>NC_000003.12:50010000-50313030 GCF_000001405.40 Homo sapiens | reverse complement strand
GGCCGATTGCAGTGGCTCCCCCTCCCCCTCCCCCTCCCCTCCCCCTCCCCCTCCCCCTCTCCCTCCACGGTCTCCCTCTGATGCCGAGCGGAAGCTGGACTGTACTGCTGCCATCTCGGCTCACTGCAACCTCCCTGCCTGATTCTCCTGCCTCAGCCTGCCGAGTGCCTGCGATTGCAGGCACGCGCCGCCACGCCTGACTGGTTTTCGTATTTTTTGGGTGGAGACGGGGTTTCGCTGTGTTGGCCGGGCTGGTCTCCAGCTCCTAACCGTGAGTGATCTGCCAGCCTCGGCCTCCCGAGGTGCTGGGATTGCAGACGGAGTCTCTCAATGGTGCCCAGGCTGGAGTGCAGTGGCGTGATCTCGGCTCGCTACAACATCCACCTCCCAGCAGCCTGCCTTGGCCTCCCAAAGTGCCGAGATTGCAGCCTCTGCCCGGCCGCCACCCCGTCTGGGAAGTGAGGAGCGTCTCTGCCTGGCCGCCCATCGTCTGGGATGTGAGGAGCCCCTCTGCCTGGCTGCCCAGTCTGGAAAGTGAGGAGCGTCTCTGCCCAGCCGCCATCCCATCTAGGAAGTGAGCAGCGCCTCTTCCCGGCCGCCATCCCATCTAGGAAGTGCGGAGCCTCTCTGCCCGGCCACCCATCGTCTGAGATGTGGGGAGCGCCTCTGCCCTGTCGCCCCGTCCGGGATGTGAGGAGCGTCTCTCCCTGGCCGCCCCGTCTGAGAAGTGAGGAGCCCCTCCGCCCAGCAGCCGCCCTGTCTGAGAAGTGAGGAGCCCCTCCGCCCGGCAGCCACCCTGTCTGGGAAGTGAGGAGGGTCTCCGCCCGGCAGCCACCCCGTCCAGGAGGGAGATGGGGGGGTCAACCCCCCGCCTGGCCAGCCGCCCCGTCCTGGAGGGAGGTGGGGGGGTCAGCCCCCCGCCCGGCCAGCCGCCCCGTCCGGGAGGGAGGTGGGGGGGTCAGCCCCCCGCCCGGCCAGCCGCCCCGTCCGGGAGGGAGGTGGGGGGGACAGCCTCCCACCCGGCCAGCCGCCCCGTCCGGGAGATGAGGGGCGCCTCTGCCCGGCCGCCCCTACTGGGAAGTGAGGAGCCCCTCTGGCCGGCCAGCCACCCCATCCGTGAGGGGAGGGGGGATCAGCCCCCCGCCCGGCCAGCCGCCCCGTCCGGGAGGGAGGTGGGGGGGTCAGCCCCCCGCCTGGCCAGCCGCCCCATCCGGGAGGTGAGGGGCGCCTCTGCCCGGCCACCCCTACTGGGAAGTGAGGAGCCCCTCTGCCCAGCCAGCCGCCCCGTCCGTGAGGGAGGTGGGGGGATCAGCCCCACGCCCGGCCTGCCGCCCCGTCCGGGAGGGAGGTTGGGGGGTCAGCCCCCCGCCCGGCCAGCCGCCCCATCCGGGAGGGAGGTGGGGGGGTCAGCCCCCCGCCCGGCCAGCCGCCCCGTCCGGGAGGGAGGTGGGGGGGTCAGCCCCCCGCCTGGCTAGCCGCCCCATCCCGGAGGTGAGGGGCGCCTCTGCCCGGCCGCCCCTACTGGGAAGTGAGGAGCCCCTCTGCCCGGCCAGCCGCCCCGTCCGGGAGGGAGGTGGGGGGGGGTCAGCCCCCCGCCTGGCCAGCCGCCCCATCCGGGAGGTGAGGGGCGCCTCTGCCCGGCCGCCCCTACTGGGAAGTGAGGAGCCCCTCTGCCCGGCCAGCCGCCCCGTCCGGGAGGGAGGTGGGGGGGTCAGCCCCCCGCCCGGCCAGCCGCCCCGTCCGGGAAGGAGGTTGGGGGGTCAGCCCCCCGCCCCGGCCGGGAGGGAGTTGGGGGGGTCAGCCCCCCGCCCGGCCAGCCACCCCGTCCGGGAGGTGAGGGGCGCCTCTGCCCGGCTGCCCCTACTGGGAAGTGAGGAGCCCCTCTGCCCGGCCACCACCCCGTCTGGGAGGTGTACCCAACAGCTCATTGAGAACGGGCCATGATGACAATGGCGGTTTTGTGGACTAGAAAGGTGGGAAAGGTGGGGAAAAGATTGAGAAATCGGATGGTTGCCATGTCTGTGTAGAAAGATGTAGACGTGGGAGACTTTTCATTTTGTTCTATACTAAGAAAAATTCTTCTGCCTTGGGATCCTGTTGATCTGTGACCTTACCCCCAACCCTGTGCTCTCTGAAACATGTGCTGTGTCCACTCAGGGTTAAATGGATTAAGGGCGGTGCAAGATGTGCTTTGTTAAACAGACGCTTGAAGGCAGCATGCTCGTTAAGAGTCATCACCACTCCCTAATCTCAAGTACCCAGGGACACAAACACTGCGGAAGGCCGTGGGGTCCTCTGCCTAGGAAAACCAGAGACCTTTGTTCACTTGTTTATCTGCTGACCTTCCCTCCACTATTGTCCTGTGACCCTGCCAAATCCCCCTCTGCGAGAAACACCCAAGAATGATCAATAAAAAAATAATAATTAAAAAAAAAAAAGAAAAAAAAAAGAAAAGAAACCACAGTGGCCGATTGCAGTGGCTCACTCCTGTAATCCCAGCACTTTGGGAGGCCGAGGCGGGCAGATCACGAGGTCAGGAGATCGAGACCATTCTGGCTAACACGGTGAAACCCCATCTCTATTAAAAATACAAAAAAAAAATAGCCGGGCGTGGTGGTGGTTGCCTGTAGTCCCAGCTACTCAGGAGGCTGAGGCAGGAGAATGGCGTGAACCTGAGAGGCGGAGGTTCAGTGAGCTGAGACCCTGCCACTGCACTCCAGCCTGAGTGACAGAGCGGGACTCTGTCTCAAAAAAAAAAAAAAAAACACACAGCTTAGTTTTCAGTGACTCCAAATTAGGAAAATGAAAAAAAAGAAGGAAAAAAATTGAAAACTTAATTTGAAGACTTGTAGCCAAGAAAAATTCATTCCAAACTGTAGAAAATCATAAAAATTGGAAGCAAACAAACAAAAAAACAGTTAAGACTAGAATCTAACAACAGGTGAACATTCGTTTTGAAACATGATTTTATTCTCTCTCCAATTTCCCATTTTACTAAAGACAAATCATGGTATGACTTGTTTGCTTATTATACTTGGCCTAAATATTTGTATACAGTGCAGCAAGAATAATTTATTTTGTCCCATAAGAGGAATCTCAGGTAAGACTTTTTAAAGCCCTGCCCAGCCATGGATTTGTGCCATCAAATACCCATGAGTTGGATGGAATTTCCTCTCCTTTCAAGTTCCAAGATAAACATAAACCTGGGGCCTCTGTGCCTGTCAGAAAGTGACATCCTTTTTTTTTTGATCAGGCTAGTCTTGAATTCCTGACCTCAGGTGATCCTCCCGCGTTGGCCTCCCAAAGTGCTGGGATTACAGGCATGAGCCACCACTCCTGGCCCCAGAAAGTGACATTCTTTACTTACCACAGGTAAGAAATCCTGTACAGGGACTGTGTACACAAAATGTGAGGCCAGTTTTCCCAAGGGCTTTATTGGCTCCATAAGTTAAGTTTGATTCCTTAAACGAAAGCACACCATTCCTGTCAAAGTCTTGGTCAAATAATCAATTCCTCCAATTGTGTCCTGTTACAAATGAAAACAGATTCTTTTTTTTTTTTTTTTTTTTGGTGGAGTCTGGCTCTGTTGCCCAGGCTGGAGTGCAATGGTGCAATCTCAGCTCACTGCCACCTCTGCTTCCCAGGTTCAAGCGATTCTACTGCCTTAGCCTCTGGAGTAGCTGGGATTACAGGCATGTGCCACCATGCCCAGCTAATTTTTGTGTTTTTAGTAGAGATGGGGTTTTGCCATGTTGGCCAGGCTGGTCTCGAACTCACAACCTCAGGTGATTTGCCCACCTTGGCCTCCCAAAGTGCTGGGATTACAGGAGTGAGCCACCATGCCAGGCAAAAACAGATTCTTATGGCACTTATGCAAATAACTGTATTGCCATAAGTTAAGAATACTCACAAATAGTTTCCAAATTCTGGAGAAATCAGGTAGAGAAACAAATATGCTCCAAATTTTGTTCATAGGACTGTACTAAATTGTTAAAAGCTGTTGGCCAGGCACGGTGGCTCACGCCTGTAATCCCAGCATTTTGGGAGGCCGAGGCAGGCAGATCACGAGGTCAGGAGTTCAAGACCATCCTGACCAACATGCTGAAACTCTGTCTCTACTAAAAATACAAAAATTAGCCAGGTGTAGTGGTGTGCACCTGTAATCCCAGCTACTCGGGAGGCTAGGGGAGGAGAATCGCTTGAACCCAGGAGCCAGAGGTTGCAGTGAGCCGAGATCCTGCCATTGCACTCCAGCCTGGGTGACAGAGTGAGACTTCGTCTAAAAAAAAAAAAAAAGGCCAGGCACGGTGGCTCATGCCTGTAATCCCAGCACTTTGGGAGGCCAAGGTGGGCAGATCACGAGGTCAGGAGATCGAGACCACGGTGAAACCCTGTCTCTACCAAAAATACAAAAAATTAGCCGGGCGCGGTGGTGGGCGCCTGTAGCCCCAGCTACTCAGGAGGCTGAGGCAGGAGAATGGCATGAACCTGGGAGGTGGAGCTTGCAGTGAGCTGAGATCGCGCCACTGCACTCCAGCCTGGGTGACAGAGCGAGAATCCATCTCAAAAAATAATAATAATAATAATATATAATACGACAACGTGGCCTGACATGGTGGCTCACGCCTGTAATCCTAGCATTTTGGGAGGCCAAGGCAGGCGGATCACCTGAGGCGAGGAGTTTGAGACCAGCCAAGCCAATATGCTGAAACCCCATGTCTACCAAAAATACAAAAATTAGCCAGGTGTGGTGGCACATGCCTGTAAACCCAGCTACTGGGGAGGCTGAGGCAGGAGAATCACTTGAACCCAGGAGGCAGAGGTTGCAGTGAGCCAAGATTGCACCACTGCACTTCAGCCTGGGCAACAAAGCAAGACTCTACCCTGAAGAAAAAAGTATACGACAACTTGATTATATAAAAGTTTTTGGGTTTTTGGCCGGGCACGGTGGCTCACACCTGTAATCTCAGCACTTCTGGAGGCCGAGGCAGGTGGATCACGAGGTCAGGAGATCAAGACCATCCTGGCTAACATGGTGAAACCCTGTCTCTACTAAAAACACAAAAAAATTAGCCAGGCATGATGGCGGGCCCCTGTAGTCCCAGCTACTCAGAAGGCTGAGGCAGGAGAATGGCGTGAACCCGGGAGGCAAGCTTGCAGTGAGCCGAGATTGCGCCACTGCACTCCAGCCTGGGTGATAGAGCGAGACTCCGTCTCAAAAAAAAAAAAAAAGTTTTTGGGTTTTTTGTGACTTACACTGACTGTTCATGACATGGTTGGACTTTCCAATTTGTTCTGAACATCCCTCCTTTTTATTTATTTTGGGTTTTTTTTTTTTTTTTTTTTTTTTCAGATGGAGTCTTGCTCTGTCACCCAGGCTGGAGTGCAGTGGCATGATCTCCGCTCACTGCAAGCTCCGCCTCCCGGGTTCACGCCATTCTCCTGCCTCAGCCTCCCGAGTAGCTGGGACTACAGGCGCCCACCACCACGCCCAGCTTAATTTTTTGTATTTTTAGTAGAGACAGGGTATCACCATGTTAGCCAGGATGGTCTTGATCTCCTGACCTTGTGATCCGCCCGCCTCGGCCTCCCAAAGTGCTGGGATTACAAGCGTGAGCCACTGCGTCCGGCCCTATTTTGGTTTATTTTTTATTTTTTATTTTTTTCTTGAGACTGAGTCTTGCTGTCACCCAGGCTGGAGTGCAGTGGCATGATCTCAGCTCATTGCAACCTCTGCCTCCCAGGTCAAGCGATTCTCCTGCCTCAGCCTCCCAAGTAGCTGGGATTATAGGCACACACCACTAAGCCTGGCTAATTTTTGTATTTTTAGTAGAAACAGGGTTTCGCCATGTTGGCCAGGTTGGTTTCAAACTCCTGACCTCAAATGATCCTCCTGCCTCAGTCTCCCAAAGTGCTAGGATTATGTGTGAGCCACTGCACCCGGCTTATTTTTTTTTTTTTTTAGCAGAGTCTTGCTCTGTCACCCAGGCTAGAGGGCAGTGGCGCAATCTCAGCTCACTGCAACCTCCGCCTTCCAAGTTTAAGTGATTCTCCTGCCTCAGCCTCCTGAATAGCTGGGATTATAGGTGTGGGCCACCATGCCTGGATAATTTTTGTGTTTTTGTTGTTGTTGTTGTTGTTGTTGAGATGGAGTCTTGCTCTGTCACTGAGGCTGGAGTAACAGTAGCATGATCTCGGCTCACTGCAACCCCCACCTCCCAGGTTGAAGCAATTCTCCTGCCTCAGCCTCCTGAGTAGCTGGGATTACAGGCACCCACCACCATGCCGGGCTAATTTTTGTATTTTTAGTAGAGATAGGTTTCACCATGTTGGCCAAGCTGGTCTCAAACTCCCGACCTCAGGTGACCCGCCCACCTCGGCCTCCCAAAGTGTTGGGATTACGGGTGTGAGCCACCACTCCCAGCCAAAAAAAATTTTTTTAATCTTATTACCATATTTCAGCTAGAACAAAATGCTGCTAAAGTAACAATGATCACACAAAGTATATGATTTCTGAGTGCTGTAAGTGTAAGCAGAAGTTAACACCAGCTGGTTGTTAAATGCTAACTTTAGTCATTTAAAGGAAATTGCAAGGCAGAATCCCAAGCCAGTTTCTTACCTAGTGATGGGTCTCAGGCTGTAGACTGCTCTCTACCATCCCAGAAGCAGGAAAAAAAAACTAATTTTCCCTGTTGGAAGCGAGCTCAAACTCCATAAAGGAGTTACCTGCCTTCCATCGTCATGGAAGCAGAAAAACTTGCTTTCCTTTTGGGAGCAAGTAAAACTCCAAAAAAAAAAAAAAAAAAAAAAAGAGTTGTACAGCAAAATAAACTTTAGATCTCAACCAATTGAGAAATCAAGGATTCTCTGGAGGGGGTGCTCCCAGACCTCAGCAAATTGTCCTATTGGTTTGAGCCATAAAGTTAGCTCCTGCTGGTACCAAGCACAGATAGGCAATTAGTCAAAAGTCAAGGACATCTCCACACAGAATCCATCCATAGTTACCAAATGTGAACCCAGAAAATCTGAGACAGCTCTCAGTTAATTTAAAAAGTTTATTTTGCTGAGGTTGAAGATGCATCCAAGACACAGCCTCAGGAAGTCCTGATGACATGTGCCCAAGGTGTTCCGGGCACAGCTTGGTTTTATACATTTTAGGGAGATATGAGACATCTATCAATACGTAAGAAGTACCTTAGCCAAGCGTGGTGGCTCAAGCCTGTAATCCCAGCACTTTGGGAGGCCAAGGTGGGCAGATCACAAGGTCAGGAGTTCAAGACCAGCCTGGCCAATATGGTGAAACCCTGTCTCTACTAAACATATAAAAATTAGCTGGGTGTGGTGGCACGCGCCTGTAGTCCCAGCTACTCTGGAGGCTGAGGCAGGAGAATCGCTTGAACCCGGGAGCCAGAGGTTGCAGTGAGCCGAGATCATGCCATTGCACTCCAGCCTGGGCGACAGAGTGAGACTTCATCTAAAAAAAAATTAGGCCAGGCGCGGTGGCTCACACCTGTAATCCCAGCACTTTGGGAAGCTGAGGCAGGCAGATCACAAGGTCAGGAGATCGAGACCATCCTGGCTAACACGGTGAAACCTCGTCTCTACTAAAAATACAAAAAATTAGCCAGGCGTGGTGGCGGGCGCCTGTAGTCCCAGCTACTCGGGAGGCTGAGGCAGGAGAATGGCATGAACCCGGGGGGCAGAGCTTGCAGTGAGCTGAGATCGCACCACTGCACTCCAGCCTGGGCGACAGAGCGAGACTCCGTCTCAAAAAATAAAAATAAAAAAAAAACAGAAGTACATAAGCTCTGTCCAGAGAGGTGGAGACAGCTCAAAGCACGGCCCCCCACTGGGGGCTTCCAGGTCACAGGCAGGTGACAGACAGATGGTTGCATTCTTTTGAGTTTCTGGTAGTCTTTCCAAAAGAGGCAATGGAGGCAATCATAATATGCATCTATGTCTGTAAGCAAAAGGATGACTTGAATAGAATGGGAGGCAGATTTGTCCTGAGCGGTTCCCAGCTTGAAGGGGCCCAAGATATTTTCCTTTCACATATTGAACAAGTGAAACCACAAATGAATGAACAAGCATGTGCTCACTGACAGCTCATATGCATGGTCACACAAACACAGGATCTCATGCTCACAAGACAGCAGGGCTCACACACACCCAGTCCCAGGCACTGGGTTCCACACTCACACCTACTTGCCACTGGAATTTGTGCAGAGGCTCAGATGGTCACTAAATGGGGCTTCACAAAGACACAGTCACTAACCCAGCACATATACAAAGGGTGATGACACAGCCCTGACTTCATGAACACAGTGCCTTTCAGAAACAGGTCCCTACAACAGGGATGACTTATCCACTAAGCACAATAGACCCAAGGCCTAGGGCCACAGTACTTTCAGGGGCCCACAAAATGTTTTTTTAATCAGAAGAAGAATATAAATGTAAATATATTAATAATTAATATATAATAGTGTAACCCAGACATGACCTCCTGGGCTCAAGCACTCCTCCTGCCTCAGTGTCCCAAGTAGCTGGGACTACAGGTACATACCACCATGCCCAGCTAATTTTTAATTTTTTTGTAGAGATGGGGTCTTGCTACATTGCCTAGGCTGGTCTCGAACTCCTGGGCTCAAGCAATTCTCCCACCTCAGCCTCCCAAAGTGCTAAGACTATAGCCATATATATATATATATATATATATATATATATATATATATATTTTTTTTTTTTTTTTTTTTTTTGAGATGGAGTCGCTCTCTGTCACCCAGGCTGGAGTATAGTAGCACAGTGGAGCAGTCTTGGCTCACTGCAACCTCTGCCTCCCGGGTTCAAGGGATTGTCCTGCCTCAGCCTCCCGAGTAGCTGGGATTACAGGCGCCTGCCACCACGCCCGGCTAATTTTTTGTATTTTTAGTAGAGAAGGGGTTTCACCATGTTAGCCGGGATGGTCTCGATCTCCTGACCTCGTGATCTGCCACCTCGGCTTCCCAAAGTGCTAGGATTATAGGCGTGAGCCTCCGCACCTGGCATGCCTGGCCATATTTTAAAATATTTTTTTTAAGGAGGAAAAGATCCACGAAAGTAAAGTGCCTAGGGCCCATCAATGTCAGATGCAGCCACGTGGACAAAGAACACTCCCTGAGCACAAGACACGAAAGAACCCGGTCTCCAGTGTCACAAACAGGCCTGCCCAGCAGGGTCTGCCCCTGCCCACCTCCTCCAGCCTAGGTAAGGCCACAAAGCCCTGCCCTAGTGCTGACAGCGTGGGAGGGGCCACTGTTGGCCCAGCCCCACCCCCAACCAAGATCCCTTTGCCAGGGATTCAGAGGTAGCCCTGATGCCTGGCTGGCCTGGCCTCCTAATCCAAGGCCCGCCCCTTGGCCCGCCCCTGGCCTGGGTGGGGTGACCCCCTACAAAAGCTCAGAATTTCCAGCAGCGGCTCCTTCCTCCAGGAGTCTCTGGTGCAGCTGGGGTGGAATCTGGCCAGGCCCTGCTTAGGCCCCCATCCTGGGGTCAGGAAATTTGGAGGATAAGGCCCTTCAGCCCCAAGGTCAGCAGGGACGAGCGGGCAGACTGGCGGGTGTACAGGAGGGCTGGGTTGACCTGTCCTTGGTCACTGAGGCCATTGGATCTTCCTCCAGTGGCTGCCAGGATTTCTGGTGGAAGAGACAGGAAGGCCTCCCCCCCTTGGTCGGGTCAGCCTGGGGGCTGAGGGCCTGGCTGTCAGCCACTCTTCCCAGAACATATGTCATGGCCTCAGTGGCTCATGGGGAAGCAGGGGTGGGCGAGCTTAGGCTAGAGCAAGTCCTGTGGGAGATGGCAGAGGCCTGGTCTGAGAGGCAACTCGGATGTGCCCTCCAGTGGCCATGCTCCCCTCCATGCGTCTCCCCTGCCCTCCTGGAGCCCTGCAGGTCAATGTTTAACAGAAACCAGAGCAGCGGTGGATTAATGCGCAAGGGCTCAGCCCCCCAGCCCTGAGCAGTGGGGGAATCGGAGACTTTGCAACCTGTTCTCAGCTCTGCCTCCCCTGGCCAGGTTGTCCTCGACCAGTCCCGTGCCATGGCAGCCCACCTGCTTCCCATCTGCGCCCTCTTCCTGACCTTACTCGATATGGCCCAAGGCTTTAGGGGCCCCTTGCTACCCAACCGGCCCTTCACCACCGTCTGGAATGCAAACACCCAGTGGTGCCTGGAGAGGCACGGTGTGGACGTGGATGTCAGTGTCTTCGATGTGGTAGCCAACCCAGGGCAGACCTTCCGCGGCCCTGACATGACAATTTTCTATAGCTCCCAGCTGGGCACCTACCCCTACTACACGCCCACTGGGGAGCCTGTGTTTGGTGGTCTGCCCCAGAATGCCAGCCTGATTGCCCACCTGGCCCGCACATTCCAGGACATCCTGGCTGCCATACCTGCTCCTGACTTCTCAGGGCTGGCAGTCATCGACTGGGAGGCATGGCGCCCACGCTGGGCCTTCAACTGGGACACCAAGGACATTTACCGGCAGCGCTCACGGGCACTGGTACAGGCACAGCACCCTGATTGGCCAGCTCCTCAGGTGGAGGCAGTAGCCCAGGACCAGTTCCAGGGAGCTGCACGGGCCTGGATGGCAGGCACCCTCCAGCTGGGGCGGGCACTGCGTCCTCGCGGCCTCTGGGGCTTCTATGGCTTCCCTGACTGCTACAACTATGACTTTCTAAGCCCCAACTACACCGGCCAGTGCCCATCAGGCATCCGTGCCCAAAATGACCAGCTAGGGTGGCTGTGGGGCCAGAGCCGTGCCCTCTATCCCAGCATCTACATGCCCGCAGTGCTGGAGGGCACAGGGAAGTCACAGATGTATGTGCAACACCGTGTGGCCGAGGCATTCCGTGTGGCTGTGGCTGCTGGTGACCCCAATCTGCCGGTGCTGCCCTATGTCCAGATCTTCTATGACACGACAAACCACTTTCTGCCCCTGGTGAGTCTTCTGTAACCTGCCCACCTTGTCAACCTGCCTTGTCAGATATTAGGTCCAGCCTTGGGGTACTTTAGCTTTGGGACATTTTCTTCGTTTTTTTTTTTTTGAGACAGAGTCTCACTCTGTCACCCAGGCTGGAGTGCAGTGGCACGATCTTGGCTCACTGCAAGCTCTGCCTCCCGGGTTCATGCCATTCTCCTGCCTCAGCCTCCGAGTAGCTGGGATACAGGCGCCCGCCACCACACCCAGCTAATTTTTTGTATTTTTTAGTAGAGTCAGGGTTTCACTGTGTTAGCCAGGATGGTCTCAATCTCCTGACCTCGTGATCCATCCGCCTCGGCCTCCCAAAGTGCTGGGATTACAGGCGTGAGCCACCGCGCCCGGCCCCCAACCTTGGGACATTTTCATCCATTCATTCATCCTTTTTTTTTTTTTTTTTTTGAGACGGAGTCTTGCTCTGTCACCCAGGCTGGAGTGCAGGGGCAAGATCTCAGCTCCTGCACCCTCCACCTTCCGGATTCAAGTGATTCTCCTGCCTCAGCCTCCCAAGTAGTTGGGATTACAGGCATGCCATCAACATGTCTGGCTAATTTTTGTATTTTTAGTAGAAATGGGGTTTCACCATGTTGGCCAGGCTGGTCTCGAACTCCTGACTTCAGGTGATCCTCCCACCTCAGCCTCCCAAAGTGCTGGGATTACAGGTATGAGCCACCGCGCCTGGCGCATGGGCACATCCATTGAGTGTGCACTTGGTGCCAAGTTCTGTGCCAGGCACAGGCAATTCAACATTTATTGGAATGATGTAGTCCCTGTCTGCATGGAATTCATAGGCTAGAGGAGGAAGCAGTTTGCCTCTGGTCCCATGGCCAGAGCAGCCCCAGGTGAAGGTTATGAATTATTTGTCCCATCTAATGGTGTTCCAGCAGTCTGCCACATGGTGGGAAGGAGGCCCCACAGAGCTGTGCTGTCTCCTTCCCAGGATGAGCTGGAGCACAGCCTGGGGGAGAGTGCGGCCCAGGGGGCAGCTGGAGTGGTGCTCTGGGTGAGCTGGGAAAATACAAGAACCAAGGTGAGCTTAGGCCTGGCATGAGGGTGGGGGTGGGGGAGGGGTGGGGCCATTAAGCTGACGGGGTAGACCCTGACTTACCCTTTCTACCTGCAAAGTCCTGGCTGACCAGCAGGTGAGTGCCTCAGTGCCCTGGGTGGGTCCATACATGGCCATGGTGTCCCTGACGCTATCCTCCCTTCCCACCTAGGAATCATGTCAGGCCATCAAGGAGTATATGGACACTACACTGGGGCCCTTCATCCTGAACGTGACCAGTGGGGCCCTTCTCTGCAGTCAAGCCCTGTGCTCCGGCCATGGCCGCTGTGTCCGCCGCACCAGCCACCCCAAAGCCCTCCTCCTCCTTAACCCTGCCAGTTTCTCCATCCAGCTCACGCCTGGTGGTGGGCCCCTGAGCCTGCGGGGTGCCCTCTCACTTGAAGATCAGGCACAGATGGCTGTGGAGTTCAAATGTCGATGCTACCCTGGCTGGCAGGCACCGTGGTGTGAGCGGAAGAGCATGTGGTGATTGGCCACACACTGAGTTGCACATATTGAGAACCTAATGCACTCTGGGTCTGGCCAGGGCTTCCTCAAATACATGCACAGTCATACAAGTCATGGTCACAGTAAAGAGTACACTCAGCCACTGTCACAGGCATATTCCCTGCACACACATGCATACTTACAGACTGGAATAGTGGCATAAGGAGTTAGAACCACAGCAGACACCATTCATTCCATGTCCATATGCATCTACTTGGCAAGGTCATAGACAATTCCTCCAGAGACACTGAGCCAGTCTTTGAACTGCAGCAATCACAAAGGCTGACATTCACTGAGTGCCTACTCTTTGCCAATCCCCGTGCTAAGCGTTTTATGTGGACTTATTCATTCCTCACAATGAGGCTATGAGGAAACTGAGTCACTCACATTGAGAGTAAGCACGTTGCCCAAGGTTGCACAGCAAGAAAAGGGAGAAGTTGAGATTCAAACCCAGGCTGTCTAGCTCCGGGGGTACAGCCCTTGCACTCCTACTGAGTTTGTGGTAACCAGCCCTGCACGACCCCTGAATCTGCTGAGAGGCACCAGTCCAGCAAATAAAGCAGTCATGATTTACTTAGCTGTTTACTGAGCGCCTAAAATGTCCAGGCCCCGGTATCCAAAGGGCACAGGAAAGGCTTGTCACTCTCACCAGATCTGACGTCAGTCTAAGGGCGGCTGCTTCCCAGGGTGGGGCCCAAATTTCAAGAGGAAGCCCCACCTGATCGGACCGTTTCCAAGCTGTCCTGGGGCAGGAGGCCGGCGGGAACCGAAGCTAGACTTGTCAGAGCCTGGGGCGGGGCTGGCGGAGGCAGAGCCAGCTGGAGGCGGGGCCTGCGCCTGGCTGAAGTGACGTGCTGGGCTGGGGCAGGGCCTGGAAGAAGCCAAATCGAGGCGGGACCTAAGCTGTGACGCAAGGAGAAGGAGGAGGGGCCTGTATGGGGCCGGGTGGGGAGGAGGCGGACTCAAATGGAGATGGGGTGGGGCTCAGCAGGGGCGGAGCCAGGGTAGAGACTGAGTCGGCGCCTGGCGGGTGTTGTGACGCGCAAACCAGGGGCGGGTTCTAAGCGGCGACGCGCGGGTGCTGGGAGGCCTTAGAACGCCGTGGCGTGCCGCAGGACGCGACGGCTGCAGAACATCCGCCGCACCGCTGGGGGCCAACGTTGTCGGACCGAGGAGTCCGAGGTGGCGACTGAGTGAGATACCCAGCTGTGCGGAGCTAGGACGCGGAACATCCCAGAGGCCAGCATCAACATGTCAGTACCGCACCCTTCCCATTTGCTGCCTGTAGGTCCACCCCGCGCGTGCGGTCCCCAAGTGGCCATGCCACCCTGCACGCCCTCCCCGCGTCAGTCGTTCGTTTCCAGACCATGCCGAGCCACACCTGCCCACAGAGTCGAGCTCTCGAAGTCCTCATTCCCAAAAGCTCCACAGCCTGTGACCCACTAGGAGGGAGGGGGAAACCGAGGCCCGGGAGAGACGGAGAAGCCACTCTCTGAGGACCCCGGAGCCCCGCCCACAGTGGGTGGGGTCGGCACTGAAGGGGTTAAGGCCGCGGGGAAGCCCCGGGCTCAGCCCTAGGGGCGGATCCTGGGGCTTCCTCCCTCTAGACCAAAGGGTGCGGCTGCTGCAGAGGTGGCTGATGCAGGTGAGGGGCTTACAGCCCTGTGAATGGTGTGGGAGGTGAGGGGAGGGGGGTGCCTGTTACTGACCAGTGTTTAATTGGCCTCAAGCTCAGGAGAGGTAAGGGGAGCCAGGAGGCCCCCTCTGGAGCAGGTGAGTAGAAGGAGGGGGCTCAGCTGCCCGCCCACGACTAGAAAACCCCCAGCATAGACCTGCCGGACGGCAGGACCTTGGTTAAGATGGGAAAACAGTAGGGTTTGGGCACAGGAGGTCTGGGCCCCCAACCTGGTGACCGTTGGACACCCTGTGGATATAGGAAGGAAGCTGTGGTCCTTATCTAGGGTGCCTGCGAAACTCAAGCCAGTGGGGAACCAAGCCTGCAGAGGCAATACTGCTGTGTGACTGTGGGCCAGGCCCAGTGCTGGTGCTGCTGGGGCCCCATCTGAGGAGACAGTTGGGTCTATATCCAAAGTGTCCTGAGATGGGCAGAGTTGGGAAGGGGGCCATGGGCTCCAGGTGGGGAAGGCAGTCAAGACAGGCCAAAGCTCAGCCTGATGGGTGCATGAGTGGGGCCCCAGGATCCACTAAGGCAGTGGGCATAGCCCAGGTAGTTGAAAAGGCTGGGAGCTGGAGGAGACTCGGAACATAGGGAGAAGAAAGGGACAGGAAGACTCCCGGGCAGTTTTTCCTATGGAGGGAACCTTGGGTAGGTTTGAGCAGGGGGTATAGTGTCTGCTTTGCATCTTCTATCCCATGCCCTAGTGGTGGACTAGGAGGACTACTGGAAGACAGAAGGCCAGCAAGTAGATTGGGTCGGCTGTTTTATAGACCTGGTGGTTACAGACCCCCTGTGAGGGGAGGTCCTGAGGAGGACAAATTTGTAGCCAGAGCAGGCTGGGGCCAGGACTCCTAGGTTCTGCCCCAGCCTTAAGCAGCTCATCCATCACTCCCAGCCTCCCTCCAATGTGGGGTAGACACCTGGATCTATCTGCCCTGCTCTATAGGGGATGGGTCTCTTCCAGGTCACCTGTGCTATCAGGTGAGTGTGGGACAAAGTGCAGCCCACCACTCCCCAGTTCCAGTATGCATGGTCCCCCCTGCACTCTGTCAGCCCTTCCCTGCTCCAACCCCACCCTCCCTCCTGGCACAGCCCAGCATGGCTGTTATCTACAGGAGGAGAGCCACTGTGGTCTGAAGAGATGCTACTGCCTGGAGACTGGGGTCTTAACCTCCAGCCTGGCACTGAGCCACCTGCAACCTAGCAGCAGGTGACCTTGGCTCCCAGCCTGACTCAGCTGAACCTGGATCCTGTGCATAGGCAAGAGCTGACTCTGAGCCCTGGCCCAGCCAAGCTGACCCCTACACTAGACCCTACACACCGGATGGAGCTGATCCTGAGTACCAGCCCAGCTGAGCTGACTCTGGATCCTGCGTGCCAGCCAAAGCTGCCCCTGGATTCCACATGCCAACCAGAGATGACCTTCAATCCTGGTCCAACTGAGCTTACCCTGGATCCTGAACACCAGCCAGAGGAGACCCCAGCTCCTAGCCTGGCTGAGTTGACCCTGGAGCCTGTGCACCGCCGACCCGAGCTCCTGGATGCTTGTGCTGACCTCATCAATGATCAGTGGCCCCGCAGCCGCACCTCCCGCCTGCACTCCCTGGGCCAGTCCTCAGATGCCTTCCCCCTCTGCCTGATGCTGCTAAGCCCCCACCCCACACTTGAAGCAGCACCCGTTGTGGTGGGCCATGCCCGCCTGTCACGGGTGCTGAACCAGCCCCAGAGCCTCTTAGTGGAGACAGTGGTGGTGGCCCGGGCCCTGAGGGGCCGTGGCTTTGGCCGCCGCCTCATGGAGGGCCTGGAGGTCTTTGCTCGGGCCCGGGGCTTCCGCAAGCTGCATCTCACCACCCATGACCAGGTGCACTTCTATACCCACCTGGGCTACCAGCTGGGTGAGCCTGTGCAGGGCCTGGTCTTCACCAGCAGACGGCTGCCTGCCACCCTGCTTAATGCCTTCCCCACAGCCCCCTCTCCCCGGCCACCCAGGAAGGCCCCAAACCTGACTGCCCAAGCTGCCCCAAGGGGTCCCAAGGGACCTCCATTGCCACCACCCCCTCCCCTACCTGAGTGCCTGACCATCTCACCCCCAGTTCCATCAGGGCCCCCTTCAAAAAGCCTGCTGGAGACACAATATCAAAATGTGAGGGGGCGCCCCATATTCTGGATGGAAAAAGACATCTGAGGCCATCCAGGGCAAGGAACTGTCTTTCTGGTTCAATAGACTGCCCCGACAGTCTACAAGCCTCAGCCCACTGACCATACCTCAGCCCCTAGCCCCTGGGGGGCAGCTTTAACCTGGGCATGTTTCCTGGGTACCAGTGGGGCCAGGAGGTGGCTCTGGCTCAGAGCCGTCAGTGTGGCTGAATAAAGGCTCTCTTGGGTATGGCTGTGACAGTTTATTTGTTGATCCCCCTACCCTCACCTCTCACCTCTTCTGCAGGTCCCTTATCCCTGCAGAAGTCTCCAGATCCACCTTGGCCCTGAGGCCATTGATGGGAGGATGCCTGTCCTTTGCCTTTACCCCCCACCTGGCTCAGGAGACAGGGTGGCTGTTTTCTTCCCCATTCACTCATTACCATTCACTGAGCACCTACTGTGTGTCAAGCCCTGGACGGGACATAGGCAATGGGTAACTAGACAAACAGGCATACAGTAGCAGGATCCATGTGGCACAGGGGAGGTACAGAGGCTTTGGGAACCCAAGTGACTTCACTCCACCTGGGGATCCAGGAGACCTCCCAGGGCAGTGATGTCACAGCAGAGACCTGAGTGCTAGGTAGGAATTAAACCAGGCAGGTGAGGAGGTGGGAGCTGACTGTTCTTGGAAGAGGGAACAAGGTGGGCAGAGGAAAGAAGGGGACTTGTGACAGTTGTGGGAGGACACAGTGGTGTATTGACAAAGACGGAACATGGGAGGGAATGTACCCTCAGCTCACTGTAAAGCCCGCTTTGGTGTGCACCTGCCACTCGATGCCCGGGGCATCATAGCCAGCTTGCGGTGTGGCTGCTTTAAAAGGCCCAAGAGACCCCTGGGGAAACATGCTTTCCCCAGCTCCTCCTGTAAGGATGGGGAGGAGCTGGGGGAGCTTTCCTGGCTTTCCCTGCCATGTGGAAGGTGTGGCCATAGCTGCGGACTCTAAGCTTACACCCCCCTCTCTCCTGCAGGTTTCCATCCTTGGGGAATGACCACGCAACTGGGCCCAGCCCTGGTGCTGGGGGTGGCCCTGTGCCTGGGTTGTGGCCAGCCCCTACCACAGGTCCCTGAACGCCCCTTCTCTGTGCTGTGGAATGTACCCTCAGCACACTGTGAGGCCCGCTTTGGTGTGCACCTGCCACTCAATGCTCTGGGCATCATAGCCAACCGTGGCCAGCATTTTCACGGTCAGAACATGACCATTTTCTACAAGAACCAACTCGGCCTCTATCCCTACTTTGGACCCAGGGGCACAGCTCACAATGGGGGCATCCCCCAGGCTTTGCCCCTTGACCGCCACCTGGCACTGGCTGCCTACCAGATCCACCACAGCCTGAGACCTGGCTTTGCTGGCCCAGCAGTGCTGGATTGGGAGGAGTGGTGTCCACTCTGGGCTGGGAACTGGGGCCGCCGCCGAGCTTATCAGGCAGCCTCTTGGGCTTGGGCACAGCAGGTATTCCCTGACCTGGACCCTCAGGAGCAGCTCTACAAGGCCTATACTGGCTTTGAGCAGGCGGCCCGTGCACTGATGGAGGATACGCTGCGGGTGGCCCAGGCACTACGGCCCCATGGACTCTGGGGCTTCTATCACTACCCAGCCTGTGGCAATGGCTGGCATAGTATGGCTTCCAACTATACCGGCCGCTGCCATGCAGCCACCCTTGCCCGCAACACTCAACTGCATTGGCTCTGGGCCGCCTCCAGTGCCCTCTTCCCCAGCATCTACCTCCCACCCAGGCTGCCACCTGCCCACCACCAGGCCTTTGTCCGACATCGCCTGGAGGAGGCCTTCCGTGTGGCCCTTGTTGGGCACCGACATCCCCTGCCTGTCCTGGCCTATGTCCGCCTCACACACCGGAGATCTGGGAGGTTCCTGTCCCAGGTAAGTGGAAGCTGAGGTCTAGGGGTCTGAGTCAGGAGGTATGGCCCTGTTCTAGGAAGGTCCCAGGAGAAGACCTTGCCTAGGGGTTGGTCCTAATCTAGGCGTTCTCAGCGGAAGGCCCTGTCCTGGAGCATCTGATGAGGGAGGCATGGCTTTGCCCTGGAAGATGTTGAGGGGTAGGGAGGCCCAGCCTTTGGAGTGCTGGCCTGAGGGGAGATATTCTGAGTGGAAGGCCTGAGAAGCCACTCAGAGACTCGATACAAAGGGGCCCTACTTGGGCTGGGTGAGTGTCTCACACCTATAATCCCAGTACTTTGGGAGCCTGAGATGGAAGGATTCCTTGAGGCCAAGAGTTCGAGACCAGCCTGGGCAACATAGTGAGACCCCAACCTCTACCAAAAAAACATTTGAGACAGAGTCTTGCTCTGTTGCCCAGGCTGGAGTGCAGTGGCACCATCTCAGCTCACTGCGGCCTTCACTTCCTGGTTCTAGTGATCCTCCCACCTAAGCCTCCTCCCGAATAGCTGGACTACAGATGCATACCACCACACCCAGCTAATTTTTATATTTTTGTAGAGATGGGGTTTTGTCATGTTGCCCAGGCTGGTATTGAACTCCTGGGCTCAAGTGATTCTCCCGCTTTTGCCTCCCAAAGTGTGGGATTACAGGTGTGAGCCACTGTGCCCAGCCTAAAAAATTATTAGCCAGGTGTTATGCACCTGTAGTCCCAGCTGCTTGGGAGGCTGAGGTGGGAGGATTACTTGATCCCAGGAGTTCAAGGCTGCAGTGAGCTATGATCATGCCACTGCACTCCAGCCTGGATGACAGAGTAAAACCCCGCCTCTAAAACCAAACCAAACTAGAGAGTCCCTACTGTAGAGTTAGAATCAGATTGTGACAGTGAACCAGAAGAGTTTCTTGAATGTGGATGTGTGCCCACATGGATCTGGCCAGCCCAGCACTGGCTTAGCAGCTCTCTGCCTCCAGGATGACCTTGTGCAGTCCATTGGTGTGAGTGCAGCACTAGGGGCAGCCGGCGTGGTGCTCTGGGGGGACCTGAGCCTCTCCAGCTCTGAGGTGATCATTGCCCCTTTGAGCCTGCCATGTAGCACATGCTGGGGTCCCAGGGTGGGGGACGGCCATGTCAAGATTATAGAGCAGGCATATTGACACATATCTTCCCTTCTCCTCAGGAGGAGTGCTGGCATCTCCATGACTACCTGGTGGACACCTTGGGCCCCTATGTGATCAATGTGACCAGGGCAGCGATGGCCTGCAGTCACCAGCGGTGCCATGGCCACGGGCGCTGTGCCCGGCGAGATCCAGGACAGATGGAAGCCTTTCTACACCTGTGGCCAGACGGCAGCCTTGGAGATTGGAAGTCCTTCAGCTGCCACTGTTACTGGGGCTGGGCTGGCCCCACCTGCCAGGAGCCCAGGCCTGGGCCTAAAGAAGCAGTATAAAGCCAGGGCCCCTGCCACTGCCTCTTCTTTTCCCTGCTGCCACTTTTCCAGTCCTGGAACTACTCTGTCCCACTCTTGCTCTATTCAGTTTACAGTCAACCCTCCCAAGCACACACCCCGCTTCCCTTGGAATCCCTGAGGGGTAGAAGGGGCCAGAAAAAACGCTTATAAAACCAGAGGCCCTCTGAGATCATGTGAGTCCTCCATGGCAAGGAAGCAGTTCCAGGGAGAGTCAGGTTCCAGCTAGTTAGGGCTGCCAGCCTAGGGCTTTGTGCCTACACCTCACTAAGCCCATGGAGAGGTCACAGATGGGCCGTGCACGGGCAGATGGGCCCCAAAAAATCTTGGCGAAGGTCGGTAAAGTGCTAAGCTGTTGTCTGCACTCTTTCATCATAAAGTCACTTTTTTCCACTGCCTGAGGTTTGGCTGTTGCTCCTGTTATCCCAAGCTCTAAGCCCTTCCCATGGTCCCCAGACCCAGGCAGGGGTAGGTCTCGTCTGGAGTGTCCCGCTGCCAAGTGCCCTGAGAAGCCAGTCCTGCCTTGGTGCTCCACTGAGGGACGCTTCGGAGTTAACCACCGTGCACTTGTTCCCGACGCGGGGCTGGGGCGCGCGCAGGGCATTGTGGGTGCATAGTTCAGCCAGCGCGTCGTCGGCTGGTGGGCCCCAGGCGTGGACTACCATTCCCATGGTGCTCTACGCGCAGCTAGCCGCCGTCGCCTGCGCGCTCAGGCCTCTGGGATTAGTAGTTTTAGCCTCGTGGATGTGGGCCTGAATCGGATGGCCTGGAACTCGCCTTCCCGGCGACCTGTTTGGCAGGGCGGGGCGCCTCGCGAAGATGGTGGCGCGCGTGGCGTGTGGCTCCCGTCGTCTGGCCAAGTCTCAGCGCAGCGCACCGGCCGGCGTCTCGTTGGCCTGGAGCCCACACCCACCGGGTCCCTGACCCCGCGCCCCCCGCGCCCGGTTCCCGGCATGCCTCGCGCCCGTAAGGGCAACACGCTCCGGAAGGGTGGTCAGCGCCGTGGAGGAGGTGAGTGGGGTGGGGGGCGCGGGACAGCTGTATGAGCGGCGGGCGGGGGTCCTGCTGGATCCCCTTGGTTGTTCTCGAGGGCCCTGGGTGGGGAACCCCCTCGGCCAGCCCCACGCAGCTTCCCATAACTCTACCGAGGCTGGCACGTGCCCCAGCAGTCATTGGCCACGTGCGTGCCCAACTTGAGCTCGCTGCCCACTGCCTGTTGGGAGTCCGCGCTCCCAGCGGTGACCCGGCCAGCCCCTCCGGGCCTCAGTTGCCTGCTGGGTGGACAAACTCACCGGACAGGGCAGGAAGCCAGTCCTCTTGCCAAACCCTGATCCTTTCCTGGACTGGTCAAGGAAGTTGGCGGGAGTCCTGGCCTGCTCCGGTGAAGAGAGGGAGGGGGCTCTGTTGGGAAGCTACCTGGTTAGGGCCTTGGCAGCTTGGCAGGCCTGACTCCACAAGGTAGCTGAGTATCCTGGAGCCTGAGGCAGTCTTGGGACTCGCTTATCAGCTTAGACCAGGAGCCTATCTTAATGCGTTAAACACATATGTTTACTCTGCTGGGATGGGGTGCCTACCACGCACAAATTTATTTATTTTTATTCTTGAGGGGGAAGGGAGGAGGGCCGGGCACAGGAAGGAGGAAAATACCTAGGCACAACTTTAAACTGGTCACCACCATGGTGGGTTTTGGGTGGGGGACATCTAATAGGGTGTGGAACATGTTCACTGAGTGGTGTCAGCCCCAGACTTAGGACTCAGGGAGGCCTGGGGGGAAGTGCTTCTGGGTGAGTCCTGAGAGGATGGAGAAGAGAGCAAGTTGTACAAAGACCTGGCAGCTGGAGGGACCCCAGCGCAGTGGAGTGAATGAGGGAAGGCTGGGCTGCTCCGGCAGGTAGAATAGTAAGATAAAATGGGAGCAGGCTGGGCGTGGTGGCTCACACCTGTAATCCCAGCACTTTGGGAGGCCAAGGCAGGCAGATCACCTGAGGCCAGGAGTTCGAGACCAGCCTGACCAACATGGAGAAACCCTATCTACTAAAAATACAAAATTAGCTGGGTGTGGTGTCGTATGCCTGTAATCCCAGCTACTCGGGAGGCTGAGGCAGGAGAATCACTGGAACCCGGGAGGCAGAGGTCGCAGTGAGCCGAGATGGCGTCATTGCACTCCAGCCTGGGCAACAAGAGCAAAACTCTGTCTCAAAAAAAAAAAAAAAAAAAAAAGGTGGCGGGGAGCAGAGGCCAGTGCGCAGGCTGGACTTTGTCCTGCAGATGAGGGGTGTGAGTAGTTCTTAGAAGTAGGGCCAGCCTGGTGATCACACCCTGTCCAAAACTCTGCCACAGCAGCCAACCTTGCCAATGTCAGCCCTTGGCCCTGGACAGACCCCACACACAGGAGTGCACCAGCCCTACTGAACTGACCCTTGGCTTTGGTTTTTCATCTCTGAGAGGGACACCATTCTATCTTTTGGGATTATGAGGTCGAGTGAGGTACCCCCAGCCATCCCTCATCAGTAGAGGCAAGTTGAGTGTCCTATTCCACCTTCTCCAGGTGCCCGGAGCAGTGCCCAAGCTGACTCGGGTTCCAGTGACGATGAGGCAGCCAGTGAGGCCCGCAGCACCGCCAGTGAATGCCCCAGCCTTCTCAGCACCACTGCAGAGGACAGCCTTGGTGAGAGCGGGTGGAAGTTTGACAGGGGCTTGGTGAGGGCTCCATGGGCTGAGGACAAGAAGCGGTGCTGACCAGGTGGCCTTGCAGGGGGGGATGTCGTGGATGAGCAGGGCCAGCAGGAAGACCTTGAGGAAAAGCTGAAGGAGTATGTGGACTGTCTCACAGACAAGAGGTACCCCTGGCTGCCAGCCAACTCCTACACCCAGCTCCAAGTGTGATCAAGGGAGGGCTGGCCCATATGACCCCCCTTCTCGACCTCCCCCAGTGCCAAGACCCGGCAGGGTGCTCTTGAGAGCCTGCGCCTGGCCCTAGCGTCCCGCCTACTCCCCGACTTCTTGCTGGAGCGCCGCCTCACGCTAGCCGATGCCCTGGAAAAGTGCCTCAAGAAAGGTTGGACCTGGGGGTGTGTGGGAGACTTAAACTGGGCAGACACTGGCCCTTGCTGCATGGGCTGACTGGAAAGCATCCCACAGGGAAGGGCGAGGAACAAGCCCTGGCTGCTGCTGTGCTAGGCCTGCTCTGCGTGCAGCTGGGCCCTGGACCTAAGGGTGAGGAGCTGTTTCACAGCCTGCAGCCTCTGCTGGTCTCTGTGCTCAGTGACAGCACAGCTAGCCCTGCTGCCCGGCTCCACGTGAGTGTGCCTGTGCCCCATGAAACCCTTCCTGCACCTTATCCCTCAGCAGAGTGGTGGGTTCCCCCTATCTTCAGCCTCCTTTACTCTGAGGGGAGTGAGCTCCAGGGCTGGGAACCCAGGTTCACCCGCTGACCGTGGCATTGCATTGCCCTTCTCCCAACAGTGTGCTTCTGCCCTTGGCCTGGGCTGCTACGTGGCTGCCGCTGACATCCAGGTGAGGGGTCTTTGGGCACAGGTGGTAGAGCATCTAGGGCTGTAACTCTGCCTCTGAGCTCCCCTGCCTCTCTGTGCTCCTAGGACCTGGTCTCTTGCCTTGCCTGCTTAGAAAGTGTTTTCAGCCGGTTCTATGGCTTGGGGGGCAGCTCCACAAGTCCTGTGGTTCCTGCCAGCCTGCACGGCCTGCTCTCTGCTGCCCTGCAGGCCTGGGCATTGCTGCTCACCATCTGCCCTAGCACCCAAATCAGCCACATCCTTGACAGGTAGGGGTGGCTGTCCACTGGGAGGGGGAGGGGATCTCAAAGAGGCCCCCAAGCCACACATATAGCTCAGCCTGCCCCTTCCCTAGGCAGCTGCCCCGGCTGCCCCAGCTCTTGTCCAGTGAAAGTGTGAACCTGCGGATCGCTGCCGGTGAAACCATTGCACTGCTCTTTGAGCTTGCCCGGGACCTTGAGGTGCGAGGGACAAGGATGGGGGGTGCTTGGTGACACCACCTGCCCATCACAGGCTGGATGCAGGGGGTGCCACACAAAACAGAACAGCTTTAGGTCATTATGCAGAGGAGGTGGCCCCAAAACAGATTTATCTCCTAGATGTCATGATGGGTGCCCTCAGCAGTGGTGTCCTGGCCTGACAGAGGCCAAGGAGGGGTCAAAGGGGCCAGGCAGAGAAGAGAGGGTCTCTCAGTGAAAGGAGGGGTTTGGGCAGTGCCCTGTTCAGAGCCAGCAGAGCTCAAGCATCTACCACACACCCTCCAATGCTCCCATTGCAGGAGGAGTTTGTTTACGAGGACATGGAGGCCCTCTGCAGTGTCCTGCGCACTCTGGCCACTGACAGTAACAAGTACCGTGCCAAGGCTGATCGTCGGCGCCAGCGCTCTACTTTCCGCGCCGTGCTGCACTCCGTGGAGGTGTGTGTGAGAACATATGTGTCCTAGCAAGGGTGCACCCCCAGGCATAGCAGCCAAGCCCAGTTGTGTTGGCACCTCTACCCTGCAGGGCGGTGAATGCGAAGAAGAGATAGTGCGCTTCGGCTTTGAGGTGCTCTACATGGACAGCTGGGCTCGGCACCGGATCTACGCTGCCTTCAAGGAAGTGCTGGGTTCGGGCATGCACCACCACCTCCAGGTGCGGGGACGGACAGGGAGGGGACATCTGGTGTGGTTGCTTCAGTCTGGCCTGAGCTCACTGCCCTCTGCCCCCCAGAACAATGAGCTACTCCGTGACATCTTTGGCCTGGGCCCTGTGCTGTTGCTGGATGCCACTGCCCTGAAGGCCTGCAAGGTTCCACGCTTTGAGAAGGTTTGCACCCTTGGGCACCTTTCTCTTCCCCCTATTCCCATTTCCTGGAGGCCTGGAATTCTGTAGAGGCCGGAAGAGGACCCCCAGCCCTTTCCCTTCCCAGCTCCCCAGGGTGTCACTCTCTGTCCCCACTCTAGCACCTGTACAATGCTGCTGCCTTCAAAGCCCGGACCAAGGCTCGAAGCCGTGTGCGGGACAAGCGGGCAGACATCCTGTGAAGCAGGACCTGCTGAAGAGGAGACTTTCTATGCCCTTGGTCCGTATTTTTAACAGAAGACAGTGCAACAACTGGTCTCCACCAGTATTTGTCACTTTATTTTTTTTAATGACAAAACCAAAAACAGACATGGGGTGGGTAGCTGGGGGCCCGGACACTTGGGACCCTGACCCCTTTGTCCCTGCACTCAGCCCTGTGGCCCCTTCCTGTCCTGTCTCAGGCCAGGCTAAATATGTGCCTTCCTCAGGGCTGTGGGGCAGGCACTAGGGGGCCTTTCCCTTCCTTTCCTTTCTCAGGCCTTGCTCCCCCAGGATGACCCACTCTTAGGGGGGTGGTGGCATCTGGACAAATGCCACCACAGCAGGTGGGGTGGCAAAGCTACCTGGAATGGATTTGTGTGCTGATTTTTAAGGATTATTACAGATAATTAAACAGAACGGTCAGCCTTCTGTGGTCTTAACCCCTGGGTATTTTTCTGTTCTCCCTCCCCATCTACTATCCCAGGCTTGGGCCCAACTGGTCTTCCACGATGTCACCTTTGCCCTCCAAGGCAGTCTTCCCCAGGTGGTGCCTCTCCCCCTACTCAGAGCCCAGCCTGTCTTTAAGAGCTGAGGCTGGACCCTCACTGGGAGCCCTGGCAGAGTTTGGGTGATTGCTATGGGGGCAGCTATTTCTAGACTTCAGAACCTGCCATCTGGGGTGGCCAGAGAGTGTTGACAGGCCACAGGAGGAGCCAGGAGGCTGGTGCCCCTTCCCCTGACCTTGGGCCACCCAAAGCGAGGCTTTGGCACCAGAGGCTTGGCTAGGCCTGGCTTGAAGAGATCAGGAGAGGGAGGCAGCCATTAAGTTAACAACAGGTTCTTGTACAAAAATCTCACCAAGGAAATAGTGTAGATGTGGCAGCCAGCAGTAGGGAAGGAGAGACCTGCCCATAGCCACTTTATTCCCCCACCAACACACACCCCCAGGCCCCAGATCCAAATGGCATCTCAGCTGGGTGCTTGGGCCTCACTGGAGTTGAGCCTCCGAAGCTGGCTGAGGCTGGCCAAGCGGAGTTTGAGTAGTGTCTCCTCCTGCGTGCGGAGCGTGTGTGCCAGGATGCGCAGGGATTCACTCTGCAGCACTGTGAATGGGAAGTGGGGGATCATCAGACCATGTGCCACCCCGTGACCCCTGCAGACCCAGCCCAGGACCAGGGGCAGCCACGGGCCTCCCGCCCCATCCTTCACTGCTGCAGCATCTGCAGTTACTCCTTCCAGCTGCACAGAAGGGCCTCCCAGTCCCCACTGCCTTGCTTTCCATTCCTACTAGCACCCTATGCGTCCATACCGCTCAGGTAGACAGCCAGGAGTGCGAGCACTAGGCAAGTGAGCACCAGCAGCGCGAGCAGCAGCAGGAACCCTCCTCGTCTGTACACAGGGCTGCAGCCAGCCTGGGCACACAGTGACGGCGGCAAAACGCCCAGCAGCTCATCCCACGGTCGTGCCTCTTCAGTTAGATAGGGGCGCAGTGTGCCTGCTGGGTGGATGGGACATTGGGAGGGTGGTGGGTGCACCTGCTTTCGTCCCCTCCCCCAGCACATCATCCACCCCACTGTCCCCACTCACCTCCACTATGTAGGTCGCTGATGGACTCCACCTGGTGCAGGCATACCTCATGCACGTGGTTGGGGGCCAATGGCCCCCTGCTCCTCTGGCTGGGCATCATTGGCGCCACGGAGTCTGCAGGGGCAGCGCAGGCTGATTTAGCCAGTGGTGGGTCAACCCCCTTCCTTCTACCAGGTGGCTTCAGGCAGCAAGGACTTGCGGATGATAGGGATAGTGGGACATTTGGTTCCAAATCCCCTAAAACTGACTCAGGAATTACCCTTGATTTGGATCCAGGATGATCCCAGACCCTTACAGGCTTATTCTGTATACAGGAGCAACAGGTACATTTGATTTGTTTCCTTCCAAGCACCCCAGGGACTCACTCAGGCATTCCTCTGCCTGCTTATTTCTAGCAGTTTATCAGCCTTGAATGCTAAACCTGCAGCAAATGGAATTCAGTCCTGCCTCTTTTGTCAGTTCTCCCTGCAGACCCAATGCCTGGCATCTTCTGGTCAGAAAGCCCTATTGTAGCCACTCTGGTGCCTTTCCCTCCTGGCCTTGGTTCTGTGTTTGTTAACATACTCAGTGTGACTCTGCTGTACATGTGTGAACCCTGCTGTTTTCATTCAACATTTACTGTTGGGGAGACCCTTCTTTGTTATACTGTTGCACATGCCTCTGAGGTCTCTCCCTTCACACATCTCCCTGAGGCTGCCTGGGCATCTAGGTTGTTTGCAGTCCCCGCCCCCCTTTTTTTTTTGAGACGGAGTTTCGCTCTTGTTGCCCAGGCTGGAGCGCAATGGCGCGATCTTGGCTCACCGCTGCAGTTCCCTTTTGAAATTAACCCCCAGGACATCCACCGTTGAATATGAAGGTTTTTTCCCAATTTCCTGATAGTTTAATTCCCAGAAGTGGAATTACTGGATCCAAGAGCAGGGATTTTTGTTTGTTTGTTTGTTTTTTGAGATGGAGTCTCCCTGTATTGCCCAGGCTGGAGTGCTATGTCGTGATCTCGCCTCACTGCACCTTCCACCTCCTGGGTTCAAGCGATTCTCCTGCATCAGCCTCCTGAGTAGCTGGGATTACAGGCGTGTGCCACCACGCCCAGCTAATTTTTGTATTTTTGGTAGAGATGAGGATTCACCATGTTGGCCAGGCTGGTCTGGAACTCCTGACCTCAAGTGATCTGCCCGCCTCGGCCTTCCAAAGTCCTGGCATTTACAGGCATGAGCCACTGCATTTGGTCGTTTTTTGTTTTGGTTTGGTTTTTTTAAGATGGAGTCTCCCTCTGTCGCCCAGGCTGGAGTGCAATGGCAAGATCTCGGCTCACTGCAACCTCTGCCTCCCGGGTTCAATCAGTTCTCTGCCTCAGCCTCCTGAGTAGCTGGGATTACAGGCGCCTTCCACCACACCCAGCTACTTTTTATATTTTTAGTGGAGATGGGGTTTCACCATCTTGGCCAGGCTAGTCTTGAACCCCTGACCTTGTGATCCACCCACCTCGGCCTCCCAAAGTGCTGGGATTTACAGGCGTGAGCCACCGTGCCCGGCCTGTTTTTTTGTTTTTGAGACAGAGTCTTGCTCTGTTGCCCAGGCTGGAGTGCAGTGGCGCAATCTTGGCTCATTGCAACCTCCACCTCCTGGGTTCAAGTGATTCTCCTGTTTCAGCCTCCCAAGTAGCTGGGATTACAGATGTGTGCCACCACGCCCTGCTAATTTTTGTATTTTCAGTAGAAACCAGGTTTCACCATGCTGGCTAGGCTGGTCTCAAACTCCTGACCTCAAGTGATCCGCCCGCCTCAGACTCCCAAAGTGCTGGGATTACAGGCGTGAGCCATCGCGCCTGGCCTGAGATTTTTGTTTTGTTTTTGAGACAGATTCTTACTCTTTCACCCAGGCTGGAGTTCAGTGGAGTGATCACAGTTCACCGCAGCCTCCACCTCCTGGGCTCAGGTGATCCTCCTGCATCAGCCTTCCCAGTAGCTGGGACTACAGGCATGCACTACCATGCCCAGTTAATTTTTTTTGTATTTTTTGTAGAGACAGGGTTTTACTATGTTGCCCAGGCTGGTCTCGAGCTCCTGGTCTCAAGAGATCCATCCTGCTTGGCCTCTCAAAATGCTGGGATTACAGGTGTGAGCCACCATGCCCGGCCTGATTTTTTTTAAAGCTATTACCAAACTGTCCTCCAGAAGCACTGTCCACAGCTCCCCCGCAGGGTATAATATTGCCACCATTAGGCATCCCCATAGGAAAAAAATTATATTTACATGCACACGTGCACACATATATTTGCTAACTTGAGAGATGAGAAATGGTCTTTCTTATTTTATTGGGTTTCTTAGCCTAGGGAGTGTGACTAATACGTGTGTGGCGCTTTTTTTTTTTTTTTTTTTTTTGAGACAGTCTTGCTGTGTTGCCCAGGCTGGAGTGCAGTGGTGCGATCTCAGCTCACTGCAACCTCCACCTCCCAGGTTCAAGCAATTCTCGTGCTTCAGCCTCCCAAGTAGCTGGGACTACAGGCACCTGCCACCATGCCTGGCTAATTTTTGTATTTTTAGTAGAGACCAGGTTTTGCCATGTTGGCCAGGCTGGTCTCAAACTCCTGACCTCAAGTGATCCACCCGCCTTGGCCTCCCAAAGTGCTGGGATTATAGGCGCAAGCCACCATGCCCAGCTGTGTGTGGCTTCTTAATTATCAATTTGAAGCCTCTGCCCATTTAGTCACTTGGGTCTGTGTACTTTTCTTTTGATTTTAATTATGTACTTTCACACTCATTGAAGTTTTTGCTTTTTGTTTGTTTGTTTGAGACAGAGTCTCTGTTGCCCTGGCTGGAGTGCAGTGGCACGATCTGGGCTCACTGCAACCTCCGCCTCCCGGGTTCAAGGGTTTCTCCTACCTCACCCTCCTTAGTAGCTAGCACTACAGGTGTGCACCACCACACCCTGCAAATTTTTTTTTTTTTTTTTTTTTTTGAGATGGAGTCTCGCTCTGCCGCCCAGGCTGGAGTGCAGTGGCACGATCTCGGCTCACTGCAAGCTCCGCCTCCCAGGTTCGTGCCATTCTCCTGCCTCAGCCTCCCAAGTAGCTGGGACTACAGGCGTCCGCTGCCATGCCCGGCTAATTTTTTGTATTTTTAGTAGAGATGGGGTTTCACCATGTTAGCCAGGATAGTCTCGATCTCCTAACCTTGTGATCCGTCTGCCTCAGCCTCCCAAAGTTCTGGGATTACAGGTGTGAACCACCGCGCCCGGCCAATTTTTGTATTTTTTGATAAAGATGGGGTTTCACCTTCTTGGCCAGGCTGGTCTTGAACTCCTGACCTCAGGTAATCCACCCGCCTCAGCCTCCCAAAGTGCTGGGATTATAGGCGTGAGCCATCGCACCCAGCCGGTGTTTCGTTTGTTTGTTTGTTTTTGAGACAGAATCTCCCTCTCTTGCCATGCTGGAGTGCAGTGGCGCAATCTCAGCTCACTGCAACCTCCGCCTCCCAGGTTCAACCGATTCTCCTGCCTTAGCCTCCCGAGTGGCTGGAACTACAGGCACGTGCCACCACGCCTGGCTAATTTTTGTATTTTTAGTAGAGACGGGGTTTCACCATGTTGGCCAGGATGGTCTCGATCTCTTGACCTCGTGATCTGCTCACCTCAGCCTCCCAAAGTGCTGGGATTACAGGCATGAGCCACCATGCCTGGCCTTTTGTTTGTCTGTTTTTTTTGAGACAGAGTCTTACTGTGTCACCCAGACTGGAGTACAGTGGCATGATCTCAGCTCACTGCAACTTCTGCCTCCTGGGTTCAAGTGATTTTCCTGCCTCGTCTCCCCAGTAGCTGGGATTACAGGCACGTGCCACCATGCCCAGCTAATTTTTGCATTTTTAGTACAGCTGGGGTTTCACCATTTTGGCCACGCTGGTCTTGAACTCCTGACCTCAAGTCATCTGCCCATCTTGTCCTCCCAAAGTGCTGGGTTTACAGGCATGAGCCACCGTACCTGGCCAATATTTAATTATATTTTCTTCTAGTTGTTCTTTAACTTGATGTCTAAAAATCCTGGTCCAGATGCCAAGAGCTCCAGATACCCACCTGGAAGCTGATAACAGTAGGGAAGAGCATTGAGGGGACACCTCCAGATAGGAGCAAGGGTGGCCTTGCACTCTGGGACTGTCATTCTCAGGACAGTAACTCAACCTCCATGATTTACTTGAAACTGCCTCTTGACGTGCTCAAAAGCAAGTACAACAAAAACAAGCAAGTGCTGCCAGTCATTATGTCTGGGTGGTGGGTTGAAGGTCATATTAAATTCTCTCTTTGGGCCGGGCACTGTGGCTCATGCCTGTAATCCCAGCACTTTGGGAGGCCAAGGCAGGAGGATCATTTGAGTCTAAGAGTTTGAAACCAGCCAGGGCAACGTAGGGAGACCCCATCTCTACAAAAAAATCAAAGATTAGGGCCGGGCATGGTGGCTCACACCTGTAATCCCAGCACTTTGGGAGGCTGAGGTGGGCGGATCACGAGGTCAGGAGTTCAAGATCAGCCTGGTCAACATGGTGAAACCCCATCTGTACTAAAAATACAAAAAATTAGCCGGGCATGGTGATGGGCGCCTGTAGTCCCAGCTACTCAGGAGGCTGAAGGCAGGAGAATAGCTTGAACCCAGGAGGCGGAGCTTGCAGTGATCCAAGCTCAAGCCACTGCACTCCAGCCTGGGCGACAGAGCTAGACCTCGTCTCAAAAAACAAAAAAGTAATTAAAGATTAGTTTGGTGTGGTGGCATGCTTCTGTGGTCCCAGCTTCTCAGGAGGCTGAGGTGGGAGGGTTGCTTGAGTCCAGGAAGTCAAGGCTGCAGTGAGCTGTGATCATGCCATTGTACTCCAGCCTGGGCAACAGAGTGAGACCCTATCTCCAAAAAAAAAAAAAAAAAAAAAAAAATTCCCTGCTGCCGGGCGCAGTGGCTCACACCTATAATCCCAGCACTTTGGGAGGCCAAGGCAAGTGGATCACAAGGTCAGGAGTTTGAGACCAGCCTGGCCAATATGGTGAAACCCCGTCTCTACCAAAAATATTTAAAAATTAGCCAGGTATGGTGGCAGGCGCCTGTAGTCCCAGCTACTTGGGAGGCTGAGACAGGAGAATCACTTGAACCTGGGAGGCAGAGGTTGCAGTGAGCAGAGATCGTGCCACTGCACTCCACCCGGGGCGACAGAGCAAGACTCCGTCTCAGAAAAAAAAAAAAAAAAAAGGGCCGGGCGCAGTGGCCCATGCCTGTAATCCCAGCACTTTGGAAGGCCGAGGTGGGCAGGTCACGAGGTCAGGAGATCGAGACCATCCTGGCTAACACAGTGAAACCCCGTCTCTACTAAAAAATTCAAAACAAAAATTAGCTGGGCATGGTGGCTGGCGCCTGTAGTCCCAGCTACTCGGGAGGCTGAGGCAGGAGAATGGCATGAACCCGGGAGGCAGAGCTTGCAATGAGCCAAGATCGTGCCACTGCACTCCAGCCTGGGCGACAGAGCAAGACTCTGTCTCAAAAAAAAAAAAAAATTTCCCTCTTTGTACTTTGTTGTGCTTTTCTCACACTTTCTAAATTGAATGTGAATTGTTTATTACAGGAAAAACACACAGTAAATGTTATTGTTAAGATCCCAAAAGAGGGTAGGCACAGTGGCTTATGCCTCTAATCCCAGCACTTTGAAAGGCCAAGGTGGCTGGCCGGGCGCGGTAGCTCACACCTGTAATCCCAGCACTTTGGGAGGCCGAAGTGGGTGGATCACGAGGTCAGAAGATCGAGACCATGCCGGCTAACACAGTGAAACCCCATCTCTACTAAAAATACAAAAAATTAGCCAGGCGTAGTGGCGGGCTCCTGTAGTCCCAGCTACTCAGGAGGCTGAGGCAGGAGAATGGCGTGAACCCGGAAGGCGGAGCTTGCAGTGAGCTGAGATCGCGCCACTGCACTCCAGCCTGGGCGACAGAGCGAGACTCCATCTCAAAAAAAAAAAAAAAAGAAAAGAAAGGCCAAGGTGGGAGGATTGGATTGGTTGAGGCCAGGAGTTCAAGACCAGGGAGACCCTTCTCTACACACACACATGCATGAAAGTAAACATTTCCCCCTACCAGGGGCAAGGCCCCTCTCCTGCAATGTTGAAAATGTTGGCAGTGGCTCACGCCTGTAATCCCAACAATTTGGGAGGCCAAGGTGGGTGGATCACCTGAGGTCAGGAGTTTGAGACCAGCCTGGCCAACACGGTGAAACCTTGTCTCTACTAAAAATACAAAAATTAGCCGGGCATGGTAGCACATGCCTGTAATCCCAGCTACTTGGGAGCCTGAGACAGGAGAATAGCTTGAATCTGGGAGGCAGAGGTTGCAGTGAGCCGAGACCGCACCACTGCACTCCAGCCTGGGTGACAAAAAAAAAAAAAGTTGAGGCCAGGCGCGGTGGCTCACCCCTGTAATCCCAACACTTTGGGAGGCTGAGGTGGGTGGCTTACGAGGTCAGGAGTTCAAGACCAGCCTGGCCAAGATGGTGAACCCCCGTCTCTACTAAAAATACAAAAATTAGCTAGGCATGGTGGCAGGCGCCTGTAATCCCAGCTACTTGGGAGGCTGAGGCAGAGAATTGCTTGAATCTGGGAGGCGGAGGTTGCAGTGAGCCGAGATCACGCCACTGTACTCCGGCCTGGGTGACAGAGCGAGATTCCATCTCAAAAAAAAAAAAAAAGTTGAAAATGTGATAAGAGGAGCTTGCTAGCTGGGCCATGCTCTGTCATGGGCCATAACATGGAGCCATGGAGCAGACAGTCCTACGTCCTGGCCAGTACTGGACCTGTAGCTTCCTAGATTCCTGCTGCCCTGGCCCCTCTGAGCATCAGTACTTCTTATATGCAGTGGTGCAGTTAGGTGAGTGGCCACCAAGCTCTTGACTAGCTGAGTCTCTGTCTGACCAGGCCAAGGGACCCCCAACCCTAGGCAGTTGGGGATATTTAGACCCAAGTCAGGGGAGGCCAGAGGCCTAACTACTTTTCAGTCCATGGGACAGGTACCCAAATGCTTTCTGGAACCACTACCCACCCCAATCCCAGCTTCCTTCCTTAAGAGCTGAACCGGCCAGGCAGCTGACCGGATGCCCACACCCACCTGAGCACAGCCTGTAGTTGACCCACTCCTAACTGGGTAGCTTCTCCCATCCCTCCTTGATGTCCCCAGCAGGGGAAACTGAAGCAGGGCCTGAGGTGACAAGGGGCTCCAGGCATGGCAGGCTTTTCCTCCCTGCACAGGGGGCAGGTCCTTTTACTGGAGCTGGAGCATGAAAATGGGTAACTAACTACTCAAGACAGTGAGGTCAGTGGGACAGAGGGTGGGTCTCTCCATGGTCCACAAGGTCACAGGACTGAGGCCTTGCCCTCCCTCATGGTCACCCTCTCCTACCTTCTTGGGTCTCCTCAGGCATGGCAAGCAGTGGGCAGTCGGGGGCCAATGATGGCATCCAGTAGCAGGACTGGACAAATGCAGCAGTGGCTCCTTTGTGAGCCCAGGGAAGGCCTGGCTGCCTCCCAGCCTTGGCCTAAAATAGGCCTGAGCTCAGCCCACTGGGCTATATTTAGAGGGGGCAGCCCTCAGCCATGGGAAGGGGCAGAGTGATCCACGTGGGCCAGCCTGAACTATCTACCTGGTGAGGGAGCCAGCCAGGAGCCTGCCTCCACTAGTCCAGGTGCCCAGGGACCTTCAAGGGGAAGCACACCTCCCCCATACATCCAGAATGGCCACTCCAGGCTCAGCAAGGCCCCATGTGGCAGCCAAGACAGACAAAGGAAGCCTGTGCATCTCTATTTGGCCACCCCTCTACCCCTGCAGACTCCTACCCACAGCCCAGTCATCTCTCCTCCCAGCAAACACAGCAGCCTCCACTGCATGACCTGCTAGCACACAATGCTATTGTTGTGTGTGTCTTATAGAGGGTGATGGACAACTGAATCCCAATGCCATGAGGGCTCTGATAGCTTCACAAGTGGGCAGATACACCAACAGCACCCATGCTGGCCAGTGGGTGGACCTAGGTTGGAGGCTGGTTCATTTGTTACTAAGCTTGCAACCTTAGGTAAAGGGTCTCCCCTCTCTGAACTCAGTTTGCTCATGTGTAAAGTCGGAATAACAGTGGCTCCTCCCTGGCAGTGTACACTGAGAACAACATCTGGAGCATTTAGCACAATCCACGGTTTTGGTCTTCCCCTGCTCCCATCTCCACAAGGGCAGACAGGTCCCATAAGGTTGTGTAAGGATGCGCATCACTGCTTACCTTGAAAGGAGGAGGTGGTCCAGCTTCCAGCTTTCCCTCTGTGGTTGGATCCCTGTGCCCTTCCTTCCCAGTGGGGGCAAAGCAAGACTGTGGGCTCTACTTCCTACACACCTCAAACCTGTCACTCCGTTGTCTCACACTGGCCTCCCTGATGTTCCTCAAAGTCAACAAGCTTGTTACCACCTCAGGGGCTTGGTGGTGGCTGTTCCCTCCTGGAATGCTCTGCTCCCAGATAGCCCTGTGGCCAGCCCCGTCTTGTCAGCGAACTCAAATGCCACCCCTTCAGTGAGGCCTTCTGTGTACATTCTTTTCCACATCACCCAGTTTTCTTTTCTTTGAGACAGAGTCTCGCTCTGTTGCCCAGGCTGGAGTGCAGTGGGGCGATCTCGGCTCACTGCAACCTCTGCCTCCCTGGTTCAAGCAATTATCTTACCTCAGCCTCCTGAGTAGCTGGGATTAAAGGCGCGTGCCATCACACCCACCTAAGTTTTGTATTTTTAGTAGAGACAGGGTTTCACCATGTTGGTCAGGCTGGTCTTGAACTCCTGACTTCATGATCCGACTGCTTCGGCCTCCCAAAATGCTGGGATTACAGGCGTGAGCCACTGCGCCCGGTCCAGTTTTATTTTCTTCCTAGCACTTAGTCCTGAAGTTATATTATGCACAATGTACCCTGCGTGTCACTATTCCCAAAGGCCCTACAGAACCTGTTCAGTCACGCGGAACCACCTTTTTTTTTTTTTTTTTTTTTTTTTTTGGAGTCTCGCTCTGTCGCCCAGGCTGGAGTGCAGCGGCGAGATCTAGGCTCATTGCAACCTCCACCTCCCAGGTTCAAGCAATTCTCCTGCCTCAGCCTCCTGAGTAGCTAGGATTACAGGCGCCCGCCACCACGCCCGACTAATTTTTTGTATTTTTAGTACAGACGGGGTTTCACCGTGTTAGCCGGGATGGTTTCCATCTCCTGACCTCGTGATCCGTCCGCCTGGGCCTCCGAAAGTGTTGGGATTACAGGCGTGAGCCACCGCGCCTGGCCGGAACCACCTTTAATCCTCACCAGGCAACCTTGGACAGGAGAAACTCGGGCCCTGACACCGCTAGTAAGGTGCCCAAGACCACATAGCAAGGCCGAGGACTGGGGTTTTCTGCTGGGGCCATTCCAGCTTTGGCTGATAATGCGTTTATTGCGTTACTTTAGTACAGTCGGCCTGCCTCGCCCCACCTCCAGCAGCCCAGCCTGTTCACAGCTTTCTGCTCACTGCTCACTACCCAAGGAGGTGGGGTCTGTCTCCCAGGGTGGGCACTCCAGGCACCTCCTCGGCCCTGGTCGTTGCTCTGGAGCTCGGCTTCCCCGTCCCTTCCCTCCGGCTGAATCCTGCGCCCGACCTGTGCCGCCCTCCCGGGGCTGCTACATTCAAGGGTTATCCTGTTAATAAATAAGCCCGCGCAGCTGCCCTCAGCCAGGGCCTGTCGGTTGGTGTCTCCATCGGCCGGTGACCCCCAATGTGCCCGGCCCCAACCCGTCCTTCTTTTCAGGGTCTGTCTGGCTCCTCTCTCGCCTGTCGTCTCCTGCTTGGTTCCCGGCGTGGGGACAGTCTGGTCACCAGTGCGTTGCGCTGCGCGGCCCCCGCTCAGCGCGAGGCTCAGGGGCGTGGGTCCTCCGGTTACGGCCCTTTCTCCGCGACTCCAGGGGCAGTGACTGCAGCGCAGGCTGCGGGCGGCACATGCGCAGGGAGTTCGCGCTGCCACCTCCGCCCGGCTCCACCAGCTGCAGAAAGTCCCGGTACCAGAGTTTGGGGCCCGGCGGCGCGGCGGGCGCAGCCTCCTCGGCCCGCGCCAGTCGTTCGGCCTGCGTAGCACTCAACACGTGCAGCGACAGGCGACGCAGCGGTTGCGTAAAGCCCTGCTCGACGGCGGCGCACAAGTACACGCCCGAGTCCCGGCGCCGCAGCCTGCGCAGCAGTAGTCCCCGGGCGGTGCGCTCGGTGCGCTCCTCTGCCAGCACCTGCGGGCAGAGGGCAGCGTGAGGCGGGGGTGTCGGGCCGGGAACAGGGCTTCCGGGCCCTAGCACGCGACGGAAGAAGCAAAGAGTCATTGGGAGCCGAGGTGGAGCGGGAAAGGGGTGCCCGCAGGCGCACATTTTAAGGCTGAGTGTTTGGGAGCTGGTGGTCTTCAAGGGAGAATCCGAAAGAGGCGGGGTTTACATGAACTTGGTGGGGGGTGGTCAGGGACCTTAATGGGAGGGTCGAGGGCGGGTCTTCTCCTTGATTCAGGGGAGGCGGGTCGGGAGCCCCGTTGGACGCAATGGGGCCTCAGCAGCTTGTGGAGTGCAGGTGAGGGACCAAACTGGACAGGGCGGGGAGTGGGTCTGGTTGGACGGGGCTTCGTTGGGTAGGGCGGGGCCTCTCCTGGATGCAGGGGGTGGGACAGGAGCCTGGCGGGGAGGGCGGAGTAAGGCTCACCTGGGTGTGGGCTGTCACCCCTGCGCGCTGGAAAGTCCACTCCACGCGCGCCTGCAGCGAGCGGGGCTCACACTCCAGAAAGGCGCTGCTGCCCTCCACGCCGAACACCTTGTGTTCCAGCAGCGCGGGACGAGACGAGTCTTGGGGCGAGAAGAAAGTCAGATTTAGGCAAGGCAGGGCAGGTGGGGCGTCTTCTGGGGCTGAGGGTAGGGGCAGCTGGGGCACTCACCTCCGGAGCACAACGTGCTGGGGTCGCCATTCCTTACGTCTTGCCGCCGGAACCGCCTGTGGGGAACATCCGATCTTCTGTGAGCCCTTCTTTCAGCCCCGGGCAGTGAAAGACCCTTCGCCTCCCTCCCGGCGGCCCAACCCCGACCCCGCCCACCTCTTGGCACTGGGCTGGAAGCGCGTGCACGCGACCCCGTCCCAGGCGCAGTAGGGGTCACGCGCCAGACAGCATTCGGTGCAGACGCGGCCGTGGGCAGCGCAGCGGTGCAACGCGATCTGGGCCACCGCGCTCCGCGAGGCTACGTACAGCTGGTGCTAGGGGGCACGAGGGGCTCTGGGCTGACCGAGGGCGACCCCACGCCTGCCTCCCATCGGTCAGGGATCCCTTCTTCCACTCGACAGATGGGAACACTGAGGTCTTACGCCTCAGGTCACACAGTCTAACAAAGCCAGAGCCTGTACTCAAACCCGGGACTGCAAACTACCAAAAGGGGCCAGAGGCTTGGGACGCGCCAGGCACAAGCTCAGTCCATCCCACCCCGACCCCCATCCTGGTCACTCACCCTCTTGGAAGAAATTTGCATGCTGGTGACAGCGGCCGAGTCCTGAGAGGGAGGAGGGGCGACGGGGTCAGGGCTTAGTGGGGTGGGGGGGTCCCGGGCGACTGGGGGTGAGGCCTCACCTCAAACACGTGCAGCTCCTCCAGGAGCAGCCCCTCTGCGCTGGGCCTACTGCCCTTGGGGACCGAGATCACCTTCAGCACCGTGCCAACGTCTGCAGGGATGAGAAGGGGTAATGACCATTGGTGCTCCCGGACAGCTGGGGCTAGTGTCTCCTCGCCTTTGAGGCGTCTACCCTCAGCATGTTTGGGTTGTGAAGAGTGTGGACTGGAAGAGTGTGGGTTGGGCAGCATCCACAGGGTGGAGACACAGCCCAGGAAAGGATGTGGAGATGGGACTGAACAGGGAGAGCTTCCATCAGCAGCCCACAGGGCCTGGCTGGGAGCCTGGGGGTCGCTGTGGAGGGACCCTGACCTGTGCCAATGAAGAGGACGTCATAGTGTCCGTCAGCGGCTGCAACCCGGTCCGCGGCAATTTGAGTGAAGGTGTAATTGGCTCCAACTTGTAGGAAAAGAGGGCGCCCCCCAGTGGGCAGGACAGAGTTGTACATGAGGGGGTGGTTCCGCGCAAACTGGATGACATCGTCTGGGAAGTCCTTGGTGGAACTGAAGGTGCCAAAGGTCTTGCTGGGGCACTGGGGGTGGGGGAAAGGGAGGCACAGCAGGGATATAGATATGGGGGCTTGATAGGCAGCCCTCCATGCCCAGCCTCTGGGAACATGGAGGGGGATGGGGACAGAACCCTGCCCTGAGAATTAGAGAGGAGATCAGCCTTGCCCTAGGAAGTCAGAGGCGGGAAACAAGCCTTGTCTTATGATGGAAACGTTTTCCCACCCATAACTAAAGGAAGAAACCACATTCACCAAGAAGACCCCAGGCCAAGTTCTCAAACCCTTGAGGCTTTGAAGTGGGTTGTAGCAGAAGTCCCTGGGCTACGAACCATGCCTGGCCGCGGGTAGGGGACGCGACCCTGGTATGACACCCACTGGTGCATGGGCCCCTCCTTGTGTGCAAAGGGTCCCAAGAAGGCCCGGCGCACGTCGTTCATGCTGTACACGCACACCGCAGAGCCCTGGAAGATGCTGCTGGAGGCGAAGACCAGGGCGAGGTGAGGGGCCGGGTGGAGCCCAGCGGCCCGCCCCGGGCGCTCCCTACCTCCTGCCCCTCACCTGGACGTGGAGAAGACGGCATAGAGCAGCGGGGTCCGGTGGTCCCGCGAGGACAACAGAAACACATCCTCTGCGGGGAAGGGGCCTAGCTGGGGTAGGGCGCACAGCCCCGCTGCGGCGGGGGCTCCCGGAGTCTGCGCCGCTGCCCCCCTCCCCAACCCCATACCCACTCCCGCACTCACGGAGCTGATCGAAGTGGGTGTCGCCCTCGACGCCGGGCACCGAGCACACCAGCCGCGCCTTCAGGAACGTCGTCCACTTGTTGACCAGGCTGCGCTGGCCGCCCACGTCGTTCTGCCGGGACGATCAAAGGGGATGAGGGCGAGACCAGGGCAGGCAAAGGGGTAGGGGCAGGGTCGCCGGGTGTGGCCCAGGGACTCCTCACCCGGCAGATCTGGCCAACGCGGGACACGGACAGGCGTCCCAGTGCCGGCGCCGCCTCTACCGCCGTCTCACGAAAGAAGAAGTAGATTTTGTCGTCGTCTGGGTTCTCGCTCTCCGGGATCCAAAATACCTTGACAAACTTGGGCTCTGACCGCGGCAGGAGGCATGGGTCAGCGGGTCCTGGCCTTGCCTCCTGATGCGAGACCCACGCGCTGCTTCCCCTTCCCGTAGTGCGGGCACAGCACCCGGGATCACAGTGTCTGACCACCCAACCTCTAGCACCATGTCCAGTTGGCGCTCTGCGCGGACCGAATCCAAAGGATCAGGGCCTGCGAGGCAAGAAGCAGCCGCGAGGGGGCAGCAGAGACCGTGGCTACCTGGGGGCGCAGGCGTGAAGCCCGGCTAGCCTCCGATCTCGCCCCACACGTCGCCCAGCACCTTAGGCTGGGGTAGGAGGGAGATGAGGTAATCTGGTTTCACCTTCACTCATGAATCTTCCTCTCTAGCATAACCAGATGCTCCCCACTCCTGCTTCAAATCCTTCTGCTGGGTCCCATTGCTCTTTATTATTATTATTATTATTATTATTTGTTTATTTATTTATTTTTTGAGACAGTCTCGCTCTGTCGCCCAGGCTGGAGTGCTCGATCTCGGCTCACTGCAACCTCAGCCTCCCAAGTAGCTGAGATTACAGTCAGAGCCTACCACCACACCTGGCTTTTTTTTTTTTTTTTGAGACGAAGTCTCGCTCTATTGCCCAGGCTGGAATGCAGTGGCACAGTCTCCATTCACTGCAACCTCCGCCTCCTAGGTTCAAGCGATTCTCCTGCCTCAGCCTCCTGAGTAGCTGGGATTACAGATGCACACCATCATGCCGGACTAATTTTTGTATATTTAGTAGAGACGGGGTTACACCATGTTGGCCAGGCTGGTCTCAAATGCCTGAACTCAGGTGATCCGCCCGCCTCAGCCTCCCAAAGTGCTGGGATTACAGGTGCACACCACTGCACCCGGCCAATTTTTGTATTTTTTAGTAGAGACAGGGTTTCACCATGTTGGCCAGGCTAGTCTCAAACTCCTGGCCTCAAGCGATTTGCCTGCCTCCGCCTCCCAAAGTGCTGAGATTACAGGTGTGAGCCACTGTGCCCACCAGCCCATAGCCCTTATTTAATTTTTATTTGATTTAGAGACAGGGTCTGCTCTGTCCTGCAGTGGCAGCATCATGGCTCACTGCAGCCTCCAACTCCTGGGCTCAAGTGATCCTTCCATCTCAGCCTCCTGACTAGCCAGGACTACAGGTGTGTGCATGCCACTGCCCCCAGCTAATTTTATTTTATTTTTTGTCTTGCTTTGTAGCCCAGGCTGGTATGAAACTCCTGTCTTCAAGCAATCTGTCTGCCTCAGCCTCCCAAAGTGCTGGGATTACAGGTGCAAGCCATTGTGCCCAGCCCCCATGACTCTTAGAATAAATGACTCTGGCCCCTGACAGTCCAGGCCCCCTTTTCATTGCTAGCTCTGCAAGTCTATTCCTTTGCTTGTTCTTGCATCCAGGCCTTTGCACTAGTTGCTCCCTCTGCCTGGAATGCTCCCTCTGCCTGGAATGCTCATCCCTAAATTTTGCTGGCTAGCTGTCTTGTGCTTGGGAATTAGCTCATACTCCCCTCAGCACAGCGGCTTCCTTTACCCAACCCCCTCCAGCCACCCAGTCTCCTTTTCCCTTCCTCCCTTGTCTCTCTCTGGCCTCAAGGCCATTGGACTTGATCTTATCATGTATGTGATCTGTGAACTCAAAGAGGTCACGGTCATACCTGTCTTGTCTGTCTCTGTGACGCCAGTGCCTGATTAAGGAGGGTATTTGGTAAGACCTGGCCACACCCACTGCTCACTTACTTTATGGGCCTTGCTTGGCACCTGCCCTGTGGGAGGGTGACGACCTCTACCCACCAACCCCACCAGCCTCTCACCATTGAGCCAGCGGGAGTCGTGTGGCTCTGTTCGGAGACTTGGACGTTGCCCTAGGCTGCGAAAGATGGTAAAGTCTCGTCCCATGAGGTCTGCTGCCACCCCTGAGTATAGCTCCTCCCCTGCAGACAGAGCAAGGGCCACTCAGGCAAATGGAGGGCTCTTGGGGCAGGAGGGCCTGGGGAGCTCTGGGAGTGAGTGAGGTTATGGGGGATTCCCTGGAGCTCTTGGGGGTCTTGGGACTTTGTGAGGTTCTAGAGTTTCTAAGGGGTTCTCTTGGGGCCTTAGCCCTTGGACTCACCCACCAGCACGGAGGCAGCCCGATGCCTGGGGTCATAAGGACTCTTCCCCTTGCCATCCTCTATCCTTCCTGGGTCCAGCCGGAGGACGGGCTCCTGGGAGGTGTGGCAAGTTGTGACTACCAGGCCCTTCTTACCCTCCTGACCTCCCTCCCTGCCTAGATCCGGCCTTACCTCTGCCCGGTGGCCCACTTCCACAAAGGCACAGGTTGGGTGGAAGGCTCCCGTGCCACAGGCCAGCAAATGGGTGCGGTTGTAGGCATGCAGCAACTTCACGAAGTTCATGCACTCAGTCTAGTAGGGTTGGAGGTGTGAGGCTTCCCCCAGGGACGTAGCCTTAAGAGGTCCCAGCTCACCAGTGGCATCCTCACCCCTCCCTCTCTTCGGCATCAGCCCAGGCAAGTACTAACATGGGCTACAGGGACCTGGGGGCCCTTGCTGACCAGCCCAGGCCTCACGAGGGTGGGTGTCTGGGGAAGCACAGGCCTGCAAAGCCTCCCATGACTCAGAGGCACCCCAGAAGAATTACACGAGCCCCCACCCTGACTCACCACCCCCAGACCTCAGCCACCTCGACCTCCCTGCCCTCATCCCAGCCAGAACAGGCAGGCCTCTGTTTTAGCCCTGCCCTGTCTCTGGGGTGAGGGGCTGACCCTCCCCACTCCCGGCCCGGGCAGCTGGCACTCACACCAATGTCCTTCCCTGCCCAGTTGCACTCCTCTCGCCATTCCACAGGGGCCGGCCAGGCCAGCTATCGGGAGGTTGGGGGAGAGGGGACACAGGTCAGGAACTTGGGATATTCTCTACCTCAGGGAGCCATTCCTCTGGGTCTCTCCAGGCTGGAGTGGGGTCCCAGGGCTCCTTCCCTGGGGAGTGCTGGGGTTGGGAGTCCCTGGCACCTTCTTGGCCCGCTTGCTGATGTTGTCCAGGTTGAGGGAGGCCACATGGTTCTCGGCACCCACAAACAGGCGTCCACGCTCCTCATCCACCAGCAAGGCCTGGTAGCAGCAGGTTCGCTCCAGGCTGAAAGTCTGGAGACCATGCCAGGCCTGGAGCTCTGCAGGGCAGGACACTGCTGATGACTCGCCAGCCATGCTGGAAGCCTCCCCCAGGTCCTGCCTGGTGGTGACTCTATCGGCCAAGGTTGCCATTAGGACCTGGCCTGTACACATGTGAGTTTACATGTGTGTGAGTTTACACACGCAAACCCAAGCCCACCCAGGTGCACGTGTGGAGCTGCCAGGGTAGGTGGTACATCCCCCCAGGAAGAGGAAGGCAGGTTGAACTTGGGCATGCTCAGACAGGTGGTGTCTCCAGGCGGGCGCACTGGGAGGCAAGGCTTATGGACACCAGAGTCCTGGGGGAGACTGGCATGCAGGGATGGCCAGAACCCCAACTCCCAAAAGTCAGGCTGAGAGTTCCTTTCCTGCCACTCCACCACCAGCCTGAGCTCAGCAGAACTGCCTATTCACTGCCACTGCCCAGGGGCCACCCTCCTATACAGGAGGCATGAGAAGGGGGCTCTGACTTCCCTGTTGCTCTGCTGAAGGAGTATCGCCTTGTTGGGGGTACTGAACGGAACAGAGACAAGGTCTGTTGCTGTGGGGACAGGAGGGGTCTTCCTGAGAAAGCACGAAGAGAATGTGGGCAGAGGCTGGGGGCTGAGGCCCGGACAGGGTTAACTGGAGGTGGCCTGAGAGTGCCCACTAATCCTACCAGAGTCTGGTGACAGGCACGCACATGGGGCAACAGCCAACACAGAGCCCCCTGGCCATACGGGGACCCTTTCCTGCCCACCTCAAGCTGGGCCCTCCCGCCTGCCAGGTGCACCTACCTTGGAAGGAGAGCCGAAGGCGTGGGGGGCTGGGGGCGGCACTCCCCAGCCCCACTGCCCAGAGCAGGGCCAGGCCCGGGATCACGGCGGCAGCCCCGGCCCGCCCCATCTCAGCAGCTCAGGGTGCTCAGGGTTCAGCGGGTGTGTGTGTGGAGGAGCCTTGAGCTGCCCTGGACTCTGCCCCAGGATCTGGAAGAGGAGTCAGCAGTGAGGGCGAGGGCGGGAGGCTAGGGGGGGAGTCCCCAGGGATCAGATTACAGCCCCTAGGGGAAAGAGGCTGGGGGGTCGCATTCCACTTCCGAACCCTCCCCTCCGAGGGTGCCCCGCCTGGCCACAATCACAGACACACCCACGCCACTGGGCACACCCTCAGGGTCACCCTGCACTGGCAAGCCCGCCTCACCACGTCACCCTTCCCAGTAATCTCCTCTCTTGTATACACACTCACAGACATTAATTCACAATGTGCCACCCACTTCATGCCAGCCTAGACCTGGGAGGAGGGATACTGGGAGACATAGACAAGGTCCCCATGTGAAAGGGGACAGAGTGCCAACAAGGAATCAGATGGATGCAGAGGGTGCCAAGTGCAATGAGCAAAACAAGCCAGTCAAAAGAGTGAGAGTGACAGGAGGGGGTCAGGCCTCTGGAGGTGGCAGTGTCCCCACAGTCCCGCAGAAAAACACAGAGACACTTTTGAGGCTGGAGCCAAGGGTGTGGGTGCCTGTGAATGTGTTTCCGAGTGTCCCCTTGTGATGTGCGCATGTGTGTAGTGTGTATGTGCATGTGTGTGCACATCTATGTGCAAATATATAGTGTGTCATATTGCACATGTGTGGATATGGGTTGGTGTGCACACACATGTGGCACTGTGCAATCCATGCAGTACATATGTGTGATATGTGCATATTTTGCACACAGATGTGTTGCACATTTGTGCATGTGCAAACGTGTGCACCCATAAGAATAGACATGTCTCTGGGCATGCAAGTGAGCAAATCCAACTGCAGCATCAATCACTCCATTCCTCAGAGGGAGAAGTGCTACCCAGGAGACCCAAGACCTGGGCAGAAGCCTCAGCCTCTGACTTGGGGACTGCTCCCAACCCAGCTGAAGCAGCCTCTGCATTTGAGCTTGAGGGCTCTCTCTCCACACCCCTGAGGAATCAAAGAGGGGCAAGGTGAGGCAGCCCTTCATTTGCACCCCAGCCTCCTGGCCTCGCTGAGCTGGCCTTCCCTCTCAACGCCTCCACAGCCTCTCTGAGCCTCTCCCTTCACTTCTCTCACCCCTTGAGTTCTTCCCCATCTTTGAGCCCCTTCACTCTAGGAGCCAGACACCTCCCCCTGGCCCTCAGCTGGGGCAAAGACCTGGCTGCTATGCCCACCCTCCTTCCCAGGGGTCAGCTGGGCAGGTGCTGGACACAGGAGCCCAGGGAGTGGGACAAGGTTCCAGGTGGGATTAAGCAAGTGGAGCAGCTGCTGAGGCAGGTTCCAGGCCCCTCCACCCACACTCCTGCCCAGCTCCTGGCCCCATCCCAGGCCAGGACCCCCACCTCCCTCCTTCCCTCCGCTGACACTTGCCGCTGCCTCTTCTCAGGTTCTAGAGGTCTTCCAGGCCAACACTGGCTGCCTTCTCACACTCCACCGAGGACTTCCGCAGCAGCATCTCTCCACTCTGGCCCCTTCCCACCCTGGGGCCGCTGGGGACCCTCTGACGGCTCCTTTAAGAAGCAGCCCCCGCCCCCACCAGGCCAGCCACCGCCCCACGCACCGCCCGCCGTGCCGTAAAGTTTAGAGGGCGGATCGGGTGACCGGGCAGGCAGCCGGGACCAGCTGGAGACGGCAGCCAGGCGGGAGTGGAATGGGCACAAGGGAGGGGCTGGTAGGGACGACCCCTCCCATATTGGGCCTTAAAGCAGAAGGGTGCCCCAGGTGGCGGTCCCAGAAGCCAGGTGGCCAGCCAAGGCAAGGGAGGAAGAAACCCCAGCTCCAGGGGCTCAGCAGGCAAAGGGAATCACTGAGTGGGGGCACCACCCGTGGACTCCAATATCTCAACCTCTCCCTCCACAGGTGGGGAGCTGTGGGGAAAGATAATGGGGAGCTCAGCTGCCACCTCAGTTCCCAGGGACCGGCTGGGGTGGCCGGGCAGCTGGAGGTCAGGGGAGGGGCTCTCAACTGGAGGTCGGATGGGCCCTCAGGACCCAGTCCCCATCCTTCCTCAACACTTGGGCCACTTAGTACTTCAGTGGCCTGGCCAGCAGTGGCTTCTACCATGACAGCCAGATAGGGGAGGGAGAGGAGGGCAGGAGAGGGGCAGACGCAGGAGGAGCAGCAAATCTCACTTCTGCACCACAGGGCGGGGCCCATCTGGAGTCCGCCATCCTGGACAGGTAGCTTTGCATCTCTGCTGAGAGGTTGGGGGGCAGACCATGTGACCTCCCTTCCTCTGGCTTCTCTTTCTAGGTTGGAGGTGGGAGGAACAACCCCCACCAAACCCAGAGCCGAAAACTGAGGGAGTTTTACAGACAGGACGGAGCTCCTGCACCTCGGAGCCTCAGTTGGGAATGACCTGGGGTCTTGTCCTGAAGCTGAGTCTGGTGAACGTGCCCCATTTGTAACATGAGGGGTACTTCTCTGGAGGGACTGTATGTTGACAGTGGCAGAGTGGAGCCCTGAAGTCCACCTGAGTGAATATACCAGGGCTTGAGAATGGGCTTTGATCCTTCCATCCCCGCAAAAGGCATTTTCCTACCACCTCCCAAGGCTGATGGGGCAGTGTGGGCATTTCAAGTGTTGCAGTTCTGTTGCCCAGCCCTGGATGCCTCCAGCCAAGCAAGGACAGAGGTGGGGGGCACATCTCCAAGTCCCCTGGAAGTGGAAGTGGGGCTATGCCCCTCCTTCCTGAGCCTGAGGACCTGGTATACCTGGCCTGGCCTGGCCAGCTGGCAGGTAAATAACAGGGGCCAGTGGGAGCCGCAGGGCCCTTCAGGAGGGCAAGTGGAAGGACAGATCCCTGCCTGGGCTCGTGGGCTTCCTGGATGTGGCCTTTTCCTACTCCAGGAGTAGCTGCCTCTAGCCTTAGAGGACCTGGGCAGGCTCTCCTGGCTCCATGCAAGCAGACAACATTCTTTGGCTGTTTACAGCTTTCCACCCAAGCAGCCAGGATCAGCAAGTGCCTCAGAGGCTCCCATCCACTCCCACTGTGCCCCCATAGGCCCTCACTGCCTTATGTTTTTCCAGGCCCAGGGGCCCTGTCTCTGTTTCATCACCCCGCACCTTCCTCCACCTGTGTTCACTCTGGGAAACGGTATCAGAAACCCCCCCGCCACCGCCATTATCTTTCCAATAGCCTGGGAGTCAACCCCCAGCCAAAAGGACTAGACTGTCTCTGTCCCCATTGAGTGCTGTGCCCTGTCCTCTGTCCTCTAGATGTGTACCCTCCCTTGAGTAGGAATGGAGGTCTCCAGGGATGGGAGGTCAAGTTGTCCCTGATTCCACATGGTCCCCTTTCTGTTCCTCAGCCCCAGGTCCAGTGTGCCAGGCCATGGGTAGGGGCCCCCATGGAGGTCAGCACTCCAGGAGCAAGGTCACTGCCTGTGGGTCACACTGGGGGCTGGAACTCCTCGAGGATTCTGGAATCAGGCAGCCTGAGCCTGAGTCTCAACAGAATGGGGCAAACCAGGCAAGGCAGCTGGGGTCCCTTTTCCTGCCTGTACTCCTACCCTGGACCTCTCTCTTTTGAGGGAGCTTCCATGGGCAGAGACCTGCCTGGGTCCTTGCTCTGGGGCTGCCTGTCAGTGGCATGGCCTACCACGGCCTTGGCTTTTCCTTCTGGAAAAACCTGGATTGTTGTGCCAAATCTCAGCACCTGCCTCCCCACCCCTGGCCACCAGCTGGGCCTGCCCCTTTGCCCCTGCCTGGACTCCGGGTGGTGTGGTTGGGGTGGGACACCCATCTGAGGAAGGTTGTGGCAACCCTCCCAGTGCAGCCTGGACTGGATGGGATCTTGGGCGCCCCACTCACACCTGCTTTAGTCATCAGGGCTTGTGGCTCCAACGTCACAACTCTTCCTTGTTCTGGCCACGTAGGTACCAGGTCATGCTGCCCAGAGGACTTAGGCACAGTGGGGGCAGGCGTGGGCGGCCATAGGATCATCACCTGAGGCCTAACTTCCCAGACACTCTAAGGCCCTGCCCCAGGGGCATCTCCTGGGGAAGCGTCTGCAGGCATGTCCTCACCCCAGCCTGGTCTCCACATTCCCAGGGAACCCTGGCCCACCTTTTTTGAAAGATTAGCTCCTCCCCTCCTTGCCTGTTCCCCTTCCCTTCTGAGGGCCCTGTCAGAACTGAGATGGAGGTGCTGAGGGAGGGGCTACCAAGAACCCTGGGCCTTTGGCTGTGGCCCTACCCCCGCCTGCCCCACCCCTGCCCTCCCCTCCTGCACATTCCTCCCAGGCTGAGGTCAGCCCTTCTGGGATGCGGGAGCCCCCCCAACCAGCCACATCACAGCTCTTCCCTCACTCCTGTTTTCCTCATTGCCCAGCAGGGAGGAGTGGGAGGAGAGGGGGCTGGGGGCGGGGCCTCCCTCTCCCTCCCTCCTCTGGAGCCCGGCAGGGTGGAGGGGGCTATGCCAGGAATGCTGGAAAGTGGACTCTGAGGGCACACTGCACTCATGAACAGACATTTACATAAATACTACATTCTCCTAACTGGCTAGGGGAGAGCCTCCCAGGAGTACTGGGTATGGGGCTCTGAATGCTCTGGGGGAGGGCTGAGGAGTCTGGAGCCAGCCCCAAGGATCAACCCCCTTGTTAGTCCAGCAGGAGGTGGGGCTGAATCCCTACCCTGCCGCTTAGCCGACCCCGTGGCCCTAGCTGGAGTCTGCACCTCTCATTTTCCCTGCAGCTGCAGACAGTGGCCAGGCAGGTCTGGCACACAGTGGGGGTACCACAGGTATGCACTCTTGCTGCCACCTTAGCTCTGGGCATCTTGGGCACCCAGGCCTATGAGGGCCTCAGAGAAACCCTCCACTGCTGCCTCTTCCATCCCAGCTGAACAAGGCCCCTTCTCGGGCTCAGCTCCTCTCTTGTCCCCTTTTGCTGTGCCCCTCACCCCAGTACTTTTTTTTTTCTTCTTTTTTTTGAGACAGGATCTTGCTTTGTCACCCAGGGTGGAGTGCAGTGGTGGGATCATGGCTCATGGCAGCCTCAACCTGCCGAGCTCAAGTGATCCTCCCACCTCAACCTCCTGAGTAGCTGGGACTACAGGCATGTGCCACCATGCCTAGCTAATTTTTTTGTATTATTATTTTTTTTTGGTAGAGATGAGGTTTTGTCATGTTGCCCAGGCTGGTCTTGAACTCCTGGGCTCAAGCAGTCCTCCTGCCTTGGCCTCCCAAAGTGCTGGGATTAGAGGCATGAGTCACCGCTCCCGGCCACCTCAGTACAATTACTTCCTCAACCCTCTGACCCCAGGGTTCTCTTGACCCCAGGGTCCTCAACCCTCTGTGCCCAGGGTTCTACTTTAACCTCCCTCCCTCCCCTGGGTGGGGACTCCTCAGTCTTCTCCCTTCCCAAGTCCCCAACCCACCCCTGGCACTGCCAAGCCTGCCCTCCTGAGAGCCCCTACCTTTTGTCTTACTTAGGACAAGCACTGACCCCTTTACCCTCCCCCAGGCTGTATCCCTGGGGTCATTCTGTCATTTCTCTCCCCATGCCTCCCCTCTGCAGGACCGTGTCCCTGACCCCTGACTCAGAGAGCTTGCTGAAGTTTGGCGGGATTGCAGGCTTTTAGCTTGGCATTCACAGGGCCACTCTCTTTTTCATCTTTTTTTTTTTTTTTTTTTTTTTTTTTGAGACAGGATCTTGCTTTGCCACCCAGGCTGGAGTGCAGTGGCAAGATCATGGCCCACAGCAGCCTTGACCTCCAGAACTCAAGTGATCCCCCCACCTCAGCCTCCCGAGGAGCTGGGACTCCAGGCACACACCACAACACACAGTTAATTTTTGTATTTTTTGTAAAAATGGAGGTCTCACTATGTTGCCCAGGCTGATCTTGAACTCCTGGGTTCAAGTTATCCTCCTCCTGCCTCAGCCTCCCAAAGTGTTGGAATTATAGGCCTGAGCTACCACACCGAGGCCACAGGACCACTCTGAAGCTTGGTGTAGCTTCCAGTACTCCACCTGCCCCATTTCTGGGATGCATTAGCTCTTTTGTTGCCAAGACTTTGCTTGCGCTGTGCCCTCCACCCTTTAGACCCTTCCCCTTGTCACCTGCTGGACTTCTCACCGTTCATGATCCACCTTGGCTGTCACCCGTCTTCTGTGTAATTCCAGACCCCTGTGGTGCCAGGTTCAAGCCTCTGGGCAGGGCTCTGTGTTCCCCACTGTGGGGGAAGCAGCAAGGGCTATAATCACTGGAGAACCCAGGACCCAGCAGAGGACAGGCACAGGGAGGCGGGAGATGGTGTGCCCGCAGGAAGCCCTTCCACCTTCCTAGGCATGCTGAGTCTCCACGGGGTTGGAAGACGGATGGAGAAAGGACACCCCTTAACCCTGTCCCAGTCCCCCAGGCCTTGATGACCCTGACCTCAGTAAGGTCAGAAAGCAGAAGGCAGTGGGATGAGATGTCAAACTCTGATTTTTCTCCCAGCCAAGATCACCAGGGACTGTGGGGCTGCATCTCTGGCAAGGGGAGAAAAGGACCCATGGCCTTGACTTCTGCTCCTCTTGGATATTAGTGCCCATCACCGTGTGACTGAGGGCTGAGTGGCTTGCAGGCATGGACATATTTGCTGCCACACAGCTGCATACATACCCCAGCTGACTGGAGGCCATCCCCCTGGGTGATGAGAGGTGCTGCCTTCCCTCTGGTAGTCCATGGTAGAGATGAGGACCGCTAGGATCTTTTGTTTTTAAGAGACGGGGTCTTGCTATGTTGCCCAGGCTGGTCTCAAACTTTTGGCCTCAAGTGATCCTCCTGCCTTGGCCTCCAAAAGTGCTGGGATTAAGGCATGAGCCACTACATCCAGTCAGGGTCTCCTTTTATTTATTTTTTTGAGATGGAGTCTCGCTCAGCCACCTAGGCTAGAGTGCAGTGGCACAATCTTGGCTCACTGCAACCACCGTCTCCTGGGTTCAAGTGATTCTCCTGTTTCAGCCTCCTGAGTAGCTGGGATTACAGGCACCCGTCATCATGCCCAGCTAATTTTTGTATTTTAGTAGAGACGGGGTTTCACCATGTTGGCCAGGCTGGTCTTGAACTCCTGATCTCAAGTGATCCGCCCACCTTGGCCTCCCAAAGTGCTAGGATTACAGGCGTGAGCCACCACACCCAGCCCCAGGGTCTCTTTTTAGGGCAGCAGACACAGAGATTGGGGTCAGTTTTGGGGAGTGGGGCCAGACCCAGAACTCAGCCAAACAATACTGTAGTCTTGTCCTTGCCTCCTCCCTGACTCCCTGACTCCTAGGGTTGCTAGGACTTGGCTGGCTATGCCACTGACCAGGCAGCTGGAGTCAGGGCTTGTATTCTCTACTCAACTGGTTTGCCACTCAGTTTGGGTGGGGTGGGGTGAAATGATTCTGGGGAACTGAGAGGACTAAGTTTTCCTGACATCAGAAGCCATGGGGCTCCCTGGAACATGGGACTTCTTCCAGGCCTTGGCAGCCCCTGCAGCCTCGGTGATCCCTGCTGTAACCCTGGAGAGGGCCCTTTCCCCCTTCTGCACCTGGCATCTAGGTCTGCACCTACCTGCTGGGACAGGGGGTGGTACAGGGGGGGTGTCTAGGCCTGGGGAACTACCGAGGCAGCCTGCCTGGCTCCTCCTCACTGAGTTTCCCTCTACTCTCCTCTCTCAGGCCTCTCTGACTCTGAAAGCTTGCCTCTCTCTTCCTAGCTGCTCCCCCACCCCCCAAATGGGTTAAAAATACCAAAGTTCCCACCACATCAGTAGCCGGAGCAATTATTTCAAGTGGGCCAGGCCCTCTGGGAGGCAGATCAACTTCATGGCAGTCTCCACAGGCTGGAGACAACTCACCCCACGCTGGGAGCATGAGCCTGGGTCCCTGCCCAGCTCTGCATGTCCTGCTAAGGGTCCTGGGCCTCACAGCTGCAGTTCTCCATGCGTGGAGACAGAAAGATGGGGCTTCTTAGGCTGGGAGGGCTCTGGGGATGCAGCGCCAGGGAGCATTGAATTTCTGGTGCTCCTCACCCAACTGCTCCTGAGGGTTGATGAATGGTTGAGGTCCAGCCTGGGACAGCTCCAGGCAGCAGGGGATGCCCAGGAACCAACCTCATGGAGTCCCTTCAGTTGGGGTGCAGGACACCTGGGCAGCCCCTTCCTGCCTGCAGCCCCCCATGGCTGGGAATTTCCCAACCACCAAACACAAGGCTGAATTGACAGGCCGCCTCCACCAGTGCTGGGACAATGGAGCCTTATGCCCTGGAAATCTGAGCCTGGGTGGGAGGCCGGGGCAGGTGGAGGCCTAGCTGTCTGCACTCAGGGAAGCCCTGCCCCCAGGATCCCACCCAGACCCACTGCCAAGACGGCACCAGGGCAATCCTGTCAAGGCCCCGCATGGCCCACCCAGGGAGGGAGGCACTGGGTGAGTTAGGCAGACAATGCCAGGCCCTCAATGGTCCCTCTGTGCAGGGTTCCCCCTCAGGACAGAAGGAAGGAACCATCTCCCGCCCGCTTCCTGCTGGGCGGGCATCGGGGCTCTGGCGCTCCTGCTCGCACATCTGCGGCTCAGCGGGGTCCAGGCCTGGGCCTCTGAAAGAAGGCGGGGACCTGGGTTGGGCGCAGGATCCTGTTCTCCGTGTCGTCGGCCCTCGCAGGCAGGGGCAGCAGGAAAGGCCCGAGGAACTGGGGCGGGGACCGGGCCTGGGGGGCGCCGATGTCCTTCCGACCGGGCGGCAGCAGCCTTTCATCTCCTGCCAGTGCCGGCGGCCGAAGCTACGGGGCACTGGCAGGTGTGCGGGGACGGGGTCCCGGGTCTCTGGCTCAACCCTCCAACCCTCCCTCCCTCCCCGCCTCCGCGGCGCCGACCCCGGCCCGCCCTCTGCCCAGGCCGCTCTGTCCTGGGGCGGCCGCGGAGCCGTCGCCGCCTCACAAAGCTGCCTTTGTGTCCAGCGGCCTCCGCGGGACCCGCTGACGTCAGCCTCTGTGACCAGCCAGGCAGGGCAGAGCACGGGCGGCGGCGCCCCCTGGCGGCCGGAGGCGGATGCGCCAACGCCGGAGCCCCACCCAGTCGAGGCCAGCCTTTCCGCGAGCCCGCCCCCACACGTTCAGGCCGCGGCTGCCCCCGGGAGAAGGTCCAGGCGCCTCGATGGCACTCAGGGCCCGCCCCACAAGCATCACCAGCCTTGCCATCTGCAATTCCCTTCCCCAGAAACGCGCGGGCCCTTCCCACAGCCTCATGGAGCCTTCCATCTTCAGAGTCAATGATCTGCAGCTCTCCAGGCCCAGCCTGGGGCAACCATCACATGGTAGTATGGCCACCTGTCACTACCCTTCAGGTTTGGCGGCGGCCCTCTGGGGCAGGGAACTTTCTGAATATGTCTTAAGGCCCCTACTGGCCTTTTTAGTCAAGCCAGGACTGCATGCGGCCCACCTGGCTGTGTGGCCTTGGCAACGGACACTCTCAGGCCTTGGTACCTAAGTCGGAAGTCACTTTCTCCTTCCGCGCTAGAGAGGCCGGCCACCCCTCCTGCTCCAGGTGTGGAAGAGCACCTTACAACAGCTCCCTTAGAAGCCTGCCCAGCTGCCCGAGACCCAAGGCTGCAGAGTACTGGAAGGGCGGGGACACACGGGCCCCACATGTATGCTGCCTAGTCCAGGTGGGAGAAATGAAGCTCAGAGCGTGGGGCTCCAGGACGGCCCGGAAAGCTGAGTCAGGGCCCTGACTCAGGTTGAGGACTGAGGTTAGGACCACCATCACCTTGGCACACCTTAGCCCAGGCCTCTGCCCCTGGGAGAGAATACCCATCAGTTCTCGGTATTTTTTTTCTTTCTACATTTTATTATTTCAAACCAGGTGAACAATTCCATAAAACATGTGAAAAAAGCAAGGAAGTGTTCAACGCTGAAGGCCCCGGGCCTGGGACAAGGGCATGAGGGGCGTGGCCCCCCAGCAGGCAGCGGCGGTTCCTAGGTTAGCGCTAGGGAGCTACATTTTAGGTTAATAGAGCCTGGGGCCAGGGCCGCTGGGGCAGGGCCCTCAGTGACGTTGGCAGTTGTCTGGAACAGCCCTTGGAACCCAATTCTGTGGAGGGCAGGGCAGGGGTGCCGCTCGCACGGGGGCGGCCAGCAGAGGGACGGGTGTAAACACGCAGACACACTCAAGGCACGGAGTCACTTGGAAGGGGGGCTGGGGGGGGGCTTGCTGGTCAGGATCTGACAGTTTTAAATAGTTTTTCTCTAAAAAGTTTTCTAGATTTGCAGTTTTTTTTTTTTCCTTTACTTTCATTTTTTTAAAAAGCTACGAGAATGAGCAGGTGGACTGTGGTTTCCAGGAATGGTGGCGTCTCACGCTTCTTGTGCTTTTTCCTTTGGGGCCTCCGAGCGGCTGGGGTTGGGGGACTGGGCAGGAGGCTCCCTGTAAACATTTGGACTTGGGCTGGGGCAGGGGCTGGTGTTGGGCAAAGCTGGGGGTCCAGGCTGGAGAAGCAGGGGCCCCTCCAGACGCAGCCTTGGGAGACTCAGCATGTGCCCCCCTCCCCTCATCACAGAACAAGACAATGGTTAAAAACCAGAACAGATGCCCAGAAGGGGGTACCATGGCCATTACCAGCATCTCAGACAAGGGCAGGCTTCAAACAGGGAGGCCTGTGGCAACCCCTCCCCTACGTCTGGAGCTGAGGGGACAGGGGGAGCTGAGAACAAAGAGAGGAAAGAGGAGAAAAGCGGCGGGGGAACAGGCGGGGAGCGTGATCTTCTTGCCCCCATCTTCCTCAGGGGTTGGGGGGTACAAAGTCGGCGGTGGCCCTGGAGGTGGGGGAAAGCAGAGCATGGATCGGGAAGCAGCCAGGGCGTGCCTCTCTCCCGCCTCCCTAGACAATGACCCTTCTCTATTTTTCCTACCCATTTGTTACCAGGGACACAGTTGCCGCCCAGGAGCCAGTTTCTGTTGCTGGGTTACGTGGGGGAGGGGAGTCTGTGGCACTGGGAGAGTCATCCCCACCTCCACCAGGGCCAGTGGGGCCAGCCTAAGCCCGGGACGCTCAGACAAGTCAGAGGGCAAGAGCTGGAGGTGCACATGGAGCTGGTGGTAGTGGGCAGCAGGGCTGGGCTCCGCTGGCATGCAGCTTCCGGCAGGCTGGGCCAATGGCCTGGTGGGTGAGGAGGTGAGATTTCTCCAGGGAACATCAGGATGGCCTCTGGTTCTGTCCCAGGGCAAGGCCAGGCCCTTCTGTCTGGACCACTGGGCCAGGCCTGCTTGTATGACCTCCTCCATGCCCTGCACCTCACTCACTTGACCTCCTGATTCACACCCTGGGCCTTCTCCTCCCTTGTCCCCTGGTCACCTATTGCCCCTCCCCCTCCAGGTTCACCCCCCTACCCACCCCCAGAACCCCCTGCTGGGGCTCCAGGCCCGCTTAGTTCTTCCCCAGCACCCTGCCACAGCCCCTCTGGCTCACCATCCCGCCAGGCCCCGCTGCCCCTCAGAAGAGGCCGCAGTCCTTCAGGTTGTTCTTGATGATGACATCGGTGACGGCGTCAAACACGAACTGCACGTTCTTGGTGTCGGTGGCGCACGTGAAGTGCGTGTAGATCTCCTTGGTGTCTTTGCGCTTATTCAGGTCCTCAAACTTACTCTGGATGTAGCTGGCTGCCTCATCATATTTGTTGGCCCCTGGGGGAGAGAAAATGAAGACTTGTGCTGCATGTGTGGCAGGCAGGCCGCATCCTACGTGTGCAGCAAGGGTCTGTGCGTGTGGACGGCCAGGCATACAACCTGTGCATGCATGTGCATAATATGACAATGTTTGTGGCTGCCCATACATGCCAGATGTGCAAAGGGGTACCCCACTGTGTGAAGGAGGATGCCCATGTACACATGTTCAGGGGTACATGCTTGAGTGTGTTAAGGGCTTCATGTGTGCACACACAACTATACAAGCCTAAGTGAGGCACCAGCCCCTGCCAGTGTTCCAAGGTTACACTTCTGTCCAGTGGGGGGCGCCTGAGGGCCACCTGGTCACCATAGGCTACTTGGGACAAGAAGCAACCCTCTGGAGGCCCTATCCCCACAGTCCCCACACCTGTGTACTCAGGGAAGCAGATGGTCAGGGGACTGTGTGTGATCTTCTCCTCAAACAGGTCCTTCTTGTTGAGGAAGAGGATGATGGACGTGTCTGTGAACCACTTGTTGTTGCAGATGCTATCGAATAGCTTCATGCTCTCATGCATGCGGTTCTGGGGGTAGAATAGCAAGGTCAACGCTAGCCACCACTCCCCAAGCCCGCTGCCCCCACCCGCAGCATTCTCTCATCCTCTCACCATCTCCTCGTCCTCAGCTAGCACCAAGTCATAGGCGCTCAAGGCTACGCAGAAGATGATGGCTGTGACGCCCTCAAAGCAGTGGATCCACTTCTTCCGCTCAGACCGCTGACCACCCACATCAAACATCCTGCAGATATAGATCACCTTAGTTCCAGGAAGGGAGCCTGGGGGAGGCTTTCTACCCCATTTCTCAGGTTGGCTGACTGAGGACAGAGGCCTGCCCAGAGTAGGGCAGCTACCTTCTGGAATCATCCACACTTGCCCACTTCACCCCTGGTTCTGGGCCAGGAGCTTGGACAGCAGGCAGGCTGCAGCCACATCAGGCAGGAGCAGCAGAGGCTGTGAGCAGCTGGCAGAGGTGGCGTGGATCCTGACTGCTGGTTCACTAGGTGGTGAGGATGTGCTTGCCCAGAACACATGAGCCTTGTAAAACCTCAGTGGGGCTGGGGGATCCTGGACCAGCCCCTGCCTCTGCTACCCCAGAGGCTGGCAGGTCCTGCCCCTCCCACCTGTCCACATGCTCGCTCACTTGAAGTGTAGGTCCTTGAAGGTGAAGTGTGTCTCCACGATCCCCGTGGTCTTTACGCGGGTCCGTAGCACATCTTGCTGTGTGGGGATGTAGTCACTCTGTGCAATACGCTCCAGGTCGTTCAGGTAGCTGGGGATGGGGGGTGGGAGGGTCAGTGGGGGCCAGCATGGGGCTTCCTTAGCTGGACCCTGGGCCAGCTGCAAGAGGCCCCTTCCCTCCCATGCCATTTCTCAAGCACAGCCCTTGCTTTTTTTTTTTTTTTTTTTTTTTTTTTTTGAGACAGAGTGTTACTCTGTTGCCAGGCTGGAGTGCAGTGGCATGATCTTGGCTCACTGCAACCTCTGCCTGCCAGGTTCAAGCGATTCTCCTGCCTCAGCCTCCTGAGTAGCTGGGACTACAGGCGCCTGCCGCCCAGCTAATTTTTGTATTTTTAGTAGAGACGGGGTTTCACCATGTTGGCCAGGATGGTCTTGACCTCTCAACCTCAGGTGATCCGCCCACCTCGGCCTCCCAGAGTGCTGGGATTACAGGCGTGAGCCACTGCGCCTGGCCTAGGCACAGCCCTTGTTTCTTTAACCCCTGCCTGCATTACCTCATTGCTCAAATGAAGAAACCTGAACTCAGAGCCCCCGGCCTCCCACCTGTAGAATGGGAATGGGAGGAGGTGCAGCTCTGTGGACAGCTAGCCAGCCAAGCTCCAGCACCCAGGGTCTGAGCCAGACCTGCCTCGGACAGGATCCAGGATGTTGGAGCTATAGGCAAAGAGGGTGGGAGGAGGCAAATTAGTCCTTCGGTGAAGGATTCAGGATGCTAATGGGCGCAATTACGGCATTAGCCGCAGAGCAGCCGGGTGCGGTCCCTCGATGTGGTGCTGGACAGGTTGGGGCCTGCCAGGTCCAGTGGGCTCTTTGCCCAGCGCCCAATGAAATCTGGGTTCCTCAGGGGGAGGGCACAGACACCTGCTTGGCAGGGGTCCCAGGGGCTCCTCATTACCAGTTCCCTTAATTAGTATCAAGGCTACCCCTGCAGGGCCTGCCTCTGCTGCCTGCCTCAATATCCCTGCCATGCCCTGGAGGCTGGTCCCAGGCCTCCAGGCTGCTGCCCAGAGCTGACTTTTCATTCCTGGGGCAAGGCTGCTGGGGCTGGCCCTTGGCTCCCACCAGCACCCAGGCCAAACCAGGCCAGAGGGAAATGATCTCAGAGTAGCAGGGACAAAACAGAAAAACAGGAAGGGCCATGGGGAAGGATGACGCATGTGCTGTGACCCGCATACCATGCCCCGCCCCCTACTGCCAGAGTCCTCAATGTGGAGGTACCATGGTGCATTCCACACCAGCCTCTCCCTTTTCCCCAACAGGTGGGTTCGCCCCAGGGACCCCCTGACTCGCTGCACACTTGGAGGGTTGCTGCGAAGAGGGGCTGAAGGAGCCCTGCTTCCTGTGGTGTTCCAATCCGCAACCCATTCCCAGGGGGAGCTATCAAGGCTTAAACCTGACTGGGAGAACAGGGCCTGTATTCACTCCCAAAACTGTGCTGGGCACACAGTGGGTGCCTAATGTCTGGAGAATAGAGAAAGAGGATGATGGAGAAGCAGGAGGTGGCCTGGAGGTGGCTCTATTCCTGCTTCCTTTGAGTATCATGGGCACCAAGGTCCCTGCTGCTCTGACCCCAAGCTCGCTGGTGGCTGGGCCAGAGATCTCAGGGAGGGGCAGTGGTGAGGCCTGGGGGCCCCCACAGCATTTGGCTGTGACTCCACAGCTCCTGTAGGGGGTACATATTCACAAGAGCATTCAGGCCATGTAAGAAGGGTAGGAGGAGGCTGTTCATGTGGCTTGGACAGGGCTCAGGAATCACAGCCAGGCAAGACCCTCCTCCTCCTCCCACCCACCCTTGCTGAAATCCACCCTATGGGTAGGCTCAGGATTGGATGAACAATAGGAGCAAAAGGGTGTTCCAGTCAGAGGGGACTGGCTTAAGCAGAGATAGGGGAAGGCTAGAGTACAGGGACAGCAGCCTATCTGGTGACACCATCCAAAGCCTGTGGATGTCCCCTGCAGCCATCCTCAATGGCTATTAGCCTGTCTATCCTGTTCCCCGTGGGGTCCTCAGCACCCTGCACCAGTCCAAGTACATGACAGATACCACAGGGAAGGAGTTCAGAACTGTGGAAAGGGTGCAGGCTTGTCATGCCTCTGGGATTCCTGGGACCCCTTGTAATTCCTCAGCCTAGGGCCAGCGAGGGTCACAGCTGAGGTCCAGGGGCTCTGACCTACACACACACCTGTCACCTCCCAGATAACTTCCTCCCCTGTGGCCCCCTCCAGCCAGCCTCCACAGCCTATGTTCAAGCACAGCCAGCTCCCCACCACCCCGAGATGCTGCACATGCTATGCCCCTGCCTGGAATCCCCTCATCCACTCCTCCCCTGGCTGACTCTCCTTCAGAGCTCAGCAATCCTGTCTCTGGGCCAACTCCACCTCTACCTTTTCACTAACACCCTAAATTGTCACTGCATGGGGACTTTGCTCCACTCATCACTGTGTCCTTGAAGCCTGGCACAGAACAGGTGGCAGCAAATGTTCTGAGTCTTGCTCTGTCACCCAAGCTAGAGTGCAGTGGCGCAATCTCCGCTCACTGCAAGCTCCACCTCCCAGGTTCACGCCATTCTCCTGCCTCAGCCTCCTGAGTAGCTGGGACTACAGGCGCCCTCCACCACGCCCGGCTAATTTTTTGTATTTTTAGTAGAGACGGGGTTTCACCGTGTTAGCCAGGATGGTCTCGATCTCCTGATCTCACGACCCGCCTGTCTCAGCCTCCCAAAGTGCTGGGATTACAGGCGTGAGCCACCACGCCCGGCCGCAAATGTTCTTTAGAAGACTGTCAAGACAGATCAGACTCAACTGGCCTGGAAGAGATGTACTGTATAAGCCACCTGCCTGTCATTCCTCCTGGCCTTTCAGTAACGTGACACCCACCCACCCCCCAAACCAAAAAACAGGAAGGCCTTGGTTAACAGTCATCGGTTTCATAAGCAAAGACCAGCAGTGTCCTTCTGGGGGTTCTCAGGCCCTCCGGTCCAGCCTTTAGTCCTCCCCCAGCCCCTGCCCTGCCCTGCCCAGCCCCTCAGAGCACTCACTAGGCAGCTGAGTCGTTGAGCTGGTATTCCCTTGAGCGGCCAAAGCAGGCCTGCACACCATGGTCAGCCCAGAGCCTCCGGATGACGCCGGACAGGTCATCAGGGAGCACGCCTTGCTCCTCGGCGGTGCAGGACAGTGCAAATAGCTGCCTGGCGTCGTCCTGGGCACAGTGGCGGGTGGTCAGGCAGTTGAAGGAATGTACCCCCACTCTGCCAGAGGCAGGGAGACCTCTGGAATGGGGCCCAGGCTAGGGTATTCTTGGATTCCCTAGGATGAGACTTGCCCTAAAACCTTTTTGTTGTTGTTGTTTACTTTTTTCTGTGACGGAGTCTAGCTCTGTCACCAAGGCTAGAGTGCAATGGGGCGATCTTGGCTCACTGCATCCTCTGCCTCCCGGGTTCAAGCAATTCTCCTGCTTCAGCCTCCCAAGTAGCTGGGATTACAGGCACGTGCCACCATGCTCGGCTAATTTTTGTATTTTTAGTAGAGACGCGGTTTCACCAAGTTGGCCAGGCTGGTCCTGACCTCAGGTGATCCACCCGCCTCGGCGTCCCAAAGTGCTGGGATTTATAGGCATGAGCCACCACAACCAGCCACCCCGAAACCTTTTGGGAGGTGGGAGAGGGTGGGGCGGAGGGCACATACCGCTCTGGAGGGGTCGGCAAAGTCGATCTGCAGGTTGCCCATGGCTTTGACAATGGCCATGATGGACTGGATGGTGTTGCTGTAGACAACCGCCCGGTACTGCCGGCATTCCTCCTCGGAGTAGCCATCCTCGTGGATGATCCTGATAGCCAGGGACCAGGAAGGTTAGTGTCCCCTGGGCACTGGGAGTTCCCACGGCTGCCTGGGGCTACTGGGACCTGCTTCAGAGAAGGGAAAACTGCCCCTGACCCACTGGGACCTGAGGGTCCTTCTGCTTCTCAGAAGATTCTGGGCCTGGCTAAGACTGGCTGGGCCTGTAGTCGGGGGCAGTGCAGGCCCAGAGGGTGAAGAGGGGAAGCTGGAGTTTGAGCACTGCCTCTGGAATACAGCACTTACTTCATCTGCTTGACGATGGTGCTCTTCCCTGACTCCCCAGCACCTGGAACAGAGGGCACAGGTGGTCAGGGGGCAGGCCCAGAGGGGCTCCACAGGCACAGAACAAATGCCCAGACACCTGTAGCCCAGGAGGCAGAACTAACCTTCCCACCAGCTGCACCGTGAGATGGAGGCAGCTGGGCCTGGTGGGCAGTTGAGCTACCAGGAATGCAGCTGGCAGGGCCACAGTGGTCAAGGTAACCTAGAGCACCTGTGCCCCATGGCAGACTCTCTGCAGGCCTTTGCCTCCCACAAGCTCTGCTGCCCACCATGGCTCCCCACTGTCCTGGGGGGTCTTGGCTGGAGACTTGGCCAGCCATGAAGGAGCCACCCTGTTCTCACATACATAGGCTCGCCAACCTGTGCAGCTGGTGCATGCCAATATGGTGCCCTGGGCAGAGCTGGCAGGAAGATGCCCTGCATACTCCATCCAACAGGGTAGCAGCCCTTCTTCTCCCCACACTGAGCCTTAGCAACCAGGGGCCTAAGCAGGAGCACAGCGTCACACTTCAGCTTTCTGGACATGGCCCAATGCCCCGCCCTCTGCTCACTGCGCTCAGGTCTGCCCTGAGCAGATGGAGGCTAGAAGGCTAGAATCTAGGAGACCTACAGTGTAACACACACGCGTACTGACTCATGAATCTGGGAGACCTGCGGCGTATCTCACACACCCACACCCACACACGCCCATACTGACTCAAGCTTTTCCCTGGCCTGGTACAGCCCTGGCCCATATTTCTCTTTAGCTGGTACTGAGATTTGCTGCATTCTCTCCTGTATTAGTCACAGCAGATACTGTTTCTGTTCCCATTCTACAGATGAGGACATTGAGGCTCAGAAAAATAAAGTATTGATCTAAGATCATGTAGCCAGGACTCAGAAGGGCAAGAGGGTGGAGGGAACCCATGATGCCTGGTCCACCCTGCCATTCTCAAAATGTGGCTGAGACCCTGCGGGACAATGCCTTGGGGAGGTGTTTAAAAAAGCAGATTCCGCCGGGAGTGGTGGCTCATGCCTGTAATCCCAGCACTTTGGGAGGCTGAGGCAGGTGGATCACCTGAGGTCAGGAGTTCGAGACCAGCCTGGCCAACATGTTGAAACCCCATCTCTTCTAAAAATAACAAAAACTAGCCAGGCGTGGTGGCAGGTGCCTGTAATCCCAGCGGCTCGGGAGGCTGAGGCAGAAGAATCGCTTGAACCTGGGAGGTGGAGGTTGCAGTGAGCCGAGATTGTGCCATTGCGCTCCAGCCTGGGCAACAAGAGCGAAACTTGGTCTAAAAAAAAAAAAAAAAAGCAGACTCCCAGGTCCCATCCCAGACAACAGAGCCAGATCTTGAGGAGTGCAGCCCAGGAGCCTGTATTACCCAGGGAGTCTGTGTAAAGAAGGACCAGGGGGGCCACCCAACTCCCTGGCTGGGGGCCAGAGGGAGTGGAGGCAGGGCCTCACCTTGACCTTGCTCCCTTGCTGCTGGCTTGTCTTGAGCTCCAGGTTGAATGGCCCCCAGCTGGGCCCTGCTGTCCTTCCCAGACCCTGTGCTCCTGCTCCATCACTGCCAGTCACACCTGCAGCTGCCAGGCACTACCTCTAGCTATCTCCAGGGCCCTGCTCATGCTGTTCTCTTTGCCGGGAATACGTGCCCCATGCCCCATTCACAGTGTCCCAATTCTGATCACTGTGGCACGTTTGTTCCTCTGTGCAGCTTAGCTGGGTGGGTAGTAAGGTCTGTGCAGAGGTCAAACTTGGGTACTCTGGCCAAGCTCAACAGCATCCCTTGGGGCTGGTCAAAACAACCTCAGAGGATGAAGGTGCTAACACACAAACGAACACAAGCAGTAACAATAACATCGGCAATATCGACAGCAAAGCTATATGAAAACAGCGCCCACCATGTGCCAGATGCTGCTCTACATCAATGACACCCACCAACTGCCATCTCCACAGCAATCCTGGGAGGTAGGTTCCATTCTCACCCCAATCTAACCAGTGAAGGAACTGAGGTCCAGGGAGGCTGAGGTCACAGGGTTAGAGTCCCCTCTGCAGGGAGCACACTTGCCCACCGTGCAGTCCCTCCTAGAGCTGTCCTAAGTACCTGGTACTGCAGCGGAGCCACACAGTCCACCTGGCACTGGGTTCACTCCCTAGCTCCCCAGGCAGACTCTGGGCCATGTCTGCAGTGCTCAACAAGCGGCAGCAGGCATTGGGACATGGTGGCAGGCCTTGCCAAGGCCCCTGCCCACCTTCAGCCCCCTACGCCAGAGACCACCCTGAGGGGAAAGGCCTGAGCCCTCCTCACAAATGCCATCAGGCGCCTGCAATCACTGAGCTTCTGACTGTCCCAGGCCTGCTTTCCAGGATGAGGGGAGGGGATCTGGGGAGATGGGGAGTGACAGCTAGTTGGGTATGAAGTTTATTTTTGAGGGTGGTGATTATGTTCTGGAATTAGATAGCAGTGATGGTTGCACAATCTTGTGGACATACAAATGTGCAGGCCCTGGGAAGGCTGGGGCGCTGTGGCTGGGGCAGCAATCCCCTCTATTGCTTTAGCCCCTGGGCACTACAGGGGCCGGGCCCAGTATCTTCACTGGGGTGTGTACCGGGATATATACCAGCACCACTCCCTCCCCATTGGGCTGTGCATGGCAAAGGGGCAGCCAGGATCTGCATACCAACACTCCTCCACCTGCCAATGAGGACATGGGGAAAGGTCCCAGGAAAGCCTCACAGCGATGCCTGAACACTTAAGGCCCATCCCCCTGGGGCTCAAAGCACCCACTGGGGCAGGGAGGGCAGCAGTGGCTACCTGACTGTCTTCCCCACTGGCTCCTCCAGAGCAGGAGGAAGAACCAGGAGCCAGTCACAGCCAGGATGGGGGGAACTGCAGGAGCAGAGGCCAAGGATGCGAAGTCATGGGTCCCCATGCAGTCCCGAGCCAGGCGAGCTCAGACTCAGCAGGGAAGCTACCCAGGGCATGGGGGACCTGAGGTCTAGGGTGAAAGCTTCCCCATCTTGTGTGACTTCGGGACTCCTGCCCACTTGAGGCATCAGTTTCCCTATCTGGCCACTGAGAGTGAAGAGGGGGTCTGGCCTTTTGCCCACTCTTAGTAGGTGATGTGGGCCGCTTCGTGACCCTGCCCAGGGACGAGGGTGCAAACTTGCTTTGCATCTGATTTTCCTAGCAGCAGCTAGACCTGGTAGACATGAGGTAGGCAGCACAGAGCCAGTCACACTAGGAGCCAGGATATCTGCTCCCTGCCCCAGCCAGGGAGGGCCCACTTCCCTGTCCCCTTCAAGTTTCATTTTCCCCTCCTAAGGCCTCTTAAATGTTAAGAGAACATTCTCTATCCCAAGCAGGGGTCACTGAAAAAAGAGTTCCACTTGACAGGTAAGCAAATCAAGGTCATGGAGCCCCTATCCCTAGACTCAGGCTGGTCTCTTTGTCTTTCCAGCAGCTGTGACTCAGGCGGGAAGTAGTGAGTGGCAGGACAAGGGTGTGGTGCTGGCAGCCAGGCAGGAAGCAGGGGGAACAACGGGACAGAGGCAGGGGCACAGCCCAGGAGCAGCTCCAGCAGAGAAGGGGGACAGGAGCAGAGGTGGGTGGAGCCCCAGGATGGCATCTGGGTGGAATGGGTGGGGTGAAGAGCTCTCGGGCAGCCCACAGGCTAAGTGCCCTGGCAGCTGTGGGGTAGTAGCTTCACTCTCCCCATCTCTGGCTGGGTCCTCTTTCCATCAGGACCTGAGGGATGCCCCCTACCAGATAAGCTGGCAAGAGGCTTATCTGTGAGTTTTGCACACACCCAGCTCCCCTCGCACCTGCCTCTCAGAGGGGTGGCTGAGTCCAGATTTTTTTTTTGAAACACAGTCTCGCTCTGTTGCTCAGGCTGGAGTGCAATAGCATGATCTTGGCTCACTGCAACCTTTGCCTCCCGGTTCAACCTCTGCCTCCCGGTTCAAGCAATTCTCCTGCCTCAGCCTCCCCAGTAGCTGGGACTACAGGCATGTGCCACCACGCCCGGCTAATTTTTGTATTTTTAGTAGAGACAGGGTTTCACCATGTTGGCCAGGCTGGTCTCGAACTCCTGACCTCAAGTGATCCACCTGCTTTGGCCTCCCAAAGTGCTGGGATTACAGGCGTGAGCCACCGCGTCCAGCCTGAGTCCAGATTTCTGCAAAGATGCTGGGTAGGGGAACTGAGGCAATAGAAGGTGGCATGAATCAGCCCCTCCTGCCCGCAGAGGGCCCCACCAAGTGCTCTGTCCCCAGCTGGGTAAGACCAGAGAGGCCTGCAGAGGTTCCCTGGGGTGGCCTTGGCATTCCCACTGAGTCACACCTCTTCCCACCAAGGAAGAAACCTCTGCAGCCTTTGCCCTGTGGCGCAGTTAGGGCCCACAGCAGGTAGGCAGTAATCATAGTGATGTGCTGGGTGGTGGCAGCTGCTCTGCACTAGAACATCTGCTTCCACTTTGGGAGTGCTGAGCCCCAGAGGAGGGAACCGATGAGAGAAGGGAGACAGTACCACTCCACCTGCGTGAACAAGACCAGCAGGGCCCCTGCAGCAGGAGAGACAGGCCCACAGGTCTTGTCACTTGATGCTTAGTCCAGGCCCCAGCATTCAAGTCACAGCATCTGTTCATCTTGGACCCTCTAACTCCTTAATAGGCTTTGATCTGCTGGGAGGCTGGGACTTGCTACTATCCTTTCTGGCTTCAGTTTCCCCTGGGCAGAGCTGTCAAGCCTCAAGCAGCCAGCCAGCCTGCCTCCCATTTTCAGATCCTCTCCCAGAAGGAGGTCCAGACTTGCCACAGCCCTGATGTCCACTCTGATCCTTCCTGAGATCCTCAAGAGCTTCAGCTCCTTTCCTGCCCTTTCTCTGGCACCTCATCTGTGAAATGGGACAACGCTGTCTCCTTCTGAGAGATGGGTAAGGATTAAATGCAAAGCTCTTCTCACAGTGTGGGGCACATGTGAGCATTCAGGTAAAAGTTATCACTATTTATCTACCCTTTGAAAGAGTACAGATTTCCCCAAACCTCTCATTTCCTGCAACCTGCAGAGAAGACTGCTGTGGTCATCTCATTTGAAGGAAAGCTTCTGAAGATTTTCAGATAAAGAGCAGATGAAGAGCAATGGACAGCGGCTAACAGGCTGATTCAGAGCTGTGGTGGTTCCCTGCTGGGACTCAGCATAACCTGGGACAGGAGTCAGAGCTACTGGCTCCTCTGTTGGCTTTCCGCTGTGTCGTCACTTCCCTTCAGTATAACCCGGCACTCCTACACAGCTGGGGCCTCCTTCCTGCCCAGGAGCCTCACTGCTGACATTGCTCACTGGCTGCACACACCCAGAAAGCCAGGCACACCTCCCTGGAGAGAACCCCCATACTGGTGGGCTCCGTGGGAACACGTGGGGCCAGGAAGAGCAGCCAGCTGACGTGGCAGGCCCGAGGGCAGAGATTCTCAGAAGCAGCAGCGGCTGGGACCACAGGGTAGACTTGGGCAGCGGCCCAGCTCAAACCCACAACACCAGGCCCGCCCACACTGCCACAACTCCCCAGCCTATCCCAGTGGGATATGGTGGGGCAGGTGGGGGTAGCCCTGAGCCCACCACAAAGGCAGCCCGGACACCACCTCCTTCTCTTATCCCAGGAAGGTGCCACATCTCCAGCTCAGCCTGTGGTTCTCAGATCCCGTGCACCCCCACGTCCCCTGCAGTCCTAGGGACCCATGCCCCGCCACCACCAGGGGGCGCCCGGCAGCCGGAGACACTGTGGAAGGAAGTGGGGGCTGGGCAGCACTGGGGAGCGTTTTGTTTCAGAAAAGCAGCCTCAGCCAGGGGCGACTGGGGAAGGTGTCCCACCCACCAGCCCGTCCCTGGGAAGCCCCCAGCCTGCAGAGACTCGGCACACACAGAAACCATGGCAACGGGAGGGAGGGGCAGAGACCCCGCCAGACAAAGGCCCTCTGAGCCCCGCCCCTGGCGTCTCTTCCTTCCTCCAGGTGCTGCTCCCCGGCCCCCCTCATTCCCTCCGAGAAGGCTCAGCACGGGTCCGGCACTGGGAGGCAGGGACTCGAGGTCTTGAAAGGGACCGGCAACACTCCCACCCATGTGTGTGGCATGGCCCTATAACGGATGCCTGAACAGACCAACAGACTCCACACCTCCCTCCCGCCAGTCTCTGGCACTCGGCTGCCTCCAGCGGCTTCCAGGGGTTCACAGTGCCCAAAGGGGAGCACTACCAAGCAGGGCCTGGCTTCCTACTGCCAAGTCAGAGATCTCTGTGTTAGGGAAACTGAGGCCTCAGGTCCTGCCCACACATGGGAAAGTCTTTCTGGGGCAAGGTGTGTCTCCCTCAGTGGGGCCCTTTCCACTGCACAGAGGGAAACTCAGGCACCGGGTGAGGAAGGCTGGCCTGATATAAAGGAGGCCCCAGACCTGTTCATCGCTGGCGCCTCAGGCCCCAGGTACCGCCTGTGCAGGAGCCAGGAGGTGCTGGACAAGACGCGGATCACGCGGAGCTGGGCCATTTGGCACCGTCTCCCTGGAGGCCTCTTCATTTCAGGCATCCCTCCGCTGTTCCCAAGGCACCTGAATGACCTCTTTTCCCTTCTGATTCATGGCGGTGGACTCTGGGAAAGATAACGGGAGCCTAGGCCTCATCTATGAAATGTACCCCTTGAGGGAGGGTGCCAAACCCAAGGCCTGCCCTGAGTAGCCTCTTCAAAGTCACCCCAAACTGCCTCAGGGCCCAACCCAAGCCAGCAGCTGTCCTTGTGTCCACAGGCCAGGAGACCATGCTAAGAATCACGGCACTGGCGGGGCGGGGTGGCTCACGCCTGTATTCCCAGCACTTTGGGAGGCTGAGGTGGGCGGATCACCTGAGGTCAGGAGTTCGAGACCAGCCTGACCAACATGGAGAAACCCTGTCTCTACTAAAAATACAAAATTAGCCGGGCATGGTGGCACATGCCTGTAATCCCAGCTACTCTGGAGGCTGAGGCAGGAGAATCACTTAAACCTGGGAGGCGGAGGTTGTGGTGAGCCGAGATTGCATCACTGCACTCTAGCCTGGGCAACAAGAGCGAAACTCAGTCTCAGAAAAAAAAAAAAAAAATCACAGCATCACAGATTCTAGTGCTGGATACAGAGAGGGAAGAGGACAGTCTGAGGTCTCATGGTGAGGAACTGGACCCTCTGGGACCCACAGTCTTGGGTGGCCATGAGGATGCACGGGTCTCTGCTCTGTGCATGGCTTCATGGCCCAGAGAGGCTTGGACGCTTCTGCTCTGGCTCTCCTAAGCCTTCCTCAGCCCCCTCAGTCCCTTACGGCCTGGCCTGGCAACACAGCAGAACCCCTAGGAACCCCTACAAGAGAGGGCAAGGCCCCACTAGGCCACAGCACTGAGATTCGGAGGCCAAGGAGCAAGAGGAACCAGCCTCAACAACTATCATGCAGTCATCAGCCAACACCATGGCCACATTCTACCACCACACAGTACCGTACGTGCACCCAGCACTGAGCCTGTGCTCACAGTGCAGCCCTAAGGAACATGCTTTCATTTCACTCCTCTGGACAATTCCCAGTCTCAGAGGCCCTCACCATGGACTTCAATAGCTTCTGAGCCTTCCCCAGGCTTGGTCTCAGTCTAAGACTGGGGCTTATGGGAGAACAAGCATAATATTAGGGAAAGAATGAAGTCCTAAATTGCCAGCTATAACTTGAGCATCACTGTGAGAGGATACGGACTAGGAGAAAAAGTGGGAAGTCAAAAGGTGCAGCTGCAGCCGGGCGCAGTGGCTCACACCTGTAATCCCAGCACTCTGGGAGGCCGAGGCAGGCGAATCACTTGAGGTCAGGAGTTCGAGACCAGCCTGACCAACATGGTGAAACCCCGTCTCTATTAAAAATACAAAAATTAGTTGGGCGTGGTGGCACGTACCTGTAGTCACAGCTACTCAGGAGGCTGAGGCAGGAGAATCGCTTGAACCCAGGAGGCGGAGGTTGCAGTGAGCCGAGATCATGCCACTGCACTCCAGCCTGGGTGACAGAGTGAGACTCCATCTCAAAAAAAAAAAAAAAAAAAAAGGAGTGGAGGGGGTCCCCCATGACCACATGGCTGTAGAAAGCTTCATACACAGAGTCTTGGGTCCCACCTTCCAGGACAGACAGCTCCCTTTCCGCCTCCTAAAAGAAGAATTGAGGCCCGAAAGCCAGGGCCCATAGGCACAGGCAGAACACACACGCACCCACACCGTCTGCCTGCTGTCCTGCCTGATCCGTTACTTCCAGCCAGCACAGACTCCCAAAGGGCCATGGCAGTTGGAGGCAGGCGCTTAATCACTACATGGGTCATGTCCTGACATCTCTGTTCCCTGTTTAAGTGCATAAAGTCCCTGAGCTTCAGTTTGTCCATCAGTGAAATGGGTGTAATATCAGTCCCAGCCTCACAGGATTAAATATGACAAGATAATGAAGAATTCAGCTCCACACAACAGTCAAGGCTCAATCAGAGACAGCTGTGGTTATCACCTGAGGGGAAACAGGCCCAGTGAATGCAGCCCTAGACCCAGTGAGTGGGTGCTGGTAGGGGAGAATCCTTAGGCTGAGGCCAGGGATCCTTTGTCCGCCCCCCAGCAGGGGAAACCCAGAGTGAGCTCATCTCGGGGCTGTTGCTGCATTTCCAGGCATTCATCTCAGCCTGTGGCTGGCCTTCCGGCTTTGGAGAGCAATGGCCGCTCGGGAATCTAAGAGCAGCCCTCTGCCTTCCTGCTAGCCCTCCCGCCAGCGTCCTTCTCCCAGCCACAACTTCCTGTGGCCAAAGAAGGGGCCTGGAATCCTTCTCGAAGGCACCACCTTCTCTGGGATCTTGGGCCCGATGGTTGCTGGGGTGGGACAAGGTACAGAGCTACCTGGACTGGCTCCAACTCAGTGACCGCCACTAGAATGGCCCACAGGAGTGCAAAGATAAGCCTGGGCAGGTGTTCACCTCCTAGACCCTTCCAGTTGGCAAAGCCCTGGGGGGCCCTTGGGCTCTCACCCCCACCCTAGCACCAGGCAGCCCTCTGGCCTCTTCCTCTTTTGGGCTCCTCCTCCCCCAGCTGCTTCCTCCTTTTCCTCTGGTGTGGACACCACTTCCCCGAGAGGCCCAGCCCTGCCCTGCCATGTCGTGCAGACTTCATTACCTCCTCCTCCCGCCGGGGGCACACACAGTAGGTGCTGCCATCACCTCCTTTGCATATCCTGAGGCTGTCAGCAGCCTTGGAGCCCCCAGATTCCTCCAAGCCATAAGGATATCTTCTCCCCAACAAGGCTGAGATGACCCCACCTTTAGGCCTTTGCTCAGACTGGTGTGGTGCTGCCTTTCAAGCCTTGTAAATGTGCACAGAGGCCGGCACAGAAGAACCAGCCCAGCAAATGTTTGGTTATTCCAGAAAGATTCTTCCTCCCCAGCCACCAAGAGCAGCCACAGCCCCAAGAAGTAACATCAGGGTGAGGGTGGGGTTGGGGTTTAGTAAGAACGAGAGCTTCAAGCTAGAAGGGCTGGGTGGGGCTGGGCAGACGGGGTTCCACCCTGCACCTGTAGCTGAGGGAAGGGCTGCCTGAGAGCATCAGGTACCAGGGACACCATCAAAGGGCCCAATCCTTTGCCTTCCCCAAAGCACCTTGCAGAGCACTCTTAGGCAGGGTGTATCAGCAGTGGCCTGGCCAGAACCTGCTGACCCCTTCCCCTCCTCGCTCAACTCCTAGGCTGGGATTCCTGGCCTGAGATGCTGGGAAGATGAGACTACTCCCTGGCCTGTACCTTGCCCCCATCTGCCCGGTCCTGCCTCCCCCCACAGCACAACGGGATGTAGGGGAGGCAGCACTCAGGCTCTGGGGTGACAGTCTCCTCCTCTGCTGTGGGTGGGGTGGGGGGAGTCCCTGGTTCCTCAGTGGCTAAGAGCTTGGGTGGACAAAGCTTCCTCCATCCTGTTCCCGCCAAGTGAATGGGTGGCTTTTAGAGACAGACTGAGAGAGTCACAGCCAGGGACCAAGAACTAAGATCAACGGCAGAGTATACAGGACCTGTGTGTCTGCCTGTGGCCCAAGTAGCCCCAAGTGCACCTACTGCCCCACCCCCTGCAGTGCTGGAGGCCTAGGGACCTTGCTGGGACCTGACCACACCCCACCCTCAGCACTACCTGCTGCCACTTGCCAGGCAAACTGATGTTCAAGGGCCTGGGACATCAGTGATGGCACTCAGTGACCCTACCTCTCAGGCCACCCAGGGCCAACCGCTGACAAGCTGCCCAGGGCCAAAGGGGTCCCGGACCATCCCCAGGCCCCATCCAGCAGCCTAGGCTCTGACACATAGTGGGTGGTGTGATGCTGCCTCAGGGCTTCTGACATGGAAGCCTGTGTCCCGCAACTGGTTTGACTTCCACCTCCTGCCACAGCAGCGCGGCTCATTCTCTCTGTCCTCACACCTGCTCTGCCCTCTGTCTGGGGTTCCTCTCCCCAACCCGCCTGGGATGCCCCCAGCTGAGCTCCAGCTGCCCTGATTCACCTAGTCTCTCAGCTCAGAGGTATCCCTTAAAGGACCTAGTCTCACTCCTACCCTAGAGGTATGACCTCATGTTGGCTGCACTGACACTGGCGTGAGAGGCAGGGGCTGAGCCTAGCAGAACTGGGCAGGATGCAGGCAGAGGGGGTCAGCTATAGCTTGGACCCCTGTTCACTCCTTAGTGTGGGAGCTCTATCCCTGCCTGCTCCTGCAGACAAAGCCCCGACAAGCCTGGGGGAGGGGTGGGAAGAAGAGACTCAGAGGCCCAAGCCGCCCCGCCCCCCATTCAAGTGCTAATGAGCTCCAGCAGTGAAGGAGAGGGCTGGGGTAGAGTGTAGGGGCTGGAGGCCAGCCTGGGTGGGTACTGGCCCACCTGGCACCCAGGGCCCTACCACATCTCCAAACCTAGACCCCCAGAGGTTGGGCCTAAGGTCCCCAGGGCAGTCTGTCACTCCTGCTGGCACCAACTATCTGCACGCCTTGGGCTCCCCACTTGCTGTGAACAGCTGCCTGAGGGCAGGGGAGGGGGTTCCCTAGGGCTCCAAACCCAGGCCAGGCAGCCTCTAGGATGGGAGACTCCTTCCCACCAAACTCTCAGCAGTGGGTCCCTCATCCATTTTCTTTTTTTTTCTTTTTTTTTTTTTTTTTTGAGACAGAGTCTTGCTCTGTCCCCCAGGCTGGAGTGCAGTGGCACCATCTCGGTCCACTGTAACCTTCACTTCCCAGGTTCAAGCGATTCTCGTGCCTCAGCCTCCCGAATAGCTGGGATTACAGGCACATACCACCATACCTGGCTAATTTTTTTGTATTTTTAGTAGAGACGGGGTTTCACCATGTTGGCCAGGCTGGTCTTGAACTCCTGACCTCAGGTGATCTGCCTGCCTCAACCTCCCAAAGTGCTGGGATTATAGGTGTGAGCCACCGCGCCTGGCCTCCCTCACCCATTTTTCATACCTCCAAGCTTTGGTAGACTGTCCCCATAACCTGTGGCTGCAGGGAGGCACTCTGCCCCCAGGTTATGAGTGGAGAGCAGGACTCCTGCCAGGGCTTCACCTGATGCTGAGTCTCTCAGCCAGTGCCATAGGTGGAACTGGGATTCGAACTCAGGTCTGGATGACCCCATGGGCTGGTCCAGGGAGGGTGGCCCTTTCCCCACCAGGCCAGGAAACACCCACCCAAGCTCTTGGGAATACAGGCCAAGTCTTCCTGCTGCAGTGTTCTTGTCGAGTTGGTCCCTCTGACCCCCAGTGCCTGGCCCTGGCAAATGGTATTCATCCTTCACAGCTGCCCAGCAGACCCCCTCCTCCAGGAAGCCCCCCTTCACAGGCACCATTAGAGTCTAACTCACTACCCAGCCAGCCAGAATCCCAAGCTAACCCTTCCTATCTGTCTCTAGCTAGACCAGGCTCCAGTGGCTGCCCCAGGATTATACTTACTCCTCTCCCAGGAGCTCTGCCCTGTTCATGGACATGTTCAATCACTTCATTCTGTCCATATACCCTCATTAGGCATCTATAGTATGCCAGCCCTTTGCAAGAGACACAGACAGGACAGAGGCCACAAAACCCCCTTTCTTTTCTTTTGGTAAACTTCATTGAGCCCTTGCTATGTGCAGTCTCTGCACTGGCCAGTACCAGGACTCTCACAGCATTGCTCTGGTCTGAGCCCCAGGGCTGCGGAGCAGCCCCTGCTGGACCAGCCAGCTCAAGCTCGACTGTGGCTACTGCAGTGTCAGAGACAGCAGCCCTCTAGCAGTGCACCAACAGCCTGAGTTGGAAGGAAGAATACAAAGCCACTCTGCTCAGCAGGAGTTCCGCACAGGGTGGGATAAGAACTCTCTCAGGTGCCAGCATAGCCTGTGGCGGGGCTGGGAAGAAACAGCCTGAAGAACTTTTCTCAGTGTCCCCTCAATGCTGGTCACCAATCCTGTGGTGGGCCTGTGGGCCCTTGCCACCTGCCCACAGTATGCAAACTGCCGCTCAGTTTACTCCACCATCTACCCAAAATCAGGTTCAGAGGATACTTCCTTCATTCAACAAACAGATGAGAAGCACCCAGTAGATGCCAGGCTCCATGCTGGGCACAGAAATGAAGAGGACTTAGCCCTGCCCTGCAGTCTCCAGGCATCTGAGGGGGGAAGCAACAGCGCTGGGAGCCAGATGTTTCACCAGCCTTGGTCGAGGGAGGATGTCCAGGAAGGATCCTGGGAGGTGATCCCAGAGTAAAGTTTTAAAGAACAATCAAGTAGGGAACAACACACACAAAGTTCCAGGGGCAAGAGAGAACTGCTCTGTTTACATTCTGAAGCCTTTATGGAGCCAATGGTGGACACTGTCTCCTTTTTTTGTGAAGCTGTCCACACAGGCCCATCCCAAATCAGAGACTCTCCCCCCTCACATACACTCTGGCTTCCTTTCCCTTAAGAGCCCAGACCAGGGTCCCAGATTCCACCTGGGCCTAGCTGATCAGTCACGTTGAGCTGGGTAGGAGTGGGGAGCATCCCTAGAATAGGACTGGTATCTGCTCCCCCTACAAAGTTGCCAGGAAATACTCTCTTGCCTGTGTGTACCACATCAGCCTCTGCCCTGGTGACAAGGACTGTGCCTGCCTGCTGGCAGGGCTACCCAAGATGGGAGGGAGGCGGTGTGCGGGCGGGGCAGCAGGCGTGGTTCTGGCTGGGAGGGAAGGCTGGCAGTTGCCCAACCTGAGTCCCGTTGCCTGGACAAAGTCTCCCGCTACATGGGACAGGCGCCCAGAACTCTGAACTTACCACAGCTGGGCTCCCATCACCACCTTGCACCTGGATGGGAAAGGCATGGCTCAAGCCAGGATCCCTCCCCAGGCAGCCATGGCAGACTGGGTCATCAATATCAAGCAGAGCTTGGTCAGAGCCCTTTGCAGCACACTGCAGGGTCTTTACTCCCAACCTACATCCCCAACAAGAACCACCAGGAGGCTCTTGTTCTCCCTCCCCATCCTGACCTGGGGCACTCCTTTGGCCAAAACCCAGGAAGCCCATTTCACAGAGTAAGCAAAGGCCAGAAGGCCAGGACCCCAGGGTGAACTTCCCAGGCTAGAAAGTGCTAAGCCAGACCCTGCACCCCTGGCTGCTGCCAGCCCAGTGTGGGAGGAGTTACCAGGTCTCACTTGCCTTAGCCCAAAAGGTGAGCTGGGCTCCAAGGAGCAGGCCTGGTGGGATGGGGGACCCTTCTGGTGTCGGGACACAAAACTAGCCAGAAGCCCTGCGTTCCCCCAGCTCTATGGTCCAGTCTTGCATTTCCTCGGCCACCACAGTAACTGCAATCGCCTGGGGAGAGGCTGTCTAGAGACTCCTGGCTGGGCACTGGGAGGCAGCGGTACCGGAAGTGCCCTCCCCAGGCCCGTCGGGCAGCAGCAGCAGCAGCGACGGGCATTCCGCCGCGTCGACACCCACTCACTGCCGCTGCCGCACTCACAGCAGAGACAGGAAGAGGCAAGCGCCCAACGCAAAGCAGCCCAGGAGGCTGGGCCGCCGCCCCTTCCCGCCCCTTCTCTTCCTCCCTGAGGCAGCAGCGAAGCGGATGCCATTTTGAAACCTCCAAGGCTGTGCCCCGGAGGCCGGGTCCGCAGGGACAGTCAACAGATGGCCCATAATGGACATACATGCTGTTCCTCGGCCACAGGTCCAGCACGAAAAGCCCTGCTTTTCACAGCCTGGGAGCCCTATGACAGTTCTGAAGTCGAGGGGCCACACCCCCCCATGCACTTCTCAGCCTACAACGGTGCTGCGCTGTTGCAAGGGCCTCCCTCCCCCCAACTCTAAAACCCCCAAATCAAAATTAGACTGCCACTGGGCACCACACCTACTTCCAGTGGGAAGCTGGATGGGGACAGCCAGTAGGCCCACCGTCTTTGCAAAAGGCCAGCTGGGATGCTCAGAGGCACCCTGGCCCACCCCCAGCTGGCCCCTCAACTCCTCATTCAGCTAGTCCACCATCCCCCTTCACAGGGTCCCAAGATCCAACAAGCCCCCCAACTCTCAGAGGCTACATCCCAGGCCTTGCAGCCCAGAAGGGGTGTGGGCAGCCCAGCACCTACTAGCAGATCTCCTGGGCTCACCCGCAGGGGCAGCAATATGTCGGCTGTCTCACCACTTCCACTTCCCCCCACTCCTCTAGCAGCCACCATCTTTTCTGGCCTTGGAGGCGGCCACAACCCTAACTCCTCCACTCTCTCTCCTACTTCCCAGACTGGCCTTCGAAACTGGAAAACATAGAGCCTCCTTGGGAAGCCTGAGGCCTGGCCCCCTCCCCCAGCGTGACCAGTGGAGCCTCAATCCAGCCCCGTGGGGGTTCTGCATAAGGCAGCCTAGGCCCTCTCCAACCCAGGGCTCCCGCCTCCTAGCCCAGCCCACTTGGTGCAGGAAGGGTGGAGGGATCTGGGGAAGGCCAGAGTGTAAGAGGACTTAGGGGAGGATCAGCAGAGGGTTTCGGGAGTGATGCCTGCAGAGAAGGATCTGGAGGGCAGGAAGCAGGGAGCAGGGCTCGCTGAAGGGGTTCCAGCTGGAGATGGGGCTCAAGAGCAGTTTCCCACTCGAGAGGTTCCTTGGGTCAGAGTGCACAGGTGGAGGATACAGATTCCAGACTAGGGATGGGGCACAGAAGGAGAAGGAGGGAGTGGGTGGGGGGCCTGGCAGGGGCCCCGCGGGATGCTCATGCCCAATAGGAATAAAAGGCGCAGGTGAGGAAAACAAGCGGAGCCTGAGGGTTGGGGAACAAGTGGCGGGCATCCTGGGGGTTTGGGCAAAGTGTAGGGAAGGATGGCGGGGCTCTGAAGTTCTGTGAAGCTAGTTAGCAAGGGGGGATGGCCAAGCAGGGCACTGGACCGCGGGTGTTGGGGCACTGTTGACTGGATTTGGAGGTCTGGGGTCTGGGATGAGACAGGGGTCTGGTCTAGAGTCTGGGCAGGATCAAAGGTCTAGTCCAATCTAGAGTTTTCAACCCTGGTCCTGGCCCAGGTGTGGGGTCCCAGACAGCCCGGGTCTGGGAGTTTGAAGCCCTAGTCTGGGAGGTCAAAGTCCTTGTCTGGGGATTCGAGCTGGGAATCAAGGATCCCAGTGCGGGACGCGGCCTCACCCAACAGCAGCAACTTCACCTCCCGCGCCGCCTTCTCTCCGTCCTCCCGCAGGTTCTTGTCGATCATCTTAGAGCGCTCGGCCGCCGCCTTGTCCTCGGCGCTCACGGTGCAGCCCATCCCGCCGTCCGCCGGCCCGGCCGCCGCCCGGCCCCCACACGGCCCACGGCCCGGCTCGGCCCCGCCCGACCCACTCCGCTCCCACCACCAGCCCTCTGCGGGAAGCACTCGGGTCGGCAGTTCCGAGCGACTGCGGGAGGCGCCTTCCCTACCGCCGCGCACCGACGGCGGGGCGGGCCGGGGGTGGGGCCTGGGCGAACCAAGCCTGTGACTGGGCCGGGGCGGGCTTGCAGGCGGGGCCAGAGGAGATTAGAGGCTGTTGATTGGCTCGAGGGCGGAGCGAAGGGGGAAGTTAGGCGCAGCCCAGGCTCGGGCCTGGGCTGCAGGCGGGGCCACGCGGAGAAAAGGCAATAGGGGTGGTTCCAAACCCCGGGACCCGGCACTGGGCGGGCTGCAGGCGGGACCGGGCTGTGATTGGGTGCGGAGCGCCGGGAGCTCTGTTGCTGGACAGCCGGGAGGGCGGATCTGTTAACCCGAGGGTGGGGATCCGGTGCCCTCGAGGGCAGAGCAGGAACCAGCCCTCTGAGCTTCTGCGAGTTGGGCGAGTTAGGTGGAGGAGGCGTGTCTTTGTCATTTGTTAAAGTTAATGAGTCCAGTAAACTTGTTTTGGGATCTACGAACTCGGGAGCCTTTCTGGACTGCGGTTTTCTCAGTCTTAAGGCGGGTTTACCGCCTTCTCCCTCTGGGTTGCAGCTAGTCGAAAAAGGAAAAAAAAAGGCCGGGCGCAGTGGCTCACGCCAGTAATCCCAGCACTTTAGGAGGCCGAGGCGGGCAGATCACTTGAGGTCAGGAGTTCTAGACCAGCCTGGCCAACATGGTGAAACCCCATCTCTACTAAAAATACAAAAATTACCCGGGCGTGGTCGTGGGCGCCTGTAATCCCACCTGCTCAGGAGGCTGAGGCGGGAGAACTGCTTCAACCCGGGTGGCGGAGGTTGCAGTGAGCCGAGATCGCGCCATTCATTGCACTCCAGCTTGGGCGACAGAGCAAGACTCCGTCTCAAAAAAAAAAAAAAAAATTGGTTTCCATCTTTACACCTTTGCCTAGGCTGTCTCCTTTAGCTGGGTGGCTTCTCATATCCATCCTTCCCCAATCTACCGGGAGGCATTCTTCGGCAGGCAGCCATCCTGGACTCCAATCTGGGACCAGGCAATCAGGACCCAAGGGAGAAAGGGAGAGAGGATGAGAGGGTGGAGAGGGAGGAAGAGAGGAGGGCGGGCAGGCAGGGTGAGGGGGTTGGGAGGGAAGAAAGAGGAAGAAGTTGCCACTGGACTTCTAGAAACAAAAGTGGCCATGATCTTATGACCTGTCTCTTCCATGGCCTGTCCACGTCTGGAGGTGGCCATGATCCCACATCCCACCCTCCTGTGGCCTGTCCCCACTGGGCAATGGCTGCAACCCTATGGCCAGGCAAAGGTGGGGTGGAAGCAGCAGTGTTTCTAGCTGAACATTTCAAGTCTTTCTGATCCTGTGCTCCAGGAGCAGCCCAGAGCCCCACCCTCGATTGGACATTTGAAGGGTCTGCCAAAAATTAACCACGAAGGCATTTTGTGTGACCCCAGTGCCATGAGGCTAGGAGGCCCCAGCCCAAAGGGAAGGCCCCTGAAGCAAGACAGGGTGCTTGCCACCAACAGCCCGGTGTTTAGCATAAACCCCTTCCTTAGAACCTTGGTACACATTTTGGCTGGGCATGGTTGCTCATGCCTATAATCCCAGCAACTCTGGGAGGCTGAAGCAGGCAGATCTCTTGAGGTCAGGAGTTCGAGACCAGCCTGACCAACATGGAGAAACCCTGTCTCTACTAAAATACAAAAAATTAGCGGGGTGTGGTGGTGGGCACATGTAATCCCAGCTACTTGGGAGACTGAGGCAGGAGAATCACTTGAACCCAGGAGGCGGAGGTTGCAGTGAGCTGAGATCATGCCATTGCACTCTAGCCTGGGCAAGAGTGAAACTCCATTTCAAAAAAAAAAAAAAAGACCGGGCACGGTGGCTCACGCCTGTAATCCCAGTACTGGGAGGCCGAGGCGGCAGATCACGAGGTCAGGAGATGGAGACCATCCTGGCTAACACGGTGTATTTTGTACTAAAAATACAAAAAATTAGCCGGCGTGGTGGCGGGCGCCTGTAGTACCAGCTACTCAGGAGGCTGAGGCAGGAGAATGGTGTGAACCCAGGAGGCGGAGCTTGCAGTGAGCTGAGATTCTGTCTCTGCACTCCACCCTGGGTGACAGAGCAAGACTCCGTCTCAAAAAAAAAAAAAAAAAAAAAATCAGCTGGGCGTGGTGGCACGTGCCTGTAATCCTGGTTACTCAGGAGGCTGAAACAGGAGAATCACTTGAACCTGGGAACTGGAGATTGCAGTGAGCTGAGATCACACCACTGCACTCTACCCTGGGCAACAGAGCAGGACTCCGTCTCAAAAAAAAAAAAAAAAAAAAAGAACCTTGTTACACATTTTGTTCCAGCTCCCAATCCCCAGGCTGGCTGTTCTCCCTGGAGTGTCTGCATATCCCTATCTGAATGTCTCTCTTGTTGAGGGGTCATTGGCCTGGAAGTCCTCCAATGACTCCCTCAGGCCCCCCTCCTGTCCTGAGACATAGGATATGATGTCCCATGTCCACCACTGCTCTGAAGCTCAAGCAGGCCCTGCCATGGGCATGCAACATGTTGAGGACACATAATGTCCACCAGGGCCACAGATATGCTGTAGACACCCACACATAGGTCAGTCTCCAACATGCCTCAGATCCACAGAACACACTCTACAAAAATGGGTACACATGGCCAAGAATACAATCTGTCCACGCACAGACTACAAACTGGCTTCCAAGGTGGGACCCTCCCCTTCCCTCTACCTGTCACCCTGCCCCAGGCTTGAGAGCTGATCCTCGCTCCTCTGGCCTCTCTAGCCTGCTCCTAGCAACAGCCAACAGCTCTCACAGTTGCCAGGCAACAGGGAGAACCTGTCAGCCCCTTGGAGGCCCAGCTCTCAGTAGGTGGGCGCAACACAGACCCCAATCTATGGAGGCAGGGCAAGATGGGGCTACTGGAAGGCATGGCCTTCCCCAGCCCCAGGCCAGGTCCTGTGGTTATGGCACCCTTCCCGCCAGTCAGCTGCTCCTTTCCAGTCCTATGCTCTTCCCAGGGAGTCCAGCAACCCTTGCTTCCACCCTGCTAGCTGCTCCTTCTCCATCTCCATGGGGTCCCCAGGGCTATGGCCAGGCCTCTGCTTGCCACTCCACTCATACACCTCCCACTCTGGGGGCTCAGAACCCCACAAGGTCCTCTCCAGCCTGACTTCTTTGATTGCCAGCCCCATGTCCACCACTGCTCTGAAGCCTCCCCGAGACACCCAGGCACCTCAAATCCACACTGTCCAGAACTGGGTACATCCCATCCCACTGGCCCCTGTTCCCAGGCTCTCCACCACTTCATGATCCCCCCACCAGCCACAGCAATGACCCCCTCCCCTACCCCTATATGCCATCAGCCTCTTCCCTACCTCAATTTCCCCTCCAATCTGTATTTGTTCTCTGTCCCCACTATCTCCCAGCCTAGGATTCTAACGTCTTCCTTGGCTCTCCTGTTTCCCTACAATTTATCCTCCACATGGCAGCCAAGGGCATCCTACTGAAAGAAATCACATCACCCCCTTGCTCGGAAACTTTCTGTGGTTCCCCAATGCCCTGAGAATAGATGAAGCCCCCACACACACTGGTTTGGACTCTGCAGCAGTTGGAGGCTGTAGGCTGGCAGTTGGAAGCAAAGACTCTGAGGAGCAGTTTGCAAACTTGCCAGCTACTTGTTACTTTGGACAAGTACCAGAAACTCCCTGTACCTCGGTTTTCTTATCAGTAAAATGGGCCTAACGGTTATACATACCCAAAGCACAGGCAGAGGTCAGGACTCCAGGAGGAAACATGTAAAACATGCAGAATGTGCATGGCACATAGAAAGCCCTCAATAAGGGTGAGGTGTTATAGTAGTGATTTCTTTTTTTTTGAGACTGAGTCTGACTCTATCACCCAAGCTGGAGCGCAGTGGCATGATCTTGGCTCACTGCAACCTCCGCCTCCTGGGTTCAAGTGATTCTTGTGCCTCAGCTCCCCAAGTAGCTGGGATTACAGGCGCCTGCCACCACACCCGGCTAATTTTTGTATTTTTAGTAGAGATGGGGTTTTGCCATGTTGGCCAGGCTGGTCTCAAACTCCTGACCTCAGATGATCTGCCTGCCTCGGCCTCCCAAAGTGCTGGATTGCAGGTGTGAGCCACCGTGCACGGCCCTTTTTTTTTTTTTAATAGAGATGAAGTCTCACCATGTTGTCCAGGCTGGTCTCAAACTCCTGGGCTCAGGCAATCCTCCCGTCTTGGCCTCCCAAAGTGCTGGGATTACAGGCATGAACCACTGTGCCTGGCCCAATAGTAGCGATTTCTGTAAGGCTTTATGATTGTCCCCACTCAAGGGTCCACCTCATGTCCCTCCACTTGCAACACACTGGCACTCCAACCATCTGGCTTGCCTTGCTCTCTCCATCCCTCGATCTTCCCTCCCATCCCCCTACCCTGTTAAATTAATCCCTCCTCCCCACCTTTCATTCCCTGGCTGTGAGCTGGGCTTCTCTGAGTCCCATTGTCCTCGGGCTTCCCCTTCCCCAGCCAGATCCCACTATTCTGGTCGTGGGTCTCTCCCACTCATATCCCTAATTCCAGGCCCCTTGCAGGGTGGCAGGTAAATATGTATCAACTTAAATGAATAAGGCCGGGTGCGGTGGCTCGAGCCTGTAATCCCAGCACTTTGGAAGGCTGAGGTGGGCAGATCATGAGGTCAAGAGATCGACTATCCTGGCCAACATGGTGAAACCCCATCTCTACTAAAAATACAAAAATTAGCTGGGCGTGGCAGCGCATGCCTGTAATCCCGGCTACTTGCGAGGCTGAGGCAGGACAATCGCTTGAACCCAAGAGGCAGAGGTTGCAGTGAGCTGAGATCGCACCATTGCCCTCCAGCCCGGCAACAGAGGTAGACTCTGTCTCAAAATCAATCAATCAATCCATCAATCAATCTCTTCATCCTGGAGCTGGGAGCTGCTGCCCCTCTGGAAATATTCATGTAGTTGTATACGCAGAGAAAAGAGAAACCAATAGTGCCTGGGAAGGTCAGGAAGCTTTCTTTGAGGAGGTGATGCAGGGAGTGCTAGAGGGAGAAGAACAGTGCGGAAGAATATTGCAAGAAGATGGAAGAGTACATGCAAAGGTAGGGTGGTAGGTCTGAGAGGCAGGGGTCTGGGGAAGGGCTAGCGAGAAAATTAAGGCTGAGAGCTGAAGAAACAAACCCCTTGCTTTGCAGCTGAGTCAGCTGAGGTCCAGAGTGGGCCAGGAGCCAGTCACAGTCATCAGTGAGGTACATCGTGGGCATCTCAGTTTCTTCATACTCAGGAATCCAGGAGTCCTTTCAGGAGAGTTCATTTTGGGGGCAGAGGGCAGCTGCCTAGCCAGGGCCTCACGAGCACCAGAGGAGGCATGACTTGACCCCATGCCCACCAGGCCCAGCACCGCTTGGACTAGACCATAAAGGACAATGGAATGACATCAGCAGAGTTGAGGGTGGCCCCTCAGCTGGAATGGAGAAGTGGCAGCTGCTGGTTCACCCCTACTGCCAGAATAGTCTTGGGGCTCACCACAGGCAGCACAGCAGGTCCAGCTTGGCCTGAGTTCCTATCGAGCAGTAGCCCTGAGCAGGTTGAGGAATGAAGACCCTCTCAGTGGGCTGTGACATGCTTGCCTGCAGGCTCTAGGAAGGGGAAGCTGCTAGCACTTCCCCAAAGGCAGTTTCGGGGTGGGTGTGCCTGTCCCTGCCCAGAGTCCAGGACTAGGTAGGACCCCACAGGGATGCCCAGAGTTCAGGATCCTGACCACCCTACCTCCACGGCTCCCAGATGACAGGGAGTCCCTGGCCAAGGACCTGTGACCAACTCAATCACAGCCTTGCAGCTACTGCTTGTAGACCTCGTGGCTACAGCTTGCTCCCGCCTTACTGCCCTGGGGCAGGTTCTACTTCCTGGTTCAACTCCTGCGCTTTCCCCTTCCTGCTTCTTAGCCCAGTGGAAGTTCTGAAACTGGAGTCAGCCATCCTGCCCTCCCTCCCTGCTCCCTTGCAGACCCCTCTTCCCAGGCCTCTCTTCGTCCAGGAGGAAAACTCAAAAGCCTGGGGGTCCTGGATCCCAAAGTCCCCCTTTCTGGTCATCCACCCTCTTCACAGATCATTGGCTTTGACCTGGAGAATTCAGGCCCCAGCACCCCTTCCCCATAAGCTTCTGGATTAGGCAAGGGGGCCCAACCTGACACAGGGGTGGCGGCTGGGGGGCAGTGCGGGAGGATCCAGAGGAAGGGGTCATCTGTTCAACCACTGTTCCCTGAACATATTGCCTGCCAATGTGCTGAGAACCCTATGGTAAAAGAGGCAGCTGGGCCCTGTCCTTGAGGAACACACACCAAACAAACAGGGAAATGAACTTCACCATTTCAGAGGAAATCAACAGGGTGACACTAGAGCCACTGGGAGGTATGTGCAGGAGAAGATAGTCTGAGGAGGGGATCTTTGAATCATGTGGAAGGACCAGTCTTGTAACAAGCCAGAAGAGAGTGACGACAGAGGCAGCAGCAAGTGCAAGGGCCCTGGGTTGGGAAGGAGCTGGATGCTCCCAAACCAGAGAGGAGTCCAGCCGGGCCAGAATAGCGAGAGCAAGAGAAGACTGGTGTGAGAGGGGACTGCCATGAGGCATCATGGAGGAACAAGCCACACAGGGGGTTCCAAAGTCTCCAGGGGATGCTGAGGTAGGGGCACCAACATCTCCAAGCCAGTGATCCACACCTAGCCCTACAAACCCAACTGGTTCTGGCATTCAGGGTGTTCCTGTATGACTGGGGAGGAGCTACCCAAGCCCTGCAGGGAACTCAGGAGCTCTCAGGGCTTTGGGGCCAAGGCCTAAACTTAACCTCCCTCCTTTTCTTTGTCCTTGAAGAGTTCATGGTACAACCTGCCACTGTGCCTGTTGCATAGGCAGTCTCCAAAGGCCACCTCCCCTGGGAAGCCCAGGGTCCTTGGGGGGCCTGGGAAATGATAATCAATTCTATTCCCAGGAGCTACTGCTTTGTTCATGTTATTGCCTAGTCCTCCTTGCCATGCTTTCCAAAGGCTGGGGCTGGTAGCCTCTCCCGTGACTCGTTAGGGCTGTCATTAGCACTGCTTCCTGGAATTTAATTTAATGAAGGAGCAAAAACAGCCCTAATGAAGGTGATGCAACAGCAAACAGCCAAGCAAGGTGCACCTTGCCAGCTGGGCTCAGGGGCTTCCTGTAGATTGTGACTAGGAGCAAGGGAGTAATAGGGGAGGAGGGACCTGTTGCGGGAGGGAAGCTGGTCACTGAGTTCTGGACGCACAAGCATCGCTCTGCCTGTACCGTATGGAGCAAATACTGCGATCAAGGCCAAGCAGACAGAGTTAGGGAAGTGGGCCTTGTCAGGAGTGACTTCAGGCTGTTGGAGAAAAAGCTTTTGAAAAGCTATCAGCCAGTGCAAAGGCCCTAATGTGAGGGCCAGCATGGCATGCCATGCCAACAGGACAGGCTGTGGGCTAGTACCAGGGGGCAGGGGTCAGCAGGGGCCAGATCATCCCGGCCATGGGGCAAGAAAGTTTAAATTGCATTCCAAGTATGAAGGAAACAACTGGAGGGTGTTGAAGGCAGAATGACATCATCTGAATTTTTTTTTTTTTTTTTTTTGGAGACGGAGTCTTGCTCTGTCACCCAGGCTTGAGTGCAGTGGCGCGATCTTGGCTCACTGCAGCCTGTCTCCCAGGCTCAAGCGATTCCCCTGCCTCAGCCTCTGAGTAGCTGGGATTACAAGGCGCGCCCCCACGCCCAGCTAATTTTTTTGTATTTTTGGTAGAGACGGGGTTTTGCCATGTTGGCCAGGCTGGTCTCAAACTCCTGGCCTCAGGTGATCCGCCCACCTCGGCCTCCCAGAGTGCTAGGATTACAGGCGTGAGCTACCGTGCACCGTGCCCGGCCAACATGATCTGATTTTTAAAGTTCCTTCTGGTTGCTATGAGTAGTAGAACCTGAGGATAAGAGAGATGGGAGGATAGGAGGTGGGCACCATTCGAGGGAAATGGAGTGAAGCCTGTGGAGACAGGGCTGTCCCGTCTCCGGGGAGAAGAGAGCTGGTGAGGGGGCGGGGAGCAATTATAACGGGAGTGAGTTTTTGTTTCCTCCAGCAGGTTTGGGCGGGCTGGTCCCCATTCAGCCTTCCCTCCAAATGGGCGTGGCTCAGACACCTAAAGATCGGTCTAAAGGGGCTCCCAATGTCCCCGTATCTGCTTTCCCGCCTTTGTGCACCTCTCTACCTCTAGGAAGCCTTCCTTGCCCTGTCCTGGGTCTTGGCCAGCGGTGGGCTCCCCAGGGACCTCACCAGGACGGCATTTTGCGAGGTAAAAAGCCAGGAGGCTCAGCAGTGGACCGAGAGCTGCGCAGGGTGCAACCTTGCAGGGTGCTACCTGCCCTTGGCCCTGCCCACCGCAGCCCCTCCCTAATTCTTATTTTCCCCCTTGTCCACTCCCAGTGCAACCTCCTAGTTCTTCACCTCCCCCAGGTTCTCTCACCCACGCCCCGCCCAAGGCGTCCTCCCCCGATTCTGGCCTCTCCTGCAGAGCCGAAGCCGGAAGCGGCCTCGGGGTGCGCTGCACCGCCTCTTCCGGGGCCTCTCTAGGCCGGAGCGCGGGATTTCGGTGGCCGGGAGAGGCCGGAACGGCTTCGCGGGGCAGCGGCGCCTCCTGGCGGGCCTGGGGTGCGGCGCGGGAGCCGAGGCCGACCTAGCACCTCCCCGCGCCCCAGCCCCCGCCTCGCGGCCCCCACTCACGGTGGCCCCCGCCTTGCCTGCTCTCCTGTCTCGCTCTGCCTCCGGGCCTGGCCCCCGCCTCCGCCGACCTGCCACTCCTTGGCCGTCGAGGCCCGGTCTCCGCAGAGCTGCAGCCGTCACGCGTCCTCTTGCAACTAGCCCTCTGTGGCACCCCATCCCCCTTGCCCCGCGCGGGGCCCCACCTCGCCAGGGTCTCCTCCGCGATAGCCGCCATCGGCTTACCCTCAGAACGTCCCCAGTGACACCCGCCTTTCTGCTTCGTCCAGCCTAGCGTCTTCACACCCTCCGTCATGAGACGCTCCCTCCTTCTCGCGCTTCCACTTCACAGCAGAGATTAGACGGTGATGTGGGTGATTCTCCCGCTGGGCACCTCGCCTGCTTCCTGAGGGCGGAGTAGCTCCGCATCGCCCATGCCAGCCTAGGGCCGCTGCGCCGTGGGGGCTCGGATGACTTGCTGAGTTTGATTTCAGAGTCATCGGGAGGATAGAGAGGAACTGGGTAAAATTTGCTCTCAGAGGCTCACGCCTGTCATCCCAGCACTCTGGGAGGCCAAGGCGGGCGGATCACGAGGTCAGGAGATCGAGACCATCCTGGCTAACACGGTGAAACCCCGTCTCTATTAAAAATACAAAAAATTAGCCGGGCGCGGTAGCGGGCGCCTGTAGTCCCAGCTACTCGGGAGGCTGAGGCAGGAGAATGGCGTGAACCCGGGAGGCGGAGCTTGCAGTGAGCCGAGATCGCGCCACTGCACTCCGGCCTGGGCGAAAGAGTGAGACTCAGTCTCAAAAAAAAAAAAAAAAATTTCTCTCAGAACACATAGTCAATGGCGGACATAGTCAATGGCGGGTCTGGGGGTCCGGCCTCTTCCTCTACTCCGGGCTTCCCCCAAGGTCAGGCAGTCCGTGGGGGGTCTGGCTGGCTCCCTGCAGTACACACCTGCGCCGATGCCCAGCGTTGAGGCCCTACCCATCCCGGGGGACCTTTCCCCTCCCGCCTCCCGCCCTTCTGTCGGCTTTCTTCCCACGGATCTGCCAGGAAGCCTTCCAGGACTGTCCTGGAGCATCAAGGCTCGACCGCACGGCCATGGGTACCGACCATCCCAGCCACACGGCTGGGCAACGTGTGGTGGGTCACCGCGCAGCCAGACTCCGGCTGGTGACCGCCAGGGGTCAGCAGAGGCCTCCTTTTGCATAGCTTGGCGGATTAGGTCGCTGGCTAATCCTGTGTGTGTAGCCAGGCGGTTTGTAGACTTGTGTGGTTGGAAAGTAGTTTTATGCTTTCAGATTTTTCCAGGGCTGCTCTTCTTTCTAAGCAACCTTCAGTCAATTATTACTGCTCCGCGTTGTTGGAAAGTCAGTTGCTGGGTGACTTTAAACTAGGGTCCAGGCAGACATCTTTTTTCTTTTCTTTTTTTTTTGGAGACAGGGTCTTGCTCTGTAGCCCAGGCTGGAATGCAATGGCGAACTCGGCTCACTGCAACCTCCGCCTCCCGGGTTGAAGCGATTCTCTGGAGGTGCCTCAGCCTCCAGAGTAGCTGGGACTACAGGTGTGTGCCACCATGACCGGCTAATTTTTGTATTTTTAGTAGAGACAGGGTTTTGCCATGTTGCCAGGCTGGTCTTGAACTCCTGACCTTAAGTGAATCCCAAAGTGCTGGGACTACAGGCATGAGCCACCACACCTGGCCTAGGCAGACATCTGAATTGTCCCCTGGGTCTCTCCACGGCTCCTTGCCATCCTTGCCTGCGTCTTGGACCCGCTGTGTCCCTAGCCACCAGCACTTGACCAGGCAGGTCAGTGGCCAAGCTGCACACTCCCTGATGTCCAGACCCCCACTATCCAATCTCTGTCTACTGTTTTCCAGCTCAGTTTCCAGCACCCCCATCCTGGAAGTCTTTCACTGAGCTCAAACCTACCCTCCTACCAGCTGCTTCCATTCTCTCACCTCAATACCTTCTTCTTTCCAGTCTTTCTTCCTCCCACCCACAGACGGAGTCTCACTCTGTTGCCCAGGCTGGATTGCAGTGGTGTGATCTCGGTTCACTGCAGCCTCTGCCTCTCAGGTTTAAGCAATTCTGCTTCAGCCTCCCGAGTAGCTGGGATTACAGGTGTGCGCCATCACACCTGGCTAATTTTTGTATTTTTAGTAGAGACGGGGTTTCACCATGTTGGCCAGGCTGATCTCAAACTCCTGACCTCATGATCCACCCGCCTCGGCCTCCCAAAGTGCTGGAATTACAGGCGTGAGCCACCGTGCCCGGCCAACTTTCCAGTCTTTCTTAAAAGCCACTGTTGGCTCTGCCCCTCTCACTTCACACAAGTTGTTTACACTGGCTCTTTCCAGTTCTACCTCACTTTCTCCTCTGCCCACTCCAGGCAGGCCTGTCCCTCCCTCACAAAAGTGCCCTGGTCAGGGTCCTTAGGGATCCACAGGTGTCCGAATTCAGTGGTCCATCCTCTACCCTCAACTCCTTGGCAGCATCTGACACTTACCTGGCTCCAGGTGCCCATGCTCTCCCAGTTTTCCTCTCACCTCCTGGCTACTCCCGCCCAGCTCCTTTGCTGGTTCTGCCTCATCTTCCAGGGCTCAGTGCTTACTGCCGCCCTCCTCTGTCTGAACTTAGCTTCTTCCCATCCCATGGCTTTAAACACCACTTGCTTTGCTTCCCAGATCCAAAGCTTCATCACTGGCCACTCTACTGAACTCAACGCATACACCCAGCAGTTGACTCGGCACCTGCACTTTGATGTCCAGTCAATGTTTTTTTTTTTTTTTTTTTTAGACGGAGTCTCACTCTGTCACCCAGGCTGGAGTGCAATGGTGTGGTCTCGGCTCACTGCAACCTCCGCCTCCCGGCTTCAAGCGATTCTCCTGCCTCAGCTTCCCGAGTAGCTGGGACTGCAGGCACGTGCCACACCTGGCTAATTTTTGTAGTTTTTAGTAGAGATGGGGTTTCACTATGTTGGCCAGGCTGGTCTCGAACTCCTGACCTTGTGATTCACGCGCCTCGGCCTCGCAAAGTACTGGGATTACAGGCGTGAGCCACCATGCCCTGCCGATGTCCAGTCAATGTTTTAAACTCTTCATGGACAAAACTTATCTCTCTCCCAAGCCTGCTCCTCCTCCAGCCTCCTGCAGTGGCACCTCTATCACTAGACAACCTTGGAGTCACCCTTGACTTACTTCTGCCTCTCCTCCCCTACTGGAACCATCCGGGAAGCCTGCCACCTCTACCTTTAGGACAAGCCTAGTGCCTCATCCTGCCTCTACCATCACCTGGGCTAAGACATGCAACATGATTATTTGGAATAACTACAGGAGCCCTTGTGTCAGTGTCACCCTTGCCCCCCATTCCCCACCCAGAGCCTAGTCTTAATGCAGCAGCCGGAATAATCTATTTAAAACTTAGACTTATGCCTGACACGGTGGCTCACACCTGTAATCCCAGCATTTTGGGAGGCCAAAATGGGAGAATTGCTTGAGACCAGGACTTTGAAACCAGCCTGGGAAACATGATGAGACCCTGTCTCTACAAAAAAATAGGATACAAATAAGCAGGCAGTGGTGACATGTGCTTATAGTCCCCAGCTACTCAGGAGGCTGAGGCAGGAGGGTCCCTTGAGTCTAGAAATTCAAGGCGGCAGTGAGCTGTGATCATGCCATTTGCACTCCAGCCTGGACCACAGAGCTAGACTCTGTCTCAAAAAAAAAAAAGTTCCTTTCTCAGGCCCACTCTGACCCCCGTCCCCCACCTCCCATTTTTCTTATCTTGTTGCTTTTACTCCCTGTAGTACTGAGCATCTTCTAACCACATGATAGAATTTAGTGGTTAGGTTTAATGCTGCTTTTTTGGATCTAATCCCCATCCTGGACAGTAAGTTCAAGGAAGGCCAGGGTCTTCACTTTGTTCACTGCTTTATTTGCAGGTGCTAGATGAGTGCCTGGCGTGTAGGAACTGTCAATAAATACTTGTTGAATGAATGAATGAATGAGTCAAGAGGCAAATGTGTGCTTGTGCACACAGGTGAGAAGGGTGTGGGCAAGGGCAGCTGCTGGGCAGGGAGACTGAGACCCATGCTTTTGCCCCCCTTCCTGCTCTTATTTTTCTATAATAAGCAGTCATAAGAAAAACAGTGAAAAGAAATATAGAAGACCTTTGTGCTGGACCTTCAGGCTGCTCTAACTTATCAATATTCCAAACAGAACAATTTTTCCAGAACTATTTATTTATTTATTATTATTATTATTCTTTGAGATGGAGTTTGGCTCTTGTTGCCCAGGCTGGAGTGCAATGGCTTGATCTTGGCTCACCTCAACCTCCACCTCCCGGGTTCAAGCGATTCTCCTGCCTCAGCCTCCCAAGTAGCTGGGATTACAGGCATGCGCCACCATGCCTGGCTAATTTTTTGTATTTTTAGTAGAGACGGGGTTTCTCCATGTTGGTCAGGCTGGTCTCGAACTCCTGACCTCAGGTGATCCGCCTGCCTCAGCCTCCGAAAGTGCCGGGATTACAGGTGTGAGCCACCACACCCGGCCTAGAACTATTTATTTATCTATTTGTTTGTTTATTTATTTTTTGAGACAGAGTCTTGCTCTGTTGCCCAGGCTGGAGTGCAGTAGCACAATTACAACTCACTGCAGCCTCAGTCACCCAGGCCCAAGTGATCCTCCTGCCTCAGCCTCCTGAATAGCTGGGACTACAGGCATGAGCCACCACACCCTGCTAATTTTTCAATTTTTTTTTCTTTTTTTAGAGACGAGGTTTCACCATGTTGCCCAGGTTGGTCTTGAAATCTTGAGTTCAAGTAGTCTGCCCACCTCGGCTTCCCAAAGTGCTGGGATTACAGGTGTGAGCCACCATGCCCGGCCCCAGAACAATTTTTTAAAAGGTAACAAAGGAAAAAAACTGGAAAAATTTTCAACACATACTCAAATGATTAATGATGCCTGAGGGCCTGCAGATCATGGAGGCCAAGTGTCTGGAATTTAACAGCCAGGGACAAGGGATACTCATTTTCAAACAGTCATGTGGACACTTGGCTCTTGAATCTAGTGTAGTGGTCACATTACCTGCCTCCTCCCTGCCGGAGCCTGCTGCCCATGGTCAGGCTGGAGGAGGCCTGACTGGGCAAGCAGAGCTGGCCTCTTGGGGCCAGGGCCCAGGGTCCTTCCCCACCCCATTTGTGTGTATGTGTATGCATGGGGGGTGCTACTGTTAGCACATCCCCTTGGTCTGAGGGGCCTGAAGCCAGACCTGGTGTCCTGCTGCTGCTCTGACCTGCAGCCTTCTTTGGATGGAGGGAGTATAAGAGAAAACCCCCAGGTCTGCCTGCAGGATGGACTTGCCCTTCATTGACCCCCACTGCCCAGGAGCCAAGGGTTCCAGGCAAGGTTATGGCCCCATCGAGACCTCTAGAGGGCAGCCCCTCTCATCAGAACACACTGCGCTGCATCTACCTCTAGGCCAGTGACCAGCTCTTTCCTGGGGCCACAGGGCTCCTGGGTGAGTCCCCAGCCTGGAGTCAGGCGCCTGGGCCTGATGGGAACAGGACTCAGGAAGCTCCCCTCGGCTGAGCTGGCACTGCCGTGGGCCTAGCAGCCACCGGCTTGAGGAAGTTCTTTCTTCAGGGTTTTCCCGAGCTGGCAGCTGCCTTGCAAATTCAAACTGGATCTTTCCTGCAGCCCTTTCCCCGGCGGCCTAGCCTGGTGCAGGGTCTCTCCTAATGAGGGTTTGGTGCCAAGGCCTGGGCAGCTCCATCCCACTGGATCCCAGCTGGTTCAGGCCTGCCCAAGGCAGTGGGCAGCTTCCCAGTCTCACCGGGGCCAGGACACCTGGGGCTGTCCTGCTTCCTTGCAGCCCCTGCCGTACCTTGGACTCCCACCTCTCTTTGCCATTTGGGGCCCCACACACAGGGACTACTAACCCACTTTATTCGTAGTGGATTTTACTGTTGATAAAAAGATCAGCCCAACAGGGCACAGGATTCCTGGACTTTTGTCCCCAGACTCAGGGCATTGACAGAGAGTTGACATGGCAGCCTGGGAGCTAGGGGAGGGCAGGGGGCCCTTCCTGGGGCTCCCTCAGGGCTCAGCTGCCCCCAGCTCAGACCCTCCCTGAAGCTGCTGGGGATGCACCTCACGTTGCCTCCTTCCGGAGGCCTCTCTCTGTCCCACTTCCTGGGGCCTCATTAATTCCTCCCCACCTCAACCCGTGAGAAAGCAGGTCTGTGCTGAGCCTGGCCCAGGCCCAGAGCTGGGTCTGAGTGTGCCACTGGTTAGTTTGGGAGGCAGGGGGTGGGGTGGGTGGGGGACTTGCCCTGTCCCCACCCTCATCCCAGACAAGGAGACGGGGGCCCTCCATCACCATCCATGTTCTGGCCCGTACCTCACTTTCCAGGAATCCAGGGACCATGGAGACCAAGAATAGAAAACACAGCTGGTCTTATGTATAATATTTATAAAAGAGGGCTGCCAGCCTCCCCACCCTATCCCAGTGTGGCCACTGGGGTCTTTGGCTCCCGGGGGCAGGCCACTCTGGGCCTCGGCCTGTTTCTTCTCCCAGCAGTGGAATGTGAGCTGTGGCCCAGGCTTGTGGCAGGGGGAGTCCCAGCCTCCCCAGGACTGGTGAAGGGACAGGACAGGGGTCTCTTGGGGGTCCCTACACCAGCCCCACCCTCAGCAGAACCTGCTGGCCCCAGCTATGGGGTATGGGAGGGTGTCATCCTGTGAAGGGAGATGGGAGAAGAGTATCCAAGGGCCCAGGAGTCTGAAAAGGGCCTAGGGAATAAAAGGGGGGAAAACAAGTGGGCTGGGGGAGATGAGGCCCCAGGGCGCAGACCGTGGCCTAGCAGCAGGGTCGGGGGATGGCTGCAGGCTGATCCCAGCTGTGTATGTTCCTACAGGCTGTGTCACCTCAGGAGGCAGCTGCTGGGCCCCAGTGTATGCATCTGTGCAAGGAGGGAATGAGGGGCTTGGGCGGGATCTAAGGCGACAGCCCTACCCTGCTCCCAGTTCAGGAAGCCTCTACAGCTCCAGAGCCTAGCAGGGTAGTGGCCCAAGGGCCTTGGTCCTGGCTCTTGAACAAAAACCTTCCACAGAGAGGACATGGGGCCTGGCTGAATGCCACAGTGTTAATCGCGTCTTTCTCCTCCCCCGACTGGCCACTGGATGGGAGCAGGGGCTGAAGAGTCTGGGCAGGGCTGCTAGGGTGAGTAGACAGAACAGGATGAGGGTCACCCTAGTGGTTTCCTCCATGCCGGCTGGTCCCTGAGGCCCAGTCAATGATGATGAAGCTCAAGCTCATGGTCATCAGCAAGAAGCCAAGCATAGCAAAACACAGGGCCTGTGGAATCAGAAGTCAGGGTCAGGTCCGAGGTCAGGGCAGTTCCCTTAGCCCCATACCAGCCCACCGGCCTCCAGGCCCCTCGCACCAGGATTTTGGGGGTGGATCTTGCAGGCTCCTTCTCCGTGGGCATGATTCGGAAGTAGAAGATGGCAGGGAAGATGAAGATGAGGAATGGGGCAGATGTGGCACCTGCAAAGAACAAGACATGGCCACTGCTGGCTCATATCCTCCTACTGACTAAGGTTCGGGGGTGGACTCTTCAATGAGATCAAACACTCCTTGTTGAGGGAGTTTCATGTTGAGACCACTGGAGAGCTCTGCCTGATTCTAGCCCACCAGCCTCTCCCCCTTGTTCTCCATCCATGAGGATAGAAGGCTGGTGATGTTGGTGTCAGAAGAATGTCAGCCAATGAAGCTAGCAATGAGGAAAGGCAAATCAAGAGATGGAGAGAGATGAGGGCTTAAGGGTATTGGGCTCCAGGCTGCAGCTATACTTGAAGGCTTCTCCGTTATTTGAGCCAGTGGATTCCTTTCTGCTTAATTCATTTCGAGTTGGATTTCGGACATAGAGAACGAAGAGTGCTGTCCGTGATATCCATGACACTCAGCCCCCAGGTCTGTTTGTCAGTCCTGGCAGAGTTTGTTAGTCCTCTGAGTTGGATCACCCCAAAGACATTTCAGAATTGTCTGCTCTACCAGCTGAGAGCCCCATCTGGAATGAGGCAGTGGATGGAGCATCAAACTTGGAGTCCAGTGATCCTGGGGCTGAATCAAGCCCAAGGCTCCTATTCACCAGCTGTGTGGCCCTGCTGCTCCTTTAATCACTCTGAACTTTAGTTTCCTGACATGTGAAATGTGGACAAGACCCAGTGAGATCCTTTGAGGCGGCCTCTGATCCCTGGGATCCACCCCTGTCCTCCAGCAAGGGGGACTGACTCAGTGGCTCTGAGCCCTGAAAAGGGATTAGAATAGCCTATGGACAAAAGCTCAGATGGAAGGCCAAACTGTGCACATGGCCACTGCACTTAATGTAGGGTGTAAGCTCAGGAATCTGCCAGGATTTGCAGAGTTGAAATCCTCTGGGGCAATACCCTGCTTCCACAGCAGGGCCAGACCCTCACCGATGACCCCAAAGATGCCCAGGATGTTGGGGGCAAAGATGACCAGCAGGTTGATACAAGTGAGCAGGCCAACGGCAATAAGCACATGCCGCAGCCAGCTGAACTCCTGGTTTGGAAACAGCATCTGCTGGATGGCGCGGCGCACCTGGGGGGCAGGTGAGAAGAATCATCAGCCTGTTGGCCCCATCAGCCCCTCCCGCCACTAGTCTAGCCACCTGCCCACCAGCTCACCGGGAACAGAACGATGGGCACTGTGAGCGTGACTGCTGTCAGCACGGCCACGCGCACACACAGGATCAGGACGTCAAACGGGTCCACCTTGCTGTAGGTGTGCAGCAGCTCCGACTCCACCCCGTCTGTGGCAGGCAGGGAGGGTGGTCAGTAGGTGGCCCCAGGAAGGAGGTGGGATCTGAGCTGCCTAGGGGACCCCAACACTGTGGGGATTGGCATGCAGACTCACCTCCACAGCGGCAAGGCACAGCCAGGCACCACACGCCTCGGTATGGAGGGCACCATGGCCACAACCAGCCCCTTCCCCCCAGCCTAGCCTAGGCCTCTGCCCACCGGTGCCACCGTACTGTAGAAGGTGAGGTAGCCGAAGAGGGCAGCCAGGAAGTACATGATGTACATGACAGCGATGGACAGGTTGGAGATGTGCTGCATCTTCTTCTTGGAGGGGCTGTGGGGAAGTGGGGGGGTGGGTGTTGGTGACAAGCTGGGTAACATTGGGAGACCCCCATGTGCCCCAAGCTCTCTCTGGCACCATACTTTCACCATTCAGCATCTGAGGGAGTCTCCTTCTTGCTCATAATCACCTCTCATGGCTGCCAAGGACATCTCAGATAAAGTGACTTGGCTCCTGTCACTCCCCTCTCCACATTCAGGACCACATCCATTCTCCCCAAACCAGCTCAGGGCATCCCCACCCCCACTCCCAGCCACAGACACCTACTCCTTGAGCTCAGTATAGATGGGCAGCACCTCGGGGTGGCAGACGAAGGCGAAGGCCATGATGGGGATGGTGTATGCTGTCTGGGGAAACACGGGGCTGTGTCAAGGCAGTCTGCCACTCTCATTGGGCCCCCGCCTTGCCCTGACCTGTCAGAACCTGTGAGTTGAGCGTGAAGTAGCTGGGAGTGCAGAAGGCTGAAGCCTCAGGCTCGACCTGCAGCTGCACCTTCTCCTTCACGATCTCCACGTGGCTGAAGTTGCCTGTGGTGTTGTTGAAGTTGGGGGGCAGTGGGCAGGGCACGTGGAACTTTTTGTAGATGACCTGGAGTGGGGAGGGATGAGGGTGTCAGAGACTCCCAGGCTGGACTGCCTGGGAAGTCACCATGAAGCCACATCTAGATCAGGACTGGTGGAGCTGCCTTCTGGCCCAGGCTTCCCAGAGACACCTGCCCCCTCCTGATGACAGGGAACTCCCCCAGGAGACCCGCTGCCCGCTTTCTCAGCCAACATGGAGGGTGACTCACTGCAATTAGGAAGAACACCATGCAGCTAAGAGAGAAGCCGCTGGAGTAGCCCAGGTAGCCTGCAAAGTGGAGGGAGCACTCTGAGACCTGGGGCCCCTCCCATGGTGTATGCCTCCAACATCCCCTCCAAGGCTCTGACCCTTCCACACTCACCAAGCTGCCGCATCAGTGCCAGGGGCAGAATGATGGTGACAGAGACAAGGATTACCAGGTAGTTCCCGTTCATGTACCAGTCCCTGCAGGGACATGAGTCGGGAGCCAGGGTCAGAATCCATTCAGCCTGGGATGGGGCCCCTGCCTCCCTCTGCTGGAGTTACCAATGGTGCCACTGAGTGACATCTGAAGAATGTTTGTCCACAGCTCTGAGTCTCACTTTCCCCATCTGCAAAATGGGCATGCCCAGCTGGGCGCGGTGGTTCACGCCTGTAATCCCAGCACTTTGGGAGGCTGAGGTGGGTGGATCATCAGGTCAGGAGTTCGAGACCAGCCTGACCAACATGGTGAAACCCCATCTCTACTAAAAATACAAAAAAATTAGCCGGGCATGGTGGCACACGCCTATAATCTCAGCTACTCAGGAGACTGAGGCAGGAGAATCACAAGAACCCGGGAGGCAGAGGTTGCAGTGAGCCAAGATTGTGCCACTGTACTCCAGCCTGGGCGACTGAGCGAGACTCCGTCTCACAAACAAAACAAAACAAAACAAAACAAAACAAAGGGCGTGCCTTCAGTACTGTCCTTCAGGGTGACATGAGAACTAAGGTTCCAGCCTGGCACACAGCTCATGCTCAGGACCCTCTCTATTGTAGGCACTGCTGTTGCTTTTCTCAGGATACACAGGTCTGGGCCCAGCCTTTGGATGGAGGTGGGTGGGAGGAGGAAGAGGGACCTGGTTCTAGAGGGAGGTGGTATTTTCCACGGGGGTTTCTGGCACTTGCAATAACCTGTGCTCCTTGCGGTTCCTTCTGGCATCTGGGCCTTGCCTCATCCGGCCCCCTCCTCTACCCACCAGGAATGGATACGGGGCACAGAGAAACAAGGGGATAAGGGCCAGGACCATCCTCAAAGGCAAGCCCTGAGGCCAACTCCTTGGGAAAGGCCCAGGGCCCCAGCGGCAGAATCCTGGCTCTCCCTCTTGCCGGAGCTACTCTCAGCCTCCCAGCCCCTCTGCTTGCTCGGGCTGGGCTGTCAAGAGCAGGGCCTGGCTGTGTCCCCTCTGTCCCACAAAACACGTTTGATGCCCAGTCAATGCTGGCTAAAGTGATAGGCAACTGGGACACCTGGGCTTAATATCTTGGTTGGGGGGGGCAACCCCATGGTCAGGAATAGCAGGCGCTTAGAGCTAAGCCTGAGCCTCCCACGCTCACAGGCTGGGTCCGGGGTGAGGAGAGGCCCAGCTTCCTCAGCTGCACCCTGCCCCTAGCCCCACAAGCCCCTTCTGGAGGGGGGTCTCCAAGGTGCTTCCCAAGTGAGTGTGAACTGAATGCTGGCTCTGCGGGCAACTCTCCCCACTCCACCAGCTTCTTGTCTGCTTTGTCTTGTCTCTCCCACCAGCCCAGCCTGGGCCCCCCCACCCTCACCCAGCCCCACCCCACCCCACCCCTCCTCACTGCACCGCACCCCTCCCCTCCCCTCCCCACGCCAGGGCTCACGAGGTTTTCTCCTCCAGGTTCAGGAAGGTCTGTATGACAAGTGGCAGCTCAGACTTGATGATGTACAGGTAGCTGGACATGGCTGTGGGGAGAGGGGCGGGCAGGCAGGCGCTGAGGTCAGCCCAACCAGCCAGCTTTCAGGGCTGTCCACCTCCCTACTGCCTGCCCCTGCCCACTGCTCTTACCTCCGATGTTCTGGAGCGTGATGGCCAGGGCTGCTGCCAGCTTTCCTGGGGTCCCAAAGGCACGGTAGCCCAGCTGCTCATAGGCACGGATGCCTGCAGGAGCAGGGTCAAGAAGTCAGGAGCTTGTCCCAGTTTACCCACCAGCTCCCGCCCATTCCAGGCTGGTGTGAGGCTCACCCACGACCCCTGAGGACTTGAGTAGCAGGTGGATGGAGTAGCTGGAGAGCAAGGCGACAGCTGTCAACAGGAACCTGGGGACACATGGGAAGATGGAAGAAAAAGAGGCCACTGGGGGGCTACCGTGGCTGGCAGAGGGTGAGGGGCTCTGGGAGGCCTGGGGGTGGAGGGTCTGTGACCTGGGTGTCTGGACTCCCAACAGGTATGGATGCCAGCTCAGCAGGCCCCAGGGGTGATGAACACCACCCCCTTTGATCCAGGGTGCGACACACCCCAGAAGGGGCCCTCTGGGTCAAGAGTGTCCCTGTGACTGCCCTCTGAGCACGTCCTCCTCTTGAGTCCTTGAAACAAACATGTTTTCCATTCTGGCTTCAGGGCAGAGCCCCCAGCCAAAGGACACGTGTGCCCACACAAGGCCTGGCCGTGGGGCTTGGCCATCACGTGTAAGGTGCCAAAAGGACAGTCTCTGGCCTGTAAGACCGGCCTGTGTTGTGACCTCAGTCGGTTTACTGGGCAGTGAGGTATATTTGTTTGGCTGTGGATGTTTTTTTCAGCCGCGGTTTGTTAGTGTAAGAAGTGCCCACCCACTGCAGCCTGGATGCTGGGACAGGGAACTGGCGGGTCCTGGGAGGTCATGATTGGTGGCTTGCTTAGGGCCCCTATCTTTAGAAGTTTCTCTGAGGGCACTCACAGGAAAAGGATAATGCCCGTATTGGCCATGGCATAGGCGAGTCCCAGGATGCCGCTGCCCATGATGGCATTGCTGAGGTTGAACACTGACATCCCGAATGATGTCTTCCCCTCGAACTGCAGGCACCAGAATGGGACGGGGAGGGTGGGAGGAGTCAGCAAGGGACAGGGGCATCGCAGCCTTCCCCTGACTGTCCCTCAGCCTCCCACTGCTGCCAGAGACCACCTCATTACTGCATCCAAGCTCCCCACAGTGTCCCCTAAAACCCGTTGCTGCCCTGCTCACGTCAGTGAAGTGTGGCTCCTTGCTGGGACTTTTCTGTAGGAAGCTCTTGCCCTCCATACAGCTCCGTGCAGGGTCCTCGACCCTGTAGGCACAGGTCAGGGTGGGTGGCTCAGCTCCAGCCCTTTGCTCTGTATCCCTGCCCTGCCCTGTCTTCAGCCACCACTGGGTCCCTCTGGTACTCACCTCTGGTTGCCTGCCATGGGGGTGATGACCGGGAGCAGCCCCTCTGAGTGTTTGCCATTGGGCACCAGCTCCACCATCTCTGTCTGCAAAGGCGCCTCCATGGCTCAGGGCACACCACCAGGAGCACTGGTCTCACACCAACAGTCAGATGTCTGCAGAGCAGCCGGTCCCTCTGGTTAGCCCCGTTACTTGGGCCTACGGCCTAGCCTCCTACCTGAGGCCTGCAGCCATAGCACACCTCCCAGATGGTCACTCGGGGCATATCCACACATGCAGCTCTGCCTACTGCCTCCCTGGGATCTGCTGTTGGGGGAATCCAGCTCAGACACCTGAGTTCCTAGGACGTTCTGATGGGACACCCTAGCCAGTACATAATGCACTTCTTACATGCACACCCGTCCAGGCAAGCCCTTAGGGTCTCGGTTTCACCATCTGTGAAGTGACGGTCATCTGGATGACCCGAGTTCAGAGCCCAGTGGCACCAGCATCCCCAGATGCTCAGTCCCAGGCCCCCAGACTTCACTCTGGGTATGTACCCAGGACAGACTTCTCCTCCTTGACATCAATAGTGGGAGATGGTTTCCTGCACTGGCCCTGTGTCCAGGGGCCTCCTGCCCAACCTAGAATGGCACTGCCCGACGGCTGGAGGCCTCGGGAGAGGGTGAGGGCTGTGGGCCCTGTTCCCAGCCGCCCGGCGGGCACTGCTGGCAGCCAGAACAAAGAGCCCTCTGTGGGCTGAGAGCTGGCGCTGGGAACGGCAGGCGCAGAGGCTGTCCCCCCTCCCCAGAGCCAGGATGCCTGAGGCGGTGCTGGGTGGCTGGACACCTGGGCCCTTCCCGCCTGGCTGCAGCAAAGGGCCCTCAGGGGGCCTTCCAGGAAACGGGTGCTCCAGGGCCAGTTCTCTGTGCCACACACACCTCACCCTCCACACAGTCCTGGCCTCAGGGCCATGTTTTTTTCCAAGCCTCTCCTCCACTGCCAGGCAGGGAACCCCCAACCCTCAGGGGCCCGCTGTCCAGGAGTGGACCCTTTGAACAGACCCCCATTTCCTAGGGCCCCAGGCCAGGAGCTCAGGCCCTTGGCCGGCTGTAGAGGAGCCTGGGTCACCAGATCAGTCTCCCTTCTCTGCTCTCAGGGCTTGGCCCTGCTGGGCCTCAAAGGAACCAGCTCTCCTTCCTCCACCACCCCTGCCCGCTGCCCAGACAACTCACTGGCCCCTCTCTCCCATCACTGGGTCCAGGAATTGCCTACCTCATAACCAGAGGTGGCTGGGCATAGTGCCCCCAGGTTCTGTAAGGACACCCTGAAGGCCAGCCTGGCCAGGAGGAGAGCTGAGGCCAGAGTGGAGACCAGTGAGGGGGGCAGCCCTGCCAGGCAGGACAGCCAGAACCTGGTCCTGAATCCGTGGTGCCCTCTCTGATGGAGAACCCTGAATTCTGCCCTGAACCCCCCATCCCCACTCCGGCCCCTGATGGTCTCAGGTCTGCCCTTGAATCTGGAGCACTGGGGAACTCAAACGTAGCACTCAGGGCTAGGGGTGAACAAGAGAGGCTGGGCTCAGGCCTCAGGCCTGGTGCCCCTGGAGGCAGCAGAGGTCACAGCAGCCTCTGGCCTCTCTGGTCAGAGGACTCCCTCCCTGCACTGCCCCAGGCAGCCCCAGGCCAGAGTTCAGATTCTGGCACCTGGATCCTGGAGACCCCACACATGGCACTCTTGCATCCCTCAAACCTGCCTCTCCTTCTGATGCAAGCATCTTACCTCCTCTCCTCCCAGACCCACCTACTCGGGACTATAACAATGTTAGCATCTCTTATTGAGCCTTCTCCCCTGACCCCAGGGTTGCCTAGGTCCACATGTCCTCATGCCCCTGCCCTAAGCCTTGCCATCAGCATCCCTCCAAGTGTCCCACCTGGGTATAGAGGTGCCAGTGCTGGCGTCCAGAGCTACTCCAGAGTCCCCCCTGCACTCAGCTGGGGGTGCCCTCTCTCGGCCCCCTGCCCTGGGCAGGCTGGGACAGGCCCTCAGAGTGTGCTGAGCTGGCAGTCTGGACAAAACACCCTTCTCTGCCCTAATATCCTTCTGTAGCAGCCAGGCACTGCCTCCAGGGAGACCACAGTCTGTGGCATGGGCCGTGGGAGGTGTCTGAGGTCTGAGCTCCAGATTCCCCATCCCCCCTGCAGTAGCTGGGCCTAGACCTTTGGGGCCTGGTAGCTATTACTCAATCATGATCAGTCATTGCTGGGTCTTGGGCAGGCCTGAGATCCCAGAAAGGATTTAGAATATCTCTCCTTAAGTGACCTCCAGCCTGGAAGAGACAAATCCCCCCAGATAGCACCCTCATCACTACTCTATAGCTCCTGCTGCAACTGAGTGTGAGCCACATAATGCTGGGTCTCAAAAAAGAGGATGGGGGTGCCGGGCGCAGTGGCTCACGCCTGTAATACCAGCACTTTGGGAGGCCGAGGAGAGCAGGATCACCTGAGGTCAGGAGTTTGAGACTAGCCTGACCAACATGGAAAAACCCCATCTCTACTAAAAATACAAAATTAGCCGGGCTGGTGGCGCATGCCTGTAATCCCAGCTACGCAGGAGGCTGAGGCAGGAGAATTGCTTGAACCCAGGAGGTGGAGGTTGCAGTGAGCTGAGATTGCGCCATTGCACTCCAGCCTGGGCAACAAGAGCCAAACTCCATCTCAAAAAAAAAGAAAAAAAAAAAAAAAAAAAAAAAAAAAGGATGGGGGCATCAAGGAAGACTTCCTGGAGGAGGTGCGAAGCCAGTACTAAAATTCCAGTAGGCACCCTGGGGTGTCAAACAGGAAAGAGTGTACCAGGCAGAGAGCACAGCATAGGCAGAGGCCCTGAGGTGCAGTACGAGGCAAGCTGTAAGCGTTGAAGGAAGGTTCTGTGGCAACAGACAAACCTGATACAGCTGTAAAGGCCAGGTCTAGGAGTCTGGACTTTGGTCCAGGGCAGGGAGGAGGGCTGGGGGCTGGGGGCCAGGGTGAGGATTAGCACTGGCCTGGCATGGAGCCCCCAGCCATTCCCTGAGGCTGCCAGCCCATTTTTGACAGCTCCTACCCCTCAGGCCTGTGGCCTCCCAGGCTCCTTTGTATCCGGGAATCGGAATCGGGGTAAACTCAGGGAAGGGCTCCTGCATAAGAAAGGCTGCCAGCAGAGCCTGATCCCCTGTGGTGAAAGCCCAGAGTAGACCCTCTAGGGCTGGGCTTGGCCCTGCCTCACTGTGTGGCCAGGGGCAGGGTACTCCCCAGCTCAGGACCTCAGTGTATCCCTGTCCTCTAGGGGTCCCGTGAGGCTTGGTCAAAGCTGGGGATGAGTGAGGAGCCTCCCCAAAGCCTTCATCCCCAGAACAGTCCATGGGTGCCCAGAGAGTGGCCAGGAGCTAGGGTGGGGAGATCACGGTGGCCTTGGGCAGGTCATCAGAATGGCATCTGTCATGGATGTAGTGTGAACCCGGGCAGTAAATCAATGGCCCAGGCCATTGCCCTGGGACCTGTTTGTTTTCCTGGGAGATAAGGGCCAGGAGGGGCCAGGAGCCACAGGGATGGCGCAGCAGGTAACGCCCGCCCACGCGAACATCACCTGGTGAGAATTCATCAGGCACACCTCGGCAGGTGTTGAGTTTGGCTAATTAAAGATTTTGAGCCCCAGGAACCCAGGCCACTTCAGGGCGGCTGATGCAAGCAGCTACAGGAAGCACAGCTCTCTGCCCAGGGATCAAGGTCCTTGGAGTCCCCAGGACTCTGAGCCTTGCTTTCCTTCCCCATGCTCAGGAACATAAGTGGGTCTGGGTCGGCAGTAGTGAGCTGGTGACAGGGAGGCCTTCGCACTCTTTTTACCTTGGTGACGACTTGCACCAGTGGAGGCACAGACCCTCTGGAGCTTATTGCTGAGGCCCAGGCTACCTGACCTCCGCCAAGATCTCAGGAGAGAGACAGCTGGCCTGGCTTGAGGGTCCATCGTGATTATCCCTGGGGGCTCAGGGGTGAGGGCTGCCCCCAGTTCCAGCTCAGCTCATTTTTACCACTCCCCTCCTTGGCTGAGACAGGGTGCCCCCCTCCTAAGTCTGGTACCCATCTGGACAGCTACCCCTCTGTCCACCTGCTCCTCCAGGCTTCAGAGGGAAGATGCCCCCTACTAGGAGAAGGTGTTAGTAAGGGGGGAAACCAGATCCAATGGAGACATTTGGACTGCATGTTCTCAAGGCACAGCCATAGGAATTGGTGGTAGCTGATTGCTGGGGTCAGGGGTCTAGGGACAAAGCAGGTGGGAGGAGGGTGTTAGAACAGGGAAAAGACACCTCTTACCCTCCTCTAGACCCATGTTTTCATGTCCTCCTCATCAACAACACAACAGTGCAAGTGGCCAGTGTGTGGCCAACACTGGGCTAATACTGAAGAAGTGACATGCAGGCGGGGGCATATCCAGGGGAAGGCAGATGGCCCAGAGAACTGAACTACCGGCCATGTTAATCCTCAGCCCCCAGCTCCCTGGCCTTGGGATCTAGGGTCTGTGGCTCTGTGTTCTGGGCATCCGGAGGTGTCTAGGAGGATCTGAGAGACCCAGCTGGGGCCGGAAGGTAGACTTTCCTGTGGCCGGGTACATTTTCTTTTTTTTTCTTGTTTTTTTTTTTTGAGACGGAGTCTTGCTCTGTCACCCAGGCTGGAGTGCAGTGGCGTGATCTCGGCTCACTGCAACCTCCGCCTCCTGGGTTCACACCTTTCTCCTGCCTCAGCTTCCCGAGTAGCTGGGACTACAGGCGCCCGCCACCACGCCCAGCTAATTTTTTGTATTTTTTAGTAGAGACGGGGTTTCACCATGTTAGCCAGGATGGTCTCGATCTCCTGACCTCGTGATCCACCCACCTTGGCCTCCCAAAGTGCTGGGATTACAGGCTTGAGCCACTGCGCCCGGCCATGGCCAGGTACGTTTTCTAACAGATGCTTGTAGCTGGGCCTAACCTTAGGCACCTCAGCCTCCCTTCCCACCCAGCCCTGGACCCTCCTTGCTCAGGCTGCCACCCATAGAGGTTGCAGTCAGAAGCTCTTGGTTCACGAGTGGGCTAGAGCAACAGCAGCCCCCACCTCACCCATTGCCAGCCTGCTGAGAAGGACGTGCAGCCGGAGGCCCAGCTGAGGCAAAGGACAGGACATCACGTGACTGTGGCCCCCCAGGGGCAGGGGAGACCCTGCGCCAGCCAGCCCATTCTCCTCCCTGCTGACCCGGAATCCCCTGGAGGCGGCCAAATATTTAGACAGCCGGACTTCTGGCCCCAAAGCAAGCTGAAGCACAGGCCTCGGGCAGTTCAGGACTCATCAGAGAGTCCGATGGGGGGCTAAAGTCAAGGTCGGCCTGGAGGAGGGGAGACATCCAACATCAGGAAGAAAAGGCAGAGGGAGGGAAGAGAGATAGACAGGGACAGAGCAGGGAGAGAAAACACAGTCATTAGCTCCATGCGTCCATGCATACTGATCCACACACAGAGACAGACAGACAGAGATGCAGCGGCCCAGGGTGACAGGGAAATGCAGATGCACACAGAGGGACACAGACAGAAAAACACACAGACAAAAACCACATGCAGATAGCGGACAGACATTTAGACAGGAGACAGACAGCGACAGAAACAACCAGGGAGGTGAGAAACAGAGTGAGCACCCAGTCAGAGACAGCCAAATGGAGGAAGAGACAGACAACAAGACAGCAAGAGACAGCTGTAAGGCCGGGCATGGTGGCTCACGCCTGTAATCCCAGCACTTTGGGAGGCCGAGGCGGGCAGATCACCTGAGCCCAGGAGTTTGAGACCAGCCTGGCCAACATGGTGAAACCCCATCTCTACTAAAAATACAAAAATTATCCAGGCATGGTGGCAGGTGCCTGTAATCCCAGCTACTCGGGAGGCTGAGGCAGGAGAACTGCTTGAACCTGGGAGGCAGAGGCTACAGTGAACCAAGATCACGCCGCTGCACTCCAGCCTGGGTAACACAGCGAGACCCTATCTCAAAAAAAAAAAAAAAAAAAGAGAGAAAGCTGAAGAAAAAGAGAGCCCCAGAAAGAGCGAGAAGGGGAGAGGGAGCCAGGGGGCCCAGCTGAGGGGGCAGTAGGCCCAATGGGCACTGCCAAGATGGCCAGGCAGAACCCTGGAGGACCCCACAAAAAGGCTGCTGCACCTCCAGGTCCCCACAGAGCAGGTTATGCCCCTACCAACCAGGTGCTATGACACCCAGAGGCTGGGGCTGAGCCCACTAGGGCCACAAGGCCAGGCCCAACTGGAAAGCTCAGATATCCCTGGTCCAGCACCCAGGACTTGTCTACCTGAGCAATGGAAAATACATGTGGAGATGATGGTCAGTCGGAGTGACCCCCATTCCCAGCAGCCATGCACGTGTGCAGACGTGCTGGCTGAGAGGCTGTGTACAGGACGTGGCCCGCAGAGCGGAAATTCAAAACCAAGCCACCCCAGGCCACTGGCCGGAAAGCCCCTCCTGCCCAGCAGCTGGTCCTTCCCTTTGGCCCCCAGAAGCCCCGCCTGGTCCTCTAGAGCCCCACCCTGTTCTCCTATGTCTGTCCTACCACCCAGAGTCAAAGGCCTACCCTTCACCCACTAGACAAGAGTGTACCCCGGGCACACAGTAGGTGCTCAGCAAATGTTAAATGAATGGAATGGCCGGGCGCGGTGGCTTAGACTTGTAATTCCAGCACTTTGGGAGGCCAAGGCAGGCAGACTGCTTGAGGTCAGGAGTCCGAGACCAGTCTGGACAACATGATGAAACCCTGTCTCTACCAAAAATACAAAAAAAATTACCCAGGCTTGATGTTGCACACTTGCGGTCCTGGCTACTCAGAAGGCTGAGGTGGGAGAATTGCTTGGGCCTGGGAGGCGGCGGTTGCAGTGAGGCGAGATTGTGCCACTGCACTCCAGCTTGGGCAACAGAGTGAGACCCCACCTCAAAAAATGAAAAAAATAAAAAAAATAAACGAATGGAATGCATTTGAGGCCCTCGGCAAGCCCTCTTACCTGCTCCAAGTGAGGCCTGGCCCCTGGCCATGTCTACACTAAAACATCCTCCCACTGGGTCCCAATTCTACTATAGCATAGACTGCACATTCCACCTCAGCTTTCTGTTCACAGAGACACCAAAACTGCACCTCCCTGGTGGCCCACCCCACACCACTCCCCTCCAAATATGTTTCCCTCTCAAACTGGATGCTTGTCCTCACACCCAGCCCAGACTTCCAGGGTGTGTCCAGTTCAGCTTAAAATCCTTCTCTGACTCAACCCAGAGACCATGAACCACCCAGCCAGTCTTGTTGTGCCTCAGTTTCTCCAACTGTCCAGGGCTTCAAGGCTACTTGCTAGGGCAGTGGCACAAGGACAGGAGCAACCAGTTGTCATGATCTGGCAACCTGGAGCCCTGGACTGGTGTGGGGACCATTTGTGACATGGGCCAAAAAAACCAGCACACAACAAGGAGTGGCTTGAGAAGCCAGCGAAGACATGGGTCCCATGGGCCCAGGCAGAACAAAATTCTGAGATACAGACTCCTACCCTCCCCAGAGATTCAGCCCCCTGCTCCCAATGTCAAGAAATCAGATTCCCATTTCTGGTTTCAGTCATTCCAGCCCTCTCAGAGACGTGCCAGGCTTGGCCTCTTCCAGTCCTGATCCCTCCCGTCAGTGATGCTTCTTGCAGGAAGGGTACCGTGGCTGTGCCGAATTTCCCCCATTCAAAATGGAACCATCTTTGGGTCTCTTTAGCTTTCTATCCCCCAGACTGAGAGCCCCGAGGGATGTGCTTCCTTTCCAGAAGGAAATGAGCCCCATCCCAGACCTTTTACAGAACAGAACAGGAAGGGGTGAAAGGTCCAAGGGCCTTTTCCAGGGGCAGCTCTGTGGCCAGAGTCGGTCATGGAAGAAAGGACAGGGTTGGCAGGCTGAAGGAAGGATGGGCATGAGTGGGGAAGTCCTCCATGGTGTTCCTCAGGGCTCAAGAGCCTTTGACTTAGCCTTTCTCAGACCTGTTTGAGAGCCCATACCTGGACTCAGGACTCAGGTCCCCGTGGGGGGAAAAGGGCGGGTCCCCGCAGGTCCCTCCCCTGGCCTCCCCCTGCCTGGGTGTAAACAAACGCACGCATTTGCTGTGGCCAATCGAAGGGGCCAACCGGGCGGGGGCGGGCTCTTGCAAACCAAGTCTTGGTTCCTTCTCTCCGCCGTGCGCTGCGCGGGCTCTAACTTACACCCTACCCAGCGCCAGGTGGGGAGGAGCTCGCACGGCGCCCCGGCCTCAGGTCAGGGAGCCACTCGCGCCCTGCGCCCGCTGTGCCCGCTGGCTCCTCTGCAAATGGCACCGGCTCTGGGACCAGCATGTACCCCGCGGCCCCTCAGGCGGCCCGGCCCGATCTGCCCTCAAGCCCTTGTCCGGAGCAGCCGAGATAAATATACCCGGATTCCCATCGTGCCAGCCGGGCTGCTCTGCCTGTCAGGCGCCCGTCGGGGCAGCGCTCCAGGGACTGCTCCAGGCCCCTCTTGGGTCCTCCCCTCGGGCCCTCTCCAGCCTGCCCCATGGGCCCTGCCTCAGGAAGCCTGTGGTGTGCCGCCCGAGCCCCCAACAAGGCGTCCTGTGGTCCCAGCCCCGGGTGCCGCCGACCTCCTGCTGTACCTCGCAGCCCCGCCGAGAGGCCCTAAGGCGACGACGTGTCCCTCCCGGTACCCCCAGGGCCCTGCTTAAGCTCGGCGCTGAGTCCCGACTGGCAGGTCCCCAAGACCAGCGCCTGGAGCGCGCGGGGCTTTGGCTCGCCGGAGGCTGGGGCGCCTGCCCGGGTCAGGACGGTAGAGGAGAGCTGCCCAGAGCCCGGCTACGGACAGGAGGGTGGACAGTAGGGCTCGGCCCACCCGATTCCCCTGTGCGGGTGGGATGAACTCCCGAAGCGGTACCTGGCCTCGCGGTTGGGAACGTGCGGCGCTCCGCTCGGGCCGGTGCGGTTCGCTCTGCTCCCGGCTGAACTCGGCTGCAACAGCGACAACAGCGACGCGGGATGAAGGGCGCCCGGCCCCGCCCCCGGCCCGCCCCCCGCCCGCCAATCCCTGGCGGCCCGCGGGAGGAGGGGCTGGTCGGGGGAATGGCGGGGGCCGGGGCAGGCCGGGAGCAAAGGGGCGGCCTGAGCGTTAGGGAGCCCCTAGGTGGGAGAGCAGAGCTGCCAGAGGGACTCCGTTGAGTCTTGTGGGGGGAATGCTTCAGTCCAAAGCAGATTCTCTCTGAGGTCTGTGGGTGTCACATTAACCCCTGAAATGCTTTGCCCACACCCCCCAAAGCCAGAAGGGGAGCTTCCGCCAAGAGGACTGGCAATGCATAGCCTCAGTGAGAGATGCTTGAATGGGGGACTTTCAGGCGACACTCAGGCAACAAAATACCTCTTCTACCTGCCTCCCCCTTCCCAACCAGGGGTGGGGTGGGGGCGAGGGTGGGAGGGCTTCTTATATCAATTCTGTCTCCACCCCAGATATTCAGAGGAGGCTGAGGCTGGAACACAGAGGGCAGGGGCAGTGAGGTCAGGCAAGGAGTAAGGCTTGGCTTGCTTGAGCCTCACCTGGGGCCCCCCGACCATGACCCCCGTCCTTATTTAGAAGGTGTAGGAGACAGCTGTCAGCCTGTCCACAAGAAGGGGGCTGGGACTTGGTGTCCTGGGGACAGACAGGGGTTTTAGGATGGCCCCGTTCTTGGCTGGGGGCTCCTTATCCCACCCCTGCCTGCTTTCCACACAGGCCCTTGGTGCTCAGAGACGGGTGGTGGGTGTTAAGGTCCCAGGTTCCACCAGTAGGAAGCTGGGGGAGATGCTGACCTTCGGGGTGAAGTGGGGGGGTTCTCAGAACAGCTGTGCCCCTTGCTTCTCAGTCACTGGCTCTGATCCGATTAATCTCATGGCCTCTGCTGTTCCTATTCAAGCTGGTCTTCTCTGTGTCATGCCTGCCCCACTTCCCAGTGCGGGGGGAATGCCCTGAGAGGACATACCCGACCCTCCCCTGCCCTGGGCTGGGAGTCAGGACTCCAGGATTTTCTCCTGCTGACTCACAGAACCACCACAGCCAAGCCCTGGCGTACCTTGGTTTCCCTCTGTGACATGGAAATGGCTGTCTTTTCTCCTGAGGGGAATGAGTGGAGGGGAAGCTGTGAGACCGGGCAGGGGACTCAGCTCTGGCTGGCAGGGCTAGAGAGAAAGGCATTGGGATGGTGGCAACCCCTGAAAACCTCAAGCCACTCGAACTTCTGCCTTGCTGGTGGCTGGAAAATGGGAAAGGGCTGCCTTTCACTCCTGGTCTGGGGCTGATATCATCCTTAGATCAGAGCTCACTTTGACTCCCACCCTCCAAATGGGCATGGTTCTGCCATGGGACAGCCATATAGAAGAGGTGCTGACGAGGGTCTCAGGCCTGCCTCCCACCCCTCAACCTCCCACTTGCAGACACCCTGGATGCTCACAGGAGCTATCTGCAAAGGGCTGGTGGCTCCCACTGGCAGTTCTTGAGGGGCCAGGGCTGGCTCAAGGTCACCTGGGATATGGGTGTTGGGGTCCTCAATCTAGACTGGAGGAAGCAGGGGCTGACTGGGCTGGGCTGCTGTGGGAGGCCCAGAGGAGGGTATGATGTGGGGTCCCTGGGTCAGACCAGTTGTGGCCAGGCTGGGGGAGGGGCTGACTGTTTGTTGTTGCTAGGCCTGGGCCCCAGCCAGGGCAAACACAGCTCGGAGGCCTTTCCCACCACCTGCCGAATCTCCCAGCCCAGCCTGTGGTGACCGGACAGCTGGACAGCTAGGATGTGGCTCTGAGAGCTGCCGGTCGCCTTCTTCCAGAGGCTAGAGGGAATGTCCATCCAAGCAACCACAGAGTTGCAGGCGGCCCCTTGGGATGGAGAATGGGGGAAGCTTTATCCCAAGCTTCAGCCCAGCCTCCGCCTCCACTGCCCCATCTCTGAAAACGTAAACCCAGGCCTGAAAGACTGCCAGACCCATGCAGCAGAGCTCAGGGCTCCAGGACCGCTCAGATCCTCCTTCCAGGGCCCCAATAGCCCTTGGCTCTCCTTCTTCCTTTCTAGTCATGAACTCTCAGCCTCTAGCTAGGCTGCCTCTTCTCACCATGCCACCACCTCTGCTAACATGCTATCCACACAGTGCCCCAAGACCATCTCCAACAGCAATGCCCCATCTTCGCCTCCAACCTAGCCCTTCCAGAGCCCAGGATCTGTGTCCCCTGACTCCTCAGACCCCCTGCAGCTCCTGCCCCCACACCTGGCTGGCCTCCCTCATATCCGCCCACCTGCTCCCAGCAAGCCTCTTCACCTCCCCCGGGCTTGGCTGGCCACGCTGCACACGTTCCTGCTGTTCACAGAACTTGCTAGCTTTCATGCTCCTGTGCCTCTGCCCTCGTGCTTCCCAGGGCTGAAGGTTCCCTACCCTGTTCCACCTCCTTGGCAGACTCCTACTTGTCCTTCATCACCCTCATAGAGCACCTCTGAGAACCCTGCCTGAGTCACTGTGAAGAGCCAGCTAGTCCGACACTTACTGCTCTTGCTGCTCTTGTCACCCCACCCACACAGCCCCAGCCCTAGTGTCTCCAAGCGCTGTCTCCAGGTGGTCTAGATGGGAAAATGCCTGCGAGGTTGGAGGGCGCAAATCAAGGAGAGCCTGATGGCAAAGCAGCCCACAGACTTGCTCTGCGAAGGGTAAGAAAGGCACAAGCAAGGGTCAGGAGGGGAAGGGCACTGTGGATGGAGAAAGGAGCTCGGCCAGAGGGAAAGGAGCCTGGACGTAGGGCTAGCCCTGGTGGGCGGAGGGTTGCGTGCAGGGCAGCACGCTCCTTCTGGGCTCATGATCAGGGGTTTGAAATCCTCAGGAGAAGGTGGTTCTCACCCCCACACCTCAGGGTCTATTACCACACCCTAGCTGCTGACTATGCCCTGCTGTTTGGTGCCTGGGAGGCTCCTCTTTGGGCATGAACAGGGCTTTAGTATCACAACACAGTGTAGAAGTATGGAGGGGACCCATAGGCAACCCTCTTATCCAGCCCTTCCCCGGCCTGGGCCCCCAGAGCTGGTGACCTCGTGGCTAAGGCCTGGCCCCCACAGCCATGACATGCCTGCTGTCTCTCTCCTGAGATCTGGCCCCCAGCTTCTCTGGCCACTGAAGCAGCTTAATGAACCCTGGTCACATGGACTATGCTACTGCCTGAGGGGAGGGCCCAAACCCCTAGTGGCCACCCGGCCAGGCCCTGACGTCAGTGGCATTAACCATCCACCAGTCTTGTCTAATCTCTGGTCGGTGGCCGGGCCAGGTTAGTCCCGCCAGAGCCAGAGCTGAAGGCTGTGGGGGCCCTCAGGGGCACCTTGAGGTTGCAGGCCAGGCAGGGATGGTGGTGGCTAGAGGTGACCACAGTAAATGCACCACCTACAAGACTGGGGTGTGGCCACTGTGCTGACTCTGGGCCAGTGCTCTCTGATCCTCTGCCCTGGACTGTGAATCAGGCATCAGGCACCCATTGATCCTGCTCCTTAGCGTGTAATTACACTGGTATGGTGAGCAGAGCTAAGCAGGTTTCAGGCTGGGAGACTCAGGGCCCCTCCACACTTGCTGGCCATGGACAGGGCAGTTTGAGGCCAGGCAGCGTCCCCAACTCACAGGATCCAGGAGTACCGACCCTGAATCCCAGACCCCAGGGTCAGAAGCATATGTGGGGCGGGACCCCCTGGAGGGCAGGGTCCAGCCCCTGCATGTTGCTGGGGCTCTTCTGTCCCTTGCCCAGGAATGCCGGGGAGCGCCTTACCTTTCTGCCAAGACAAGGTGGCTGTGCAGAAGACCCCACTAAGTCACCTCTCCTGACAGCTTCCTCCCTCTCAAGCCTAACACTTCCAGCTCCTCAGGGCCTCCTATCCCATGCCCACTACCTCCTTCTGTCACTGCCCGCATCCCACCTCACTCTAGCAAACTGTTTGGGGAGCAGGTCCTTAGTAGAGATGAACAGCCCTGGCTCAGCCAGGCCAACAGCACCCAGCAGGGGTCTTGCACCACTGGCTAGATCGCCCCCATGCCCAGGCTTCTGAGCAGCACCAATATCACTGCCCACATGTGCACTGGACTCCCAACCCCAACCAGTGTTCTTCCTGTGCTCAGGCCTGGGTGCCCTCATGCTCCCCTTTCCAGCCTCCGACAGGCTCACAGCTCCCCACCACCTGGACATTGAGGATGATGCCTACACTTAGCTTTCTGCCCAGCACTGAGTATCAGTCGGCCTCCTGGACATCTCCCCCAAGCACTACAGGTCCTGCAAATTCAGCCCATCCAACACCCCTCCACAATACTGGCTTAGTGGGGGCGTTGCCTGTGCTTGGTCAACCGCTCAGACCCCAACCCCTGTCACTGAGCCCCTTGCCTTGTAGCCCTTGGTTTTGTCAGATAACGGAGACATAACCTATGCCTCATGGGGACCCGAGCCACACTCCTCTCCTCCTCCACACTCACACTGGTTCCAGGAAAAATATGTGCCCCTATATACATGTTTTAATGAAAAAAATATATATATATTTTTTCTTTTTTTTTCTTTCTTTTTTCTTTTCTTTTTTTCTTTTTTCTTTTCTTTTTTTTTTTTTTTTGAGACGGAGTCTTGTTCTGTCGCCCAGGCTGGAGTGCAGTGGCACGATCTTGGCTCACTGCAAGCTCCGCCTCCCGGGTTCACGCCATTCTCCTGCCTCAGCCTCCCAAGTAGCTGGGACCACAGGCACCCGCCACCACGCCTGGCTAATTTTTTGTATTTTTAGTAGAGACGGGGTTTCACTGTGTTAGCCAGGATGGTCTTGATCTCCTGACCTCGTGATCCGCCCGCCTTGGCCTCCCAAAGTGCTGGGATTACAGGCGTGAGCCACCGCACCTGGCCAAATATATATATATATATTTTAGACAGTCTCCCTCTGTCGCCCAGGCTGGAGTGCAGTGGCACAATCTCACTGCAACCTCTGCCTCCTGGCTCCAGCAATTCTCCTGCCTCAGCCTCCCTAGTAGCTGGGACTACAGGCATGTGCCACCACGCCCAGCTAATTTTTGTGTTTTCAGTAGAGATGGTGTTTCACCATGTTGGCCAGGCTGGTCTCGAGACCTCAGGTGATTCTTCCCCCTCTGCCTCCCAAAGTGCTGGGATTACAGCCATGAGCCACCACGTCCAGCCTTAATGAAAACTTTTAATAATTATTTTTTCAAGAAGCAGATTTTGAAAATGGTATTGGTTATTTTTGTCTCCATTAAACCCAGGAAAATAGAATTATAAGAAATTCTGGCCGGGCACAGTGGCTCACACCTGCAATCTCAGCACTTTGGGAGGTGAGGCGGGCAGATCACCTGAGGTCGGGAGTTCAAGACTAGCCTGACTAACATGAAAAAAACCGGTCTCTACTAAAACTACAAAATTAGCCGGGCGTGGTGGTGCATGCCTGTAATCCCAGCTACTCAGGAGGCTGAGGCAGGAGAATCGCTTGAACCCAGGAGGCAGAAGTTGCTGTGCGCCAAGATCACGCCATTGCACTCCAGCCTGGCCAACAAGAGTGAAACTCCATCTCAAAAAAAAAAAATTCTGTTTAAGTTATAAATAAAATATTCAAGCTTAAAATAATGTGAGTTTTAACATACCTACTTTTACAAGTTTTTTCAACTATTTAATGTTCTGGAAAAAAATTAACCATTAAAAATACATAAAATGAGTTTAAAAGGCAACCCACGGAGTGGGAAAAAAATTTGCAAATCCTATCTCTGATAAGGAATTATTCTCCAGAATATATAGAGAACTTCTAAGACTCAACAACAACATTAAAATAACTCAATTCAAAAATGGGCAAAGGACTTGGACAGGCATTTCTCCAAAGAAGATATACAGATGGCCAATAAGCACAGGAAAAGATTCTCAACATCACTAAGCAGTAGGAAAATGCAAATCAAAACTACCAAGAGATACTACTATTAAAAAAGAAAAATAGGTCAGGTGCGGTGGCTCATGCCTGTAATCCCAGCACTTTGGGAGACCGAGGCGGGCGGATCACTTGAGGTCGGGAGTTTGAGACCAGCCTGACCAACATGGAGAAACCCCGTCTCTACCAAAAATACAAAATTAGCCAGATGTGGTGGTGCATTCCTGTAATCCCAGCTACTTGGGAGGCTGAGGCAGGGGAATGGCTTGAACCCAGGAGGTGGAGGTTGCAGTGAGCTGAGATCACACCATTGCACTCCAGCCTGGGCAACAAGAATGAAACTCCGTCTCAAAAAAAAAAAAAAAAAAATTAGCCGGGCATGCTGGCATGCAGCTGTAGTCCTAGCTATTCGGGAGGCTGAGACAGGAGAATTGCTTGAACCCAGGAGGCAGAGGTTGCAGAGCCGAGATTGTGCCACTGCACTCCAGCCTGGGCAACAGAGCGAGACCCCATCTCAAACAAAACAAAACCCAGAAAATAACAAGAGTTCACAAATATGTAGAGGAAGGGGGACCACCTGTGCACTGTTGGTGGGAATGTAAAATGGTACAGCTGCTGTGGAAAACTGTTCCTCAAAATATTAAAAGTAGGCTGAGCGCAGTGGTTCACACCTGTAATCCCAGCACTTCGGGAGGCCGAGGTGGGCAGATCACTTGAGGTCAGGAATTCAAGACCAGCCTGGCCAACATGGTGAAACCCCATCTCTACTAAATACAAAAATTAGCCAGGCATGGTGGTGGGTGCCTATACTCCCAGCTTCTTGGGAGACTGAGGCAGGAGAATCACTTGAACCCGGGAGGCAGAGATTGCAGTGAGCTGAGATCGTGCCACTGCACTCCAGCCTGGGCGACCGAGTGAGACTTCATTTCAAAAAAAGGGGTCAGGTGCAGTGGCTCACGCCTGTAATCCCAGCACTTTGGGAGACCAAGGCAGGCGGATCACCTGAGGTTGGGAGTTCGAGACCAGCCTGACCAACATGGTGAAACCCCATCTCTACTAAAAATACAAAATTAGCCAGGTGTGGTGGCACATGCCTGTAATCCTAGCTGCTTGGGAGGCTGAGGCAGAATCACTTGAACATGGAAGGAGGAGGTTGCAGTGAGCCGAGATCATGCCATTGCCACTCCAGCCTGGGCAACAAGAGCAAAACTTCGTCTCAAAATAAATAAATAAATAAATAAATAAAATAAAAATAGATTCACCATATGAGGCCGGTTGCAGTGGCTCACGCCTGTAATCCCAGCACTCTGGGAGGCCGAGGTGGGCAGATCACCTGAGATCAAGAGATAGATCGAGACCATCCTGGACAACATGGTGAAACCCCGTCTCTACTAAAAACACAAAAATTAGTTGGGCATGGTGGCGTGTGCCTGTAGTCCCAGCTACTCAGGAGACTGAGGCAGGATAATTGCTTGAACCTGGGAGGCGGAGGTTGCAGGGAGCCGAAATTGTGCCGCTGCACTCCAGGCTGGCGACAGAGAGAGACTCTGTCTCAAAAAAAAAAAAAAAAAAAAAAGATTCACCATATGATTTGCCAGTTCCATTTCTGGGTATACACCCAAAATAATAAAAAACAGAGGCTGGGAGAGAGATTTGTACACCCATGTTCATAGCAGCATTATTCACAATAGCCAAAAGGCAGATGTAACCATTCATCAATAGATGAATAAATAAACAAAGTGTGGAATATATACAATGGAATATTATTCAACCTTAAAAAGGAAGGAGATTCTGCCATATGCTACACATGAATAAACCTTGAAGACATGATGCTAAGTGAAATAAGCCAGTTGCAAAAAGACAAAGACTTCATGGACCCACACATCTGAGGCACTTAGAGCAGTCACATTCATAGAGATGGAAAGTAGAATGGTGGATGCCAGGAGCCGGGGGAAGGCAGGAATGGGGGGTTATTTTTTCATGGGTACAGAGTTACAGTTTTACAAGAGGAAAGGAGTTCTGGAGATGAACAGTTGCGGTGGTTGTACAACATTATGAATGTACTTAACACCACCAAACTATACACCGGCAAGTGGCTGAGATAGTAAACTTTATGATACATGTATTTTTAAAACTGGCAAAAAATCCCTACAAACATATAGCAACAAATAGTTTTCCCTTTGCTTCAAGCCCCAATATATCTTAGCATGCCTCTGTTTGATCCTCTGTTGGATTTTGATATTTCATTCATTGTGGGGTTTTGCATTCATTTGATTTTTAAAAATATTATCCTAATATTATTTACCTTGGTTACTAAATTTTTTGGCATCGCCTTAAATGTTGCACCCAAGGTGAGTGTGCCTCACTTCCCTCACCCTAATCCCAGCCCTGCAATTATGTTCCTGCCTCGAGGGCTTCCAAGACTCTCCATCACCTTCTGAGAAAGCCCAGGCCCTCCGACTGGCTTTGGGCACCTGTCCACGTCTCTCCTCCCCTGCTCTTGCTCCACTGAACTCCTGTGGCCATAAGCCCATGTTTCTGGGGCTGGTAGACACTACGGTCCCTGCCAGAATGAGCCTCCACCTCAAAACTCCCTCTTGATCCAAGACTGTCCCAGTGAATATTTTCCACAGCTCCTCTCTCCTCAACTCCCGTGAAAAGCCATGAGTTGGTCCCATACCCCCAAGAGTGCCCCACCTTGTCAGGCCAGGTACTTCTTCCTGGGAGGGGCCATCTTCCCACTTCATGCCCAACCCAGCACTGGGCACTTAATAAATGCCCATGACTTGTGATAATTAAGTCCTCCACCAAGAAAGGACAGCTGGAGCCTGATGCAAAGGTTTATTGCTGAGTCTGTGCGTCTAGCTGAGGGGAGTGCAAATTGTGCCCCGGCCTTGCCAGACGGAAGCTCCTTGTCCCCGACTGCAGCACAGGCCCTGGCCTGTGGACATAAGCAAAGATTTGGTGCTGGATGAGGAAGGAGGGAGCAGGGATGTGGGGACATGGGCCTTTGTCCCTGATAGTTCAGCCATGGCTCTCAGCTTCCCCTGCCAGGGAACCCTGAATGGAAGGGGCAAGAGAAGCTGCTGGTAGGGACAAGAGGGTCACCCAGGTTTGCTTGTAACCCCACCTGAGGTAGACCCTTTTGGGCACAGCCAGGGCCTTTGTCCTATCCTGAATCCTCTGGGCTGATCCAAGGGAGCTGGACTCTGTCCCCAGCCACCCCTCAGGACAGCCCAGCTATTGGCCATAGCTGGTGTCAACAGTACCCTCCCTTAACCCCTTAACACACCATCCTGTTGTCCAACCAGCCCAGGGTACTGTGTGTGGGTGGGGAAGTGGTGTGTGGATCTGCTGTCCAAGGACACAGGGAGCAGATCCTGCTGGAGAAGGCTGGAGGTTGCTCTGAGCCTAGTATTTGGGGAAGGGTCCTGCTGTGTCTCACTCTGGCACCCAAGGGCCCCCAGGTCTGCCCCCTCCCCACTAATTTATTTATGTGGGGGCCACACAGGCCAGAGCTAGCTTGGACTTTGGACCCTTTGGAGGCTGCTGGGAGGGACAGTCACTGGCTCTGGGTAGACAGGTGTCAAACTTGTCACATGGAGGTGGCAGGGTGAGCAGCTGGCCTGTGTGTGGGAGGGATATTCCCTGTCCTTGATGAAATACTGGGAGGGAGGGCTGTTTGCTGAGCCCAGGCCCACCAGGTGAGTCGTGGGCCCCCAGGGGCAGGAGAGCTGCGGGAGATTGGTCAGTTGGGCACTGCTGAGTCACCGTGAGCTTCAGCTGCCCCAAGTCCTGCCCGTTCCTAGCTGGGGCTGGCTGCTGTGAGTCCTAGAGGCCAGTGCAGCCGGGCGGTGAAGGGCAGGGCTTGGGGTTGGGGGCATGAGGCGCTGGGATACTGTGGGAGGTATGGGGGAGGGTCCGCGCCTCAAGGCTAGCAGGGCTCAGAGCTTTGGTGAGGTGGCAGGTTGGGGCCAGGGAGTCCCAGGGGGCTGATAGGGTCCTGGGGTTTGGGGCTGCAAGGCAGCTAGGGCTACCAGGTCTCAGGGTGACTGACACGCATGAATTCAGGCACCTGTGAAAAGGAAACCCAGTCAGCATCCCTGAGACCCAAAATAAATGGGTTTAGGCATTGTGTGTGGTGGGGCGGCCCTGGAAGCTGTGACACCTGAGGTCTTGGGGCGGGGCCAAAAGAAATTCAATGGGTGGGACTTGTGGGGTGGGGCGGGGCCTCTGTCGGTGGGGTGGAGCCTGAGGAGCTGGGGTGGGGCCTGGAGGCAGTAGGCTCCAGGATTTGGGGGTGAGGCTCCAGGGCCGTGGTGTGGGGTGGGGAGCTGGACGGGGCTGGGGTATTGAGGCAAGAGCCTGGAGAGGGCAGCGACCTACCTCAGAAGAGGCCACAGTCTTTGAGGTTCTCCTTGATGATGATGTCGGTGACAGCGTCGAAGACAAATTTGACGTTCTGCGTGTCGGTGGCGCACGTCATGTGGGAATAGATCTCCTTCACGTCGCGCCGCATGTTGAGCTCGAGGAACTGCACCTTGATGTAGTTGCCGGCGTCCTCGTAGGTGTTGGGTCCTGCGGGGGCGGGAGCTCTCACTCTGCTCAGCCCTTCCTTCCCCGTGCGGGGGGTGCGCGCCGCGATCGTGGGGCGGGGGCGCCGCCTGGCGGCCTTGCGGACTTCTCACCATCGTAGTCCGGGAAACAGATGCTGAGGTGCGCCTTCTTGATCTTCTCGAAGAAGACGTCCTTCTTGTTAAGGAAGAGCACGATGGACGTCGTGGCGAAGTAGCGGTGGTTGCAGATGCTGTTGAACAGGTGCAGGCTCTCGTGCATGCGGTTCTGAGGAGGGCAGCAGCTGTTGGGCACCCGGGGTAGCGTCCGACCCGCAGCACCTGCTCTCTGGGCTCCCGGGCACGCGGGGCTTCCCGCTCAGCTGGCTCTCAGAGGGCTCCCCGCACTGCCCCAGATGGGCCTGCTGAACGCCTCCGGGCCTCCTCAGGCCGCCCGGGACAGGCATCCCCTCCCGTGCCCTCCCCCAGCCCAGCGCGCGGTCTCCGCCTCCAGGGACCAGCAGCTCCTCCTCGCCCCCCTGGAACACAGGCCCTGCCTGGCACGCACCACTTCGTCGTCCTCCACTAGCACCATGTCGTAGGCGCTCAGCGCCGCGATGAAGATGATGCAGGTCACGCCCTCGAAGCAGTGGATCCACTTCTTGCGCTCCGAGCGCTGCCCGCCCACATCGAACATCCTGCGGGGCCGCGGGGGCCTGAACCTGCGCCCCGGGCCCCACAGGCAACATCCCTTCGCCCTGTGCTGGTCGGGGAGCTCTCGGCCGGGACTACCACCCTTTCTGCTGGCGGGGTATCAGGGAAGGGGCAGGGTCTATCGCAGGGATGGGGTCCCCGGGGCAGGACGGGGCCTGGGGCAGTGACCTCCTGGGCTAGCGTATGGGTCGTACCGGAAGTTGAGATCCTTGAAGGAGAACTGCGTCTCGATGATGCCAGTGGTCTTGACTCGCGAGCGCAGCACGTCCTGCTCGGTGGGCACGTAGCCCGGGGTTACCAGGCGCTCCAGGTCGGAGAGGTAGCTGCGCGAGACCCGGCCGTAGGTGGGTGGGGAGGCGTGGAGGGCCCCCTGCGCCCCGCGCCCCGCGCCCCGCGCTGCCCGCGCGCTCACTAGCCCGCCGAGTCGTTGAGCTGGTACTCCGAGGCGCGCTCAAAACAGGCCTGGATACCGGAGTCCTTCCACAGCCGCTGGATGATGTCCGACATCTCCTTGGGCATCGTGCCCTCCTCGATAGTGTCTGCCATGTGCATCAGCTTCCGGGCGTCGTCCTGGGGGCAGGGTGAGAGTGGCTGGTGGCGGCCAGGGACTCGGGCCCAGCCGCGAGCCTCGAGTCCCCAGAGGCCCGCTCAGCCCGCCTCCTGGCACACCTGGCGTGCAGAGTCTCCGTACTGGATGTTGAGTGTGGTCATGGCGCGTACGATGGCCAGGATGGACTGCAACGTGTTGCCGTAGATGATGGCGATAAACTCGAGGCACTCTTCCAGCGAGTACCCGTCCTGGTGGATAATCCTGAGGCCGAGGAGAGCAGAATCAGCGCCTCGTGGGGAAGTGGGGAAGGACCCAGACCCAGGGGCCTCGGGACAGGCAGGGGCACTCACTTCATCTGCTTGACGATGGTGCTCTTCCCGGACTCACCGGCACCTGAAAGAGACGCGGCGCCTCAGAGCTGCGCTGACCAGCCTGCCCCCTCCAGCAAGGAGGCCAGGAGGACGGGGACCTCCCGAGTTGGCAGGGTGGACCCGCAGCGAAGAGGCCTGAGCGCCAGCCCCGACCCCGTAGCCACACCTACCCCCCCATCCAAATTAAGTCCTGACATCCTGAAGTCACAAGGTTTGCAAATGCCAGGAAAGTGAAGAAAGGAAGCCAACGAGGGGACTCAACGACCTCAACTGTTCTGGGACAGGGGAGTCCCCAAGACCCCGGCACAGGCAGCCTTTATTATGCTGTGAGACTGCAATGAAGAAATCCCGGAGCGTCATCGCCACCTCGTGGGAGCCTCTGGTACCGCAAGCACTGGGTTATTTGAGGCGGGTAAACCCCTTGCATTTCACCTGAAGGGGTGCAGGTGTCTCCAGGAGGCTCAGAGGGAATTAGCTCTTTTGGGTAGGAGGGAGGGCAGAGTTGACATCCTTTCTGAGCTTGCCCCTGCGAGGGCGTTGGGCACAGTTAATGAGATTTCCGGCTTAGCCTCTCTGCCTTGGGGGAAAGTGGGACTGGCTTGGTCCCTCACCCACCTCCAGCTGGTTGACCAGACCCTGGGGAGCTTGGGTGGAGCCCCTCTTGAAGCTGCTTTTTCCCCTTGAGAGGTCAGGCAGTGACCTTGAGGCAGGCCTGGATCAGCCCCATCTCTCCTCAGTGCCCATGGTCCAGTGGACGCGGCTTTATCTACTCCCACTGGGCCTCAGTACCCGCCAGCCCCTCTGGCTGCTTTGTAGGTCTATCAGCCACAGCCCTCTGGCACCTGAGGGCCATTCGTTGTGGATCTGGGTGGTCCTAGAGGCTCCCCACTCCCAGGAGGACTATGGCCATCCCCTTCCCAAAGTAGCAGCCCAATAACGGGCTCCCAGTGAGGCTCCTGGCTTCTGAGCATTGCCTAGCAGGCGTATCAAACCAAAGGCTGCATGAAGCTTGCGGGAACCCAGCCACGGAAAAGTCGGCATCACACACCCGTGCAAGAGTGTGGTTGGCACGCACTTCTGGGGAGGGTGGGTCACCTGAGGCAGAGCCGTCTGGAGAGGGGCTTTGTGGGATGTCCAGCCCTGGGGGACTAGGACACCACCTGTCAGGCCTGGCCTTGCTTGGCCAGGGCTCCCACCCTGTGCCCTACTCTGTCACAGGCTCATACTGCTTCCCAGGGAATCCTTGCTTCACAGAAGGGCTGCCTGCCTGCCTCCAGACCAATGACCTGGTGGCAGTGGCCCCACCTGGGCCCACACCCCTACCCAGAAGCAGCAGCTTCACGGTTCGAGCATCCTTCTCAGCGTCCTCTTTCAGCTTCTTTTCCAGCTCCCTGGAGTGCTTCTCCTCAGCACTGGCCCCAGCCCCCATGGTCCCAGCAGCAGGCGAAGGGACAGAGTGAGCAGGTGGTTCTTCTGGATGGAGGGGATCCCCAGAACCTGGCCTCCCAGGCACCCTTCTGGCCCCAGGAGGACCTGCAATCAACTGGCTCTCTACGGACCTGTGCAATCCCTGGTGGGGCTGCTTAGTGGGATTTGGGGGCTAGGGGTGTCCAAGAGCCAATCAGAGACAAGGACAGGTGAATCCAGCTCAGCCCCCCCAACCCTTCTAATCGGGCTGGCATAGCCCCAATCCCTCAACCGCTGACTCTGCACTCCGGCTGTCCTTCTGTCCCCGCAACCCTCCAGGAGAGGCCCTGGCACTGCCTGGGAGTGGGGAGACATGTTCAGTAGGGTCAGGGCTGAGAAAGGGGAAGGCAGAACCTTGAGCCCTGGGGGTGAGGACAATGGAGGTGGGGCTGGCAGTGAGAGGGCATAATTGGGAGAAACATGCCTGCTGCCTGCCCGGCACCAGGCTCAGCACCACTCCTTATCTTGTTGTAAGCTCACACTGGCCCTGGAGTATGGATGCCCATATCATCAGCCTCATTTTACTGATGAGGAAGTAAAGGCTGAAAGGGTCACACAGTAGGAAGTGGTTAAGAAGGGCTGGTGACTCTGGACTGGGATTTTATGACCTGCAGGGAATCCAGAGAGAGGGAAACAGTGGGCATTGCATTCATCCCATATCACAGGCTGGAGCTGCCCCAAGGAGGTCCTCTGCTTCCAGCGGACTGTGGTGGGCATGCATATCTGCTCTGTGTGCCTCGGTGTATGTGTCTTTTTTTTTTTTTTTTCTGAGATGGAGTCTCGCTCTGTTGCTCAGGCTGGAGTGCAGTGGCGCAATCTCAGCTCACTGCAAGCTCCACCTCCCAGGTTCACGCCATTCTCCTGCCTCAGCCTCCTGAGTAGCTGGGACAACAGGTGCCCGCCACTACGTCGGGCTACTTTTTTTGTATTTTAGTAAAGACAGGGTTTCACCGTGTTAGCCAGGATGGTCTCAGTCTCCTGACCTCGTGATCTGCCCGCCTCGGCCTCCCAAAGTGCTGGGATTACAGGCATGAGCCACCGTGCCTGGCCTTTTTTTTTTTTTTTTTTTTTTTTTTTTGAGACAGAGTTTCACTCTGTTGCCAGGCTTGAGTGCTGTGACACGATCTTGGCTCACTGCAACCTTCAACTCCCTGGTTTAAGCTTCTCCCACCTCAGCCTCCCAAGTAGCTGGGATTACGGGCATGTGCCACCATACCCAGCTAATTTTTTGTGTATTTTTAGTAGAGACGGGGTTTCACCATGTTGGTCAGGATGGTCTCGATCTCCTGACCTTGTGATCCACCCACCTCGGCCTCCCAAAGTGCTGGGATTCAGGTGTGAGCCACCTCGCCCGGCCATGGGTGTGTCTTTTGCTGGCACCAAGCGAGCAATAACTTGACACATTTGTGCATGAATACCTGTGTGTACATGTGTGCCTGCATGTTTATGCCTTTGTGAGTGCATGTGCTCTTATAGGAATCACGTGCCTGTGCGCATGCTTATGTATGTGTGCACATGTATACACATGTGTATGCATGTGTGAATATGCTTTGTGTATTCTCTTCATGCACACATAGGCTTGTGTGTTTTGCAGTTTGTGTAGGTTTGCATGTGTGCACTTGCTTATACGCAGGGGTGTAAACATGCCTGTTTGTACCTGAGCATATGTGTGCCTGTGCATGTCCATCTCTGCCTGTGTATGACTGTGTGTGTGCATGCATGCTTGCAGGCGCCTGTGCCTATATGTACACTTGAATTTGGGTGCAACAAAGTCTCTAATCTGCAGAAGTGGCCAGGCTCTTCCAGAGAATGTTTTGCAGGCCTGTTGCCAGGTGGAGAAATTGCATCCCAGAGCAGGTGTAGTGTTCCCTGGGGTATGGAGGAATGGGGCTCACCTATCCTGCTCCTGCTCTGTCTGCTGTGGGTGCTCTGAGGCCTGCCTAAGATTATCTCCAGGGCCTGCCTGCCTCAGCTTAGGGGGTCTGGTGCTCTGTTCAGGTGCAGGGCTCACTGCCGGGCAGAAATTGTTCAGGTTGAGCTCCCAGGTTCTAGAGACTTCCCACCCTCAACTTCCATAGGAAAACCCAAATCTTGGGCTCTCAAAGGCTCCTCCAGGCACCCTGAGCCTCCTGGCTGGACTCTTCCCTGGAACCTGGCTGCCTTTCAGCACTCAACTCTGCCACAGACTCAAGAGACCACAAGGGGGTGCCGGGGCACCAGACACTGAGCACTAACGGCTGTCTCTAAATAGTATGCGTGGGAAGTGAATGCTGGCTCCTACCACAGGCTGGCAGCTTCTACACCCACCCTGTTGGATGATGGGGATCTGTCCAGGAGTGAGGCCGTTGCATTTCTGCCACTTTCAGCCTTCAGGCTCCACCCACCCTCCCTGACCCTGAGGAGTGAGTGGGCCCTGAGGGGTCTCTACAGCCCTTCGCACTACCCAAGTGTTTGGGGTGGTGCAGCAGCCCAGGTTTGTCAAACTAAATGTGGTTTCTACATGTTGGGTTTCTTTAAATGGAGCCAATCTACTCCCTTCCCAGCCCCCCACCTGGCTCCCCAGGCCCACCACGTGTGGCTCTAAATCCCCTGACCAAGGAGAGAAGCCAAAGTCTAGTCCCAGAGCCAGTGTTTATTAGCAAGATGGAACCCAAAGGCGGCTGTGGCCTGGGCAGCAGAAGGCCACCAGGAGCCCCCACCCATCTACCCAACTGCCCCCCAGAGCTAATTACATCCACACCCATCCCCTGAAGTGGTGGACATAAGGGAGCCCTGGGGAGCCTCTACCGGCCCCAGGCCTCTACCACGGACCCCCTCCCCTCAGAGCTGGGGCCTCCCGTCAGCTCTGCCTGGGCCTGGCCCCTCTGCTATGCTCCCAGCCTCTGAGTCAAAGTGGCACAGGGAAAGCTAAGGAGGTAGAGTGGGGTGGCCCTGCCCTGGCCAGGCGGGGAGGGGAGAAGGGGCTGAAGAGGCTGTCCCACCCAGGCAGGATGCCTCTTCTCCTATCCCCAATAAATAGAGAATAAATACCCAGGAAGGGGCTGGTCGTGGCTGAGTGCCCCCAACCCAGGCAGGGGCTGGCATCCTGTGATGGCCCCTTCTTCCCTTCTCTGTGTGCTCTTGAGGCCACCCCAGTCTCCAAAGTGGTCCTCGCATCCATGTCTATGCCACAGCACAGGCTGACAACACACATCAGAAAAGGTGGACAGTCCGTGCCCCATCCGAGTAGGGCTTGCTCCCTCCCTTTGTCCTGTAGATCTTGGCGGAGGCTGTCCAGCAGGTAGACTTCCAGCTGAGTCTGGGGACTGTGTGGTCCTGGCCTGGCCCCACCAACTGGCTGGGCCTGGTTAGGCAGGCTCTGTTTTCTGCCGTCTCTGACCAGCATGGGTCTAAGTTTTGGAGGATGCTGCCACTGAGGCAGGCTATATTCAACCCACCAATAAATACTGTCTTTGCAGGGGCAGGGTGTGTATAGAATATAGATATTTTATATATATATATATATATATATATCTTTTATATTAAAAGGGACAAGGGCTAGGCTGGCCCATGGCAGGCACAGGCAGCTGGCCTCATGTGTCCGGAGGGTGGTGCCGGCGGTTCCGGGGCTTTTTCTGGTCCTGGGGCTCAGGAGACCGGGGTGCCCCTGGAGCCTCCCTGGGGCTGGGGGGCACATGGCGCCAGTAACCCTGGCAGTACTGGTGGATGAGGCCCACTTCTGGCTGGGCCAGCAGCTGGGCTAACTCCTGGTAAGGAGGCGTTGGGGGGCCTGCGCCTGGGGGTGGCGGGGCGCTCATGGACAGTGGTGGGAAGAGGGCAGCATGGACGGCGTCCCGGCCCAGTACATGCAGCTGCACTCGTGTGACGACGTGCTTAAAGTTGTTCTCAGTGGCTGTGCAGGAGTAGAGGCCACGATCGCTGAGCTGCAGTGCACGGAGCAACAAGCCCTGCTCTGTGCGCAGGAAGCGGTCCTCTGCACGAATCTGCAGGGGCAAGGAGAGGGGGTTCAGAGGCTCTGTGACCACCCTATGGCCCTAGCCAGCAACCAGATCAGACCACCTTTGTGGCCATTCCGTGTAGAGGCACCCATGTGGGATTTCCATATGCCAGAAAAACCACATGAAGTTTCTACATAATGAGAGATATTTGAATAAGGCATCTGTACAGATTTCCATTTCAGGAGTGATGACCATAAGGAGGTTCTGTACAATGAGGAAAATTTGAAGCACACACAGAATTCCTTTTTTTTTTTTTTTTTTTTTTTTGAGACAAGGTCTGGCTCTGTCGCCTAGGCTAGAATGCAGTTGAATGATCTCGGTTTACTGCAACCTCTGCCTCCCAGGCTCAAGCCATCCTCCCACCTTAGCCTCCCAAGTAGCTGGGACCACATGCATGACTATGCCCAGCTAATTTTTGTATTTTTGGTAGAGAGAGGGTTTCACCATGTTGCCCAGGCTGGTCTCGAACCCCTGACCTCAAGCAATTTGCCTGTCTTGGCTTCCCAAAGTGTTGGGGTTACAGGTGTGAGCCACCACGTCCAGCCAGAATTTCCATTTAACGAGAATATCCAATTGGGATAACCACATAGAATTTCCACATAAACAGGGACACCTGTAGGGCATTTTCATAAAATGAGGGCCCCATAGAATTTCCACATACTGGAGCTCACTCACATGATGTTTTTGTAGAAGGTACACCCCCAATGTGGTATGCATATGGAATTTTCATGTGAACAGGCATACCCAGAAACACTTTCCATAGAATGAGGCCAATCCCAGGGAGTTTCCATGTAACTGTTTTCACTCAAAGGATTTGCATGTAGGGAAGGGAGCTTGGAAGGGGTTTCACAGCATGAGAGTTGCTCCAGATCACTCCTCTACTACATTTCACCACTGTGCAAGGACTCACATCCACGGTGCAGCACCGGGCGCAGGAACTCACCTCTCGGCGCCGGTCACCAGGATCTCGCTGGAACAGCCACTTAACAGTGGCTTGGGGCGAGCGGGGCTGGCACTCAAGGAAGGCTGCGCTGCCGGCCACGCCATACTGCACAGACTCCACGGCATTCTTGTTGGCTTTAGAGTGAGAGGGGTTGAGCAAAAGCAGCATCACCTCCGGGCAGCCTGCTGACTGCTTCGGGGCAGGCACCGAGGGGCACCCACTCACCAATGTAGTGCTCTGTGTTGATGGGGCAACTAGGGACATCCCATCTCCATTAGCCCCCACCCTCCATTAGCCATCAGAGCACCCTTACAGTGGGGGCCCTGTGAGCAGCTTCGTGGGCTGCGTGGACTTCTGCAGTGTGAGCAGCACCCCACAGTGAGGCCCAGCATACTCACCATTGGAGTTGAACCCACGGCACTGCCTGATGGGGTTTCCGTGCCGGACGTCCTGCCGGCGGCTCCGCCTGGATGAGGATAGCCCCTGAAGGAGTGCTCCCAGGAAGCTTGCCCCCCCAGGTCCCTGTATCTCCCTGACTCCAGGGCAGGGCCCTTTTTCCCCAGGGCAGTGATGTCTTACCCATAAGACTCCCCTAGGGTAATATCACATGCACCCCGGGTAATATCACATGCACCCCCAATCCCCTAGGATAGGGCCCTGGGACTGGTTGCTAAAATTCTAGGTGTCTAGGGGTCCACACCTCTTGGAGGATGCTGTATAGCGGGAGCAGGCCTGGCCATCCCAGGCACAGTAAGGGTCCCGGGCAAGGCAGCAGTCAGCACAGGCAGCCCCATACGCCTGGCAGCGGTGCAGGCTCAGGTGTGTGACACCCACGGCTGACGCCACGTAGAGTTGTTGCTGGGGCAAAGGGTAGGGCCTTGTCAGTTCCTGTCCCATAGCCAGCCCCACCAACAGCCAGCTAGGCTGGGCTCCTCTCCCCTGTTCCATGCCTCAGTTTACCCATCCCTGTGCCAAGGGCATGACCCTGAGGGGATGCAGGCCCTGTCCCCAACCTTGGCTCACCTCGCCAAAGGCTTACCCTCTTAGAAGAGATGGTCATGGTCTTGACGGGTGCTGGATCCTAGAAAAAGATAAAGATCAGCTTGGGATGCCAGGGACCCCCTCCCTGCCCTGACCTAGAGGTCTCAGGTCAGAGGCTGGGACTGGGGGGAGGGTAAAGGTGGGGAGGTCAGGACTGGGTGGTGTCACACCCACCTTGAAGACCTCCACCTCCTCCAGCATGAGCTCCTCCAACTCCTGGTCATCCTTGGGCAGCACAATGACCTTCTGCACTGTCCCGCGGTCTGGAACGGGCCGGGCAGGGCCTCAGTGGGGCTGGGGATGCTGGGGAAGGGGTACCAGCCTCAGCCCCTTCCCCCACCAGGGCCCAAACCCCCCTAGGGCATTGGAGCTGGAGCTTTGTGCCAAGGTGGAAGAGTTTCCCCAGGTCAAAGGGGACTGGCCCAGGACATAGGGGGTCATGGCCATGGTCTGCCCCCACCAACCCAGACCCTGATTTTGGGCCCTGCTGAGAACAGGACACTGGGGCATGCATTCTCCTGTGTTTGGGCTGCTGGAACTGTAGGGGGTGCACTGTGGCATGTGTGTGCACACACGAGCATGTGTATGGCCTCTGTATCCTGGAGGTGCCTACCATCTGTCTCCACCCCTTTCCTGCCATACATACATAAGTCCCCAGATGCCCAGTGTCCCTGTTCTCCTGGGCCCCTGGGGATGGAAGTGGGAATGGGGTTTTCTCACCCCTAGCCTCTGTTATCCCATCAATAGGGAGAAGGCACCAAAGGATGAGGATGAAGAAGTGACTCTGATGAGCTTGCAGCAAGCCCTAGCAGGGCAAGCCCCAGCCCCAAGGATCTGCACCCCGCACCCGGTGGGCCCAGCGTGGGAGAGGCCGGGAGCAGCAGTGGGTACCTGTGCCCAGGAAAAGCACCTCATAGCGCCCGTCGGCTGCATCCACCTGGTCCACGGCAATAGTGGTAAGGCGGTAGGGAGCACCTGTGCGGACTACCAGGGGCCGCCGCTGCAGAGGGTACACGGCCTGGTACATGAGTGGGTGGCTGCGCATGAAGTTGATCACCTCATCAGGATAATCCTTGGTGGACTTCATAGATGGCGTGAAGGTTCCACCAGGGCACTGTGGACAGGTGGCGAGTGTCAGTCCCAGGCTGCCTGGGCAGGGCAGGCTGGAGCCATTAGCTTCAGAAGAGGCCGCTGCACTGTCTGTCCCCACTACCTCAACCTGCTCCTCTCCCCAAACCCGCTCTCCAAGTTTCTGCCCTGCACCTGACCTCTACAGGTCCTGCTCTGGCCAAGGTCCCAGGTGGCCAAATGCCACAGCCACCTCCCTGGCCTCAGGTGCCATGACCTCGTGGCAGCATTTGGCCAAGCGGACCACTCCCTTCCATGTCCCCCTCCCCACCCCTGTCATCTCCTTCCTCTCTGGTTGTTCCTAGGGTCTCACCCGTCTCCCTCCTGCACAGCTGGACTGCAGGCCCCGACGTCCTTGTCACACACCAGGCTCACTCTCCTCCTTCCTGAAGCTGTCCCCTGAACCTGGGCTCAGCCTGCCCCCCGTCATGGCCAGCTTACCTCTGGCCCATCCTTCTGACTCCAGGTTACCTCTGGAGGGAAGCTTCCCCTGTCCCCCACTGAGACCAGCTTCTCCAGCCCAGTCCTGACTACATGGAGTCAGAACTGCATTGGACCAGATCCGCTGCTCTCCTGCTTAGGCTCCCACATCAGCCGGTGTCACATCAAGATAAAGTGACATGCCTCTGTGACCTCTGAGACCCTGCCTGAGGCCTGGCCCTGCCCCTCCCCAGCTCTTTGCCTCCTGTTCCTCAGCTGAGCCAACCTCCAGCCTGCCTCCAGCACCTGCAGGGAAGACGCTTCCCCCCAACCTTCAGCTCCCAAACAGCCCCACAGAGGACCCTCTGAGGAGCAGCCGACCACGCCCAACCCACCATCTTTGTCCCAGAATCCCATCTGGGCTCCTCCACAGCTTGACACTGTGTGTGAAGGCCCGTCTGTGTGTGCATTACAGCTCACCGCCTCCGCTGGCTGGGAGGGCCATGATGGTGGGGCCCATGTTGCAAAGAGCCTGACCCAGAGGCCTCTTAGAAGAAGAGAAAGGGGAGAGGCAGGATGAGTGGGGTCCTTACCGTGCCCGGCCGTGGGTAGGGCATCTTCCCTGAGAAGGGCATCCACTGGTAGTTGGGCCCCTCTTTGTGGGCAAAGGGCCCGTTGAAGACCATGCGAATATCAGCCATGGAGTAGACACACACGGCAGAGCCTCGGAACACGGAGCTGTGGGCATGGCAGGCGCTGCTGAGCAGGACAGACCCTCCACCTAGGGCCCCTCCCCAAACTGCCCCCTCCCCACAGCTCGCCACCGGGCTGGGGTTCTCCACGAGTTACAATCCCCCAACGGGGCCACTCCCTGCCACTGCTGGCCCTGACCCCAGCCTCACCCAGAGGAGGTAAAGACAGCGTAAATGACAGGGTTCCTCACGTCCTGGGTCTGCTGGACAAACACGTCCTCTGGGGACAGAGGGAGAAGGTGTTGGAGGGTGCCATGGGCGGGAGCCCCTGGGCCCCACCCACTCCTGCACAGGGGAGGGGGCCCACCAAAGGCACCCTGATCGCCCATCCCGCCTCTATCCCTCTTGCTGTAGCCAGAGCACCCTGCCTGCCTGCTGGGCACTCACGGAGCTCATCAAAGTGAGTCTCAATGCCATCCTCGCCCGGGACAGAGCAGACGAGCCGCGCCTTCAGGAATGTGCTCCACTTGTTGACCAGGCAACAGTGACCACCGTCATCGTTCTGGGGGGTGGGGCAAGAGGCCGGGTCAGATCAGCTCTTGACCCCAAGCCCTGGCTGGAGCAGGGCTGATGAAGCCAGAACTGGTGGAAGGGGCAGCCTGGTGGCTCTGCCAATGCATACCAGGCAAATGCGCCCGATGCGGGCGTACACCGCGGGGCTCTGCGGCGCCTCTGCCGACCGCTCACGGAAGAAGAAGTAAAGCTTATCATCATTGCGCTCCGCACTGTCAGGAATGAGCTCAGCATGGATGAACGACGGGTCTGCAGGTGGCAGGGGTCAGCTGGGTGAGCCCCTACTCTGATGGTGCCCCTGATGTTCTCCAACAGAATCCCCAGCCAGGTGCAAGAACACCCCCAACTCCTCTCCAGATAAGAAACTACCCCTGCCCCAGGTAGTCATAGGCTAAACATGTCCCCACTTCCCCCACATGTGCTTCTTTACGACCTCCTTGCCGCATCCCAGACACATGGCCACGGAAGGGCTCCTGGGGCTGCGCTTACCGTTCAGCCACCGGGAGTTGTACTGATCCGTGCGCATGGCTGTCTGCTTTCCAAGTGTGCGGAAGATGGCTGCATCAGTGCCCATAAAATCGATGTACACACCAGCATAGAGCTCCTCATCTGTGGGTAGGCCAGTGGGTCAGTTGGGGGGCTGCTGTTTGCTAGGGCCAGGGCACAGCTCAGATGACTTCCAGGGCAGGGCCTTATCTCCCCGCTCAGGCTCCCTGGGGCATGATCCTATCTCCAGTGGAGTGCTGGTCAGTGTTTCACCACTGGCTCTGGGAGGGTTGGGATTAGTAACTATCAGCTCTGATTAGTAGCAATAGCCCATTTCTGTGGTGTGAATACTCCTGCCACAACTAATTTCAAGCTACCAACCTGAGGTCACTGAAAGCAAAATCAGGAAGAGCTGCCAACACCACTGTACAGTATTTCTACCCCACAGACACAACAAATGTAAATCACCTCAAGAGCATAGCTAATAGACCAGCTGCAGTGGCTCATGCCTATAATCCCAGCACTTTGGGAGGCCCAGGTGGGTGGATCATTTGAGGGCAGGAGCTGGAAGCCAGCCTGGCCAAGATGGTGAAACCCTACCTATACTAAAATACAGAAATTTTCTGGGCATGGTGGCAGGTGCCTGTAATCCCAGCTACACGGGAGGCTGAGGCAGGAGAATTGCTTGAACCAGGGAGGCGGAGGTTGCAGTGAGCGAGATCATGCCACTGCACTCCAGCCTGGGCAACAGAGCAAGGCTCCATCTTAAAAAAAAAAAAAGAGGCCGGGCATGGTGGCTTATGCCTCCTGTAATCCCAGCACTTTGGGAGGCCAAGGCTGGCAGATCATGAGGTCAAGAGATCGAGACCATCCTGGCCAATGTGGTGAAACCCTGTTTCTACTAAAAATACAAAAAAATTAGCTGAGCGTGGTGGTGCACGCATGTAGTCCCAGCTACTCAGGAGGCTGAGGCAGGAAGATCCCTTAAACCTGGGAGGCGGAAGTTGTAGTGAGCCGAGATCGCACCACTGCACTCCAGCCTGGTGACACAGTGAGACAACCGTCTCAAAAAGCAGGAACAAAAATAAAAAAAAAAAACACAAAAAAACAAAAAAAGAGCATAGCTAACAATAAAGTGTAGTGAAAGAATTAGGAAGCATATGCACACCTCAGTTTACTGGGCTTTGTGCACTGCAAATACTGCATTTTTTACAGAAGGAAGGTTTGTGGCAACCCTGTGTCAAGCAAGTCTGTTAGCACCATTTTTTCAACAGCATATGCTTACTTTGTGTCTCTGTGTCTGTGTCACAGTTTGGTAATTCTTCTTTTTTTTTTTTTTTGAGATGGAGTCTTGCTCTGTCACCCAGGCTAGAGTGCAGTGGCACCATCTCAGCTCACTACAACCTCCACCTCCCAGGCTCAAGCAACTCTCTTGCCTCAGCCTCCCAAGTAGCTGGGACTACAGGTGCCCACCACTACATCTGGCTAATTTTTGTATTTTTAGTAGAGACGGGGTTTCACCATGTTGGCCAGGCTGGTCTCGAACTCCTGACCTCAGGTGATCCACCTGCCTCGGCCTCCCAAAGGGCTGGGATTACAGGCATGAGCCACCGCGCCTTGCCTACATTTTGGTGATTCTTGCAATATTTCAAACTGTCTGTTATGGTGATCTGTGATCAGTGATCTTTGATGTTACTATTGCAATTATTTCGGGGCACCGTGAACCTCACCCATATAAAACAGTGAACTTAATCGATAAATGCTGTGTGTGTTCTGACTGCTCCACTTACTGGCCATTCTCCCATCTCTCTCCCTCTTCTTGGGCCTCTCCATTCTCTGGGACACAGCAATATTAAAATTAGATCAATTAATAATCCCACAATGGCCTCTAAGTGTTCAAGTGAAAGGAAGAGTCATATTATCTCTCACTTTAAGTCAAAAGCTAGAAATGGGCCAGGTGCAGTGGCTCATGCCTGTAATCCTAGCACTTTGGGAGGCTGAGGCAGGGGATCACTTGAGGTCAGGAGACCAGCCTGGCCAACATGGCATAACCCACTTCTACTAAAAATATAAAAATTAGCCAGAGGTGGTGGTGGGCGCCTATGATCCCAGCTACTTGGGAGGCTGCGGCAGGAAAATCACTTGAACCGGGGAGCAGGGAGTCGGGGGGTGGAGGTTGCAGTGAGCCAAGATCATGCCACTTCACTCTAGCCTGGGGGACAGAGTGTAACTCTGTCAAAAAATAAACAAACAAATAAAAAAAAACAAAAAAGCTAGAAATGATTAAGCTTAGTACGGAAAGCATGTTGAAAGCTGAGATAGGTCCCAAACTAGGCTGCTAGCACTAGTTAGCCAAGTTGTGAATGCAAAGGAAAAGTTCTTGAAGGAAATTAGAAGGGCTATTCCAGTAAACACACAAATGATAAGAAAGTGAAACAGCCTTATCACTGATATGGTGAAAGTTTTACTGGTTTACGTGGAAGATCAAACCAGCCACAACATTCCTTTAAGCCAAAGTCTAATCCAGAGCAAAGCCCTAACTGTCTTCAATTCTATGAAGGCTGAGAGAAGAGAGGAAGCTGGAGAAGAAAGGTTTGAAACCAGCGGAGGCTGGTTCATGAGGTTTAAGGAAAGCAGCCATCTCCAAAACATAAACATGCAAGGTGAAGTAGCAAGTGCTGATGGAGAAGCTGCAGCAAGTTTTCCAGAAGATTTAGATAAGATCATGGATGAAGGGAGCTACACTAAACACGATTTTCAATGCAGATAAAACAGCCTTCTGGCCAGGGCCAGTGGCTTACACCTCTTATCCCAGCATTTTGGGAGGCGGAGGTGGGAGGAACACTTTAGGTCAGGAGTTCAAGACCAGCCTGGTCAACATGGCGAGACGCTTTCTCTACTAATAATACAAAAATTAGCCGGGCATGGTGGCATGCGCCTGTAATCCCAGCTACTTGGGAGGCTGAGGCAGGAGAATCGCTTGAACCCAGGAGGCAGGGGTTGTGGTAAGCCAAGATGGTGCCACTGCACTCCAGCCTGGGAAATACGGCAAGACTCCATCTCAAAAAAAAAAAAAAAGAAAGAAAGAAACAGCCTTCTCGTGGAAGAACATGCCATCTAGGATTTTCACGGCTATCAAGGAGAAATCAATTCCTGGCTTCAAAGCTTCGAACGACAGTCAGACTCTCTTATTAGGGGCTAATGCAGCTGGTTACTTTAAGTTGAAGCCAGTGCTCATTTACCATTCCAAGAACCCTAGGGCCCTTAAGAATTATGTGAAATAGGGGTGGGCGTGGTGGCTCACGCCTGTAATCCCAGCACTTTGGGAGGCCAAGACAGGTGGATCACGAGGTCAGGAGATCGAGACCATCCTGGCTAACACGGTGAAACCCCGGTCTCTACTAAAAATTAGCTGGGTATGGTGGCGGGTGCCTGTAGTCCCAGCTACTCAGGAGGCTGAGGCAGGAGAGTGGCGTGAACCCGGGAGGCGGAACTTGCAGTGAGCTGAAATCACACCACTGCACTCCAGCCTGGGCGACAGAGCGAGACTCCATCTCAAAAAAAAAAAAAAAAAAAAGAAAAAGAATTTTGCAAAATCTACTCTGCCTGAGCTCTATAAATAACAACAAAGCCTGAATGACAGCACATCTGCTTACAGCATGGTTTACCGATTTTTTTTTTTTTTGAGCCAGAGTCTCGCTCAGTTGCCCAGGCTGGAGTGCAGTGGTGCGATCTCAGCTCACTGCAACTTCCACCTCCCAGGTTCAAGCTATTCTTCTGCCTTAGCCTCCCAAGTAGCTGGGATTACAGGTGCACACCACCACACCTGGCTAATTTTTGTATTTTTAGTAGAGACAGAGTTTCACCCATGTTGGCCAGCCTGGTCTCGAACTCCTGACCTCAAGTGATCCACCCGCCTCAGCCTCCCAAAGTCCTAGGATTACAGGCATGAGCCACTGTGCCTGGCCGGTTTTCTGAATATTTTAAACCCACTGCTCAGAAAAAAAGATTCCTTTCAAAATATTACTGCTTATTGGTCTTGGTCTCCATCAGAGCTCTGATGGAGGTGTGCAAGGAGACAAATGTTGTTTTCATGCCTGCTAACACAACATCCATTCTGCAGCCCATAGATCAATTTCAATTTTCAAGTCTTTTCTTTTTTTTTGAAATGGAGTCTCACTCTGTTGCCCAGGCTGGAGTGCAGTGGCACGATCTCAGCTCACTGCAACCTCCACCTCCCAGGTTCAAGTGATTCTCCTGCCTCAGCCTCCCTAGTAGCTGGGATTACAGGCACCTGCCACCACGCCTGGCTAATTTTTGTATTTTTAGTAGAGACAAGGTTTCACCATGTTGGCCAGGGTGGTCTCGAGCTCCTGATCTCAGGTGATCCGCCCGCCTCCGTCTCCCAAAGTGCTGGAATTATAGGTGTGAGCCACCGCACCCGGCTAGTTTTGAGTGTTTGTTACTTTTTATTGTTGTTACCTTTGTTTTAATGTTTAATCGTAAACTTATATAATTTAAAAAATGTTTTTTATTTTTTATTTTTTAGTAGAGACAGGGTTTCACCATGTTGTCCAGGCTGGTCTCAAACTCCTGACCTCAAATGATACACTCCCCTCAGCCTCCCAAAGTGCTGGGATTATAGGTGTGAGCCACTGAGCCTGGCCTTAACTTTTAATAATAGTTGTCTTTAACAACTGGCTCAAAAAATTCCTGAAAATTTAATAATGTACTTGCCTCTAACATACCACATCTGAGGCTCCCCCAGGGCAGGCCCTGTCTTTCCTCATCAGAGTGATTTGGGCTGTGCCATCAGGCTGGGACCTTCTCACTTGCCAAGAGGGGGAGGATAATGTCTGCCCCTTGACCCCAGGGCCTTTCCCAGGCTTGGAGGTGGCACAGTGCCCAACAGCTGCTCTGAGAGGCAGACTGTGTTGAACAATCAGAAAACAGGCAGCGTGCATGAGCCAGGGTCAGTGATGGGTTCACCCAACCTGCAGTTAGGGGCAGCAGCTGCTCCTGAGACCCCGGCAGGACCCCTACTCAGAGAACAGCCCCCAACCCTCCCAGACACCTACCCAGACCAGGAACATGCTCTCCCCGTCTGGTCACAGGGCCGGAACTCTCCATTGGTCCTTCGCTACAGGGCTCTCCCAGCCTCTCAGACACACCAAGAACATGCTATGGGACTGCCCCTCAGACCAGCCCCGATACGCACTCGGCTTATCTTCTCTTCTAGGAAGCCTATGGTCAGGAGGGTTCTGGACTTTGCATGGACCACATTGTGTGTTTCAGGGTAGGACCTGGCTTCCTTGGTCCCCCATCCAAAGGGGCCAGGCGGAGGCTTCTACCACCCAGTCTCTGACCTCAGCTCACAGTGGGGTCTGGCCTGCACCCTCTCCCCCTTGCCAGGTGGGGCCTTTTGGGGAGTTCAGGGACAGCCTAGTCATGGTCTCTGCCCTTGGGTAAGTGTTGGTGCCATGCCCCATCTCCAGGGGCAGAGGCCACACATTGAGACTGTAGAGCGGGGTTGGGGGGCACTCACTGATGAGGGCCGATGCTGTGTCCAGCTTGGGATCGTACGGACACTTGCCCTTCCCTGACTCGAGTCGCTCAGGCTCCAGGTAGAAGATGTAATCCTGTAAGGCAGAGCGGGGCTCAGCATCGTCCAGGCCAGTCCCCCAGCCAGGAAGTGTAAGGGTCACCAGGCTCCCAGGGTGAGAATGAGCCCCCAGGCATACCCCGAGCCCACCCCCTACACTCCCCAGCATTCCTTGGCCTTAAACTCCATCCAGCCAGGTCTCCCAGGGCAGGGCCATGCTGTGGGCTCCAAGGGGGGTGCTTCCTAGTCCCAGGTCTTAGGGAAGACCTGGGGACCAAGTCTCAAGGGGCCCTGCCTTGTGGGCTATGAGATGGACATGGAGTGGGCTTGTAGGGGCTGAAGCCCCTCCATGCCAACTGGCTCATAAAGACACTGGCCAAGGCCCCCTGGGCTACAGAGGCACAGCTCTTTGCTGTGGCTGCCTGTCTTGGGTCAAGAAAGCGCTGCAGACCTGGCCAGGGCAGGAGTGACTGGTTAAGGGCCTGGGGTCCTGTCCTTTGCCATCAGGTCTAGCCAGGCCAGAGAGCTCTAAGGTTACTGTATCCTCAGGCTTTGTGTCCTACCTGTGGTCCTCAGGATGGACCAATGGGCCATGACCTTTCTCCTGTCCCTCAGCACAGCCCCCAGGCTCCACATCTCCCCAGGGAGCCAGGAGTCAAGGAGTCCAGCCCAGACCACATGGAATTCACAAAGCCCCCTGTGCCTCCCAGCCCAGCCTGCAAGATGCTAGGAAGGCTGGAAAAGGCACTGGGACAGGGGTGAGCACAGAGGCCACAAGAGAAAGCCAGGCAGAGGGAAGGAAAGGGGCAAGGAGAGAGGAACAGAGGCAGGAGGAGGTGGCAGCAGGTGGCAGGATGGCGATGGGAAGGTGCACACAGGCCTACTTCCAGCTACACACTGCACACGTGACTTCCTGCACACACAAGGGTGCACACACAGCTCTGAACATATCACCGCCAGCACACGGAACCGCCTGCTCACACCATGGACACACACACACAGAATCCACACGATCCTGCATTTCTGCACTCCCCACCACAAACATGCTCTGTCATTCACCGGCAGCCCCTGCCCCCCTGCCCGCCCCTGCCCAGCCCCAGCTCTCCCAGCCCAGACCCAGGTCATCACTAGTGGACAGATACCACACGGGAGAAGAGCGCCCCAAGCACATGAGTGTGCAGGACACCTGTGTCCACAGATGACTCATGGGAGGCATGGGGCACGAACACCTGGGAGTAAGGTGTCAGACTGCACTCATGTGCCACTTTCCACTCTGGGTGCTGAGTGAGGAAGGCCCACATCCACACCGGTGTGTGCTCTTGTGTGTCTACACACATGCTTTCTGAGGGCTAAGGCATGGCTGTCCCCAGGGCTCCTGTCTTCCCCACCTGGCGGCTTCATTATTTCTTGCCTGCAGGGGTCACACTGAGGCTGACATGAGTCCAGCTGGGCATGCCTTCTGAGCCTGAGGGCTCTTCAGGGGAAGGGGTGGGGACAGGGTGTGGGCACAGAGGTAGAGGGGAGGCCCTGGGGAGGCTGGCCTCAGGTGCAGGCCCAGGGTGAGTTCCGCTCAGAGGCAGTGCTGCCTGGCAAAGGCCTGGAGGGATGAGGCCCACCTGGCGTGGGGCTGTGGGCATCGGGCGGAGGGCACCATCCGTGGCTCTGCTGCCGCGGCCTCTGACCGCCTGAGTCTGGGTCCATGGTGTGGCCTGAGAAGACGAGGAACAGGGGTTAGAGCTGGGGGTGGCAGGGGCTGGGGGAGCGGGCTCGGGCTGCCAGCCTCTAACACCACACAGGCCAGGAACACACGTGAACACGTGGGCCCCCCAGAGCACGTCTATGCGTGTGTACATACATACACACAGGCTTGGCACACACCTGCACACACAGGTGCCCCTCAGATCCAGTCATTCTCACACATGCCCTACAAGTTCACGCCAGCTCACACACATGCCCACATGGAAATGGAAAAGGGTGGAAGCAGGCAGGAAGGGGCAGAGCTGGGGAAGGGGCAGCTCCCCACAACCCTGGCCCTGGGGGTGGAAGGCAGCTCTCCCCCAGGCCACATGGTAGAAGCTGACCCAGGGGTCCAGCCTCCTATTGCAAGGCCCCCACCAGGCCCTCTGGCTCGGCCGTCGGGGCACGGTCCACAGGCATAGCCAAGAGAGCTGTTGCCACATATGGAGCAAGTGCTTACTATGTGCCAGGCACAGTGCTAGGAGCTTTGGGAGCTTTAGCTCACTGCCTCCTCCTCACACCGACCTGTGAGAAAGGCAGCGGTTAGCCCCATTTTCAAGTGAAGAAACTGAGGCTCAGCGAGGTGAAAGAAGTCACTCACCCAAGGTCAAAAGGCTCGGAAGTGGCAGGGCTGGGGCTGAAGCCCCTCCTCCCATCAGGACCCTGGGATGCAGCCACCAGCGGGGGCAGCACAGGGCCAGGGTGGCTGGGGCTTACCTGGGCGCGGCGTCCGCGGTTCACATAGGTGCACATGGGGTTGTAGGCACCTGTCCCGCACACATACAGGTGTGTTCGGTTCCAGGGCTGGATGAGCCTGACGAAGTTCCCACACTCGCCCTGGGGCCACAGGGAAGGCTGCATAGGTGCCCTGGCCAGGCCTGCCCCCTCACTGGGGGCAGTACCTTCCCACCTGTGGATTCCCCCTTCCCACCTGTGGATCCCACCAAACTCACGTTGACATCCTTGCCTGAGAGCACGCATTCCTCGATGCGCTGTGGGGAGGCTGCCCAGTGTATCTGCAGAGAGGGGGGTCAGAAGGTGCAGCCTTCTGGACATGCCCTGAGCCCTGGGGCTCCGTGCCCACCCCACGTCCCACATCAGGGCCAGCCCTTACAATGAGGGGCTCGCGGTTGATGTCGTGCAGGTCCAGGGACAGCACGTAGTCCTTGCTGCCCACGTACATGCGGTCGTGGTCCTCGTCCTTGAGCAAGATTCGGTAGTCGGTTGTGTTGAGCAGGAAGTTGAAGAAGTGGGCGGTGCCTGTGGCCTTCAGCTCTGTGGGTGGAGGGCAGGGCACCAATTAGGACCTTCAGGAAACCATCCAGCCATACCCCCTCTGATAAAGGGGAGACTGAGGCCCTGAGGTTCCCCTCAGGACCCCCACCACAGAGTGGTCTTTTTTCTTTCTTTCTTTTTTTCTTTTTACGAGATCAAGTCTCACTCTGTTGCCCAGGCTGCAGTACAGTAGCGAGATTGCGGCTCACTGCAACCTCCATCTGCTGGGTTCAAGCGATTCTCCTGTCTCAGCCTCCTGACTAGCTGGGATTACAGGCGTCAGCCACCACACCCAGCTTATTTTTTGTTTGTTTGTTTTTTGAGATGGAGTCTCACTCTGTCACCCAGGCTGGAGTGCAATGGCGCGATCTTGGCTCACTGCAACCTTCGCCTCCCGGGTTCAAGCGATTCTGCTGCCCCAGCCTCCTGAGTAGTTGGGATCACAGGCGCCCGCCACCACGCCTAGCTAATTTTTGTATTTTTAGTAGAGATGGGGTTTCTCCATGTTGGTCAGGCTGGTCTCGAACTCCTGACCTCGTGATCCACCTGTCTCAGCCTCCCAAAGTGCTGGGATTACAGGCATGAGCCACTGTGCCCAGCCCACACAGTGGTCTTAAACCTCCAGCTCCCCTTCCTGGATCCTTCTCAGCTCCCTCTCCAGTCCCTGACAGACTGAGAGGACAAAGTGGCACAGGTAGGCAGGCCAGGGAAGGCGCCACACCCAAAGCTAAACCCCTGATTCATAGACAGCCCTAGCTAGTCTCTGGGTCCCAATGAAAGGGCGGTAGGTGCGGGCCAGGGTACGCAACAGCATCAAAGAGTTTTTGCTCAGGTGGGGGTTAATGCTCCCACGCTCAGGGTGGGGCCAGCTTCACACAGGGGCTTAAAAGGGTTAATGAGCAGATAGGGGTGTGACCGGGTATATCTGGGACAGCCGGCAGACTCTGGCATGGAGCCTGGATGCCCTGTTCTTACCCTGGCTGCCCACCAGGCAGAGGGCACAGCTGGTGCACAGCAAGGTCCTCACTTGGTCTGAAGCAGGTTAGCCAGGAGACCAGAAAGCCCTGCTGGACACACTGCCCTACGGACCCCAGCTTCCCCCAGACCCTATAAGGCTGCTAATGGTGGAACTCTCAGGCCACCTTGAATGAGCCAGGACAGTCATTTCTGGGAAAGAGGCTCTCTCCCTGGAGCTACAACCCTGGGGCTAAAGGCAGGGTTCAACTGGGTCCTCTAGTTTCCCTTTTGCATGAGTCCAGCAGCCTTGGCCCCTCCAACTCCAGGATGCTGGGGAAAAGTCCTTCCTAAGGATGAAGGACAGGAGGGGGCTCAGACAATGACAGACAAAGGACTCCTAGAAGCTTGGGAACCTGCCTCCAAGGGGAGGGAGAGCCGAGGGGTCCCCTTGGCAAGCCCCCTCTCCACCCACCCCCAGCTATCTTTAGCTCAGCAAAAGAGGGAACACTGTAATGAGGATGATGAATATTCACACACACAGGGGGCTTAAGATAGCAGCACACAGAAGAGTGCATGCATGTATACACGTGGCACAGGCATGCACATGGCGCACACATGTCCTACCACACATGAGGCACTCACCAAGGGGGTCACACATGTCTCATCTCCCCTCCCCAGCTGGTAACCCATTTCACAGGTGGGGCAGTCAAGGGAGAGGCCTGGGCCAGGCCCCAAGGCACCTGGAGGGGGAGAACAGCTGGGATCCGAGGCCCTAGACACAGCCTGAAGGTGGGGCAGAGGTGGGCTGGGGTCAGGGGGTTCCACCAGCTGACCCAGAGCCCATGTCTGGTCCCAGGACCTCACTCTGAGAAACTAGTGGGTAAGGAAAGGTCTTGCCCTGCCTGGCCCTGACTATGCGGTGACAAGGGAATGCAGGTGATGACCTTGGCCAACCGCTGGGACGCAGGGACGCCGAGGGATCAAAGGGCCGATCCTGCCTGGCGATGGCCTCACCCGCCTGTCCAGCGGCGCCTCTGAAGTCCTGGGCAGGGCGGCCCAGGCACCTGTCCCGCACCTGTTGTTGGGCCACTCGGAGTCCCCCGCCTGGCCGCTCACCCGCCTGGCTGCTCACCCACAGTGACAACAGGAAAGTAAACATTCCCCCACCCCCAGGGCTGGGAAGTGGCCAGAGAGGAAGTGGGGCTGCCAGTGGAGCCCCCCCAGGCTGGGACAGCCCGCCAGGGGTTATTTATACCCTGGCTGGGGGCATGGCTCGGTCATGCCCTTACCCATCCCCTGGGCTAGGGGGCACTTTGGGGGCAATGGCAGGGGGAGGGGCTAGAGGCTTAAGTGGGCGCCTTCAGACACGGGCACTCCGGGTAAGGGGAAGCTTCAGCCATTAAGCCCCCAGGAACCCAATCAGCCATAATCCCCAAGCTCCAACCCTGCGCAGCCTTGGGCCTCTATAATATCAACCCTGCACCAAGACTCCCAGAGCCCGAGGCCCAAGTCCGAGTCCCCTACCCTCTTGCAAAGCCCCAGCACTCCCAAACTCCAGCTCCCTCTGTGAGAAAGGCCGTAGAGAACACTCAGAGGATGAGGAAACTGAGTCCCAGCTTAGGGGCAGAGGATTGGCCTCGACCCTCTCTGCCTGCTGCCCCCAGTCTGCCCCTGGGTGGAGGTGGGGGTGGAGGGAGCCCCTTGCTCAGTTATCGAACACCCGCTGTGCACAAAGCCCTGTGCTCACAATACCAAGGGCACAGGGCACAGGGAAGGGATGTGACATGCCAGAGTGCATGGGGGTGGGATTCCCACCTAGGTCCATGGCTGAAGGAGGGGGAGGCCCAGGGGAAGCCAGTCCTGGTGGTAGAGACTGCCTGCCAGGAGGGCCAGGGCCGGAAGGTGACTCGCTCCCCGTGGACAGGGCACATGACTCAGGACCTGCGGGACCCCTCCCAGTGGCCACGGGATATGGCGTCAATGGCTCTGGTGTCACAGGACGTGACGCTTTGGTCACTGTGGAAACAGTGTGGGGGGAGGGGGAGCCCCAGGAGGTCGCGCATGGTGGGGAAGGGGTGGGACCCAGGATCAGGGATCCTTGGCTATGGCTTGAGTTTCTGGGTGAGCTTCATGACCTGAGTTGGGGGCACTCTCGCTCTCTGAGCCTCATTCTCTAGTCTAGACCATCTCTCAGGCCCTCCTGGTACTGATATTCAAAGTGACCCTGAGGATCAGTGACCCCGTTCTGATCTCAGAGAGAGGCTCACGGCCTGGCATTCCTCAGGTCTTCCCCCAACCCATCCTTCATGGGTGTCTCTGCCTTTCAGGGAAAGGAGAGTGGAATGAGGTCCCAAGTCCTTCCCCAAGGAAGCAGGCTTCCACGTGTCGCTATCTCTTGTAGGGCATCCATCCCCATTCCCACCCCAGCTACTCCATTTCCTAGTGCTAGATTGGGGAGCAGAGAGGGCTATAAGGCAGGAAGAGGCAACCTGTGGACTCAGCTCCAGCCTTCCCAACTCCAGTGTGTCCTTACCCCATCCCCAACCCACAGGAATAGAGCTAAATCCCAAACCATTCATCCAAACCCAGCCTACCAGAGGGGAACCAAGGTGGAGAGGGGTGGGAACTTCCCCGGGTCCCAGAGCAAAGAAGGTGTAAGGTTCCAGCCTTCTCAACCCACAGCTGGACTTCTGACCCCACTCATGCCAGACTGTAGGTGAAAAGGGAAACAAGGAGCCCTGTGACAGCCCTGCACCCCCAGCTGCAGACAGGAAGACTGAGGCCCAAAGGAGAGTGGTACTCAACCCAGGTCACAGGGTGTCCTGTCCCCTGCTCCCCACTCCACCATGAGGCAAAGGAACTGGGAGCCTTCACTCCTCCAAGCAGCCTGAGTCAGAGCAGGGGGTGGGCAAGTAGCCCTGGGTATCCTCCTCCAAAACCTGCCATCAGCAGGTGCCAGATCCTACCAGGCCCCAGCTCCCTTAAGGGACAGGGACTTGGGACAGAAGGAACAAAGGAACCTGGGACCTGAGGTGGCATCAGTGGGGGCCAGGGCTGATGCAGACCCAGCCTGGTCATGTCCTAAGGCCAATCCCCACATCTGCTCCACTTGTCCCACGCCCGGCTCTGGCAGCAGGAGCGCCATGCCTCCTCGAATGCCATGGCAATGTTGAGGGAGGGGCTGGGCACAATCAAGGGTTCTGTGGGGATCAGGACTCCAGCCCAGATAAGCTTTGACCTTAGGGGGAGGAAGGGTGGTGTGCCTGGGTGCTGTCTCCTGGGAAGGGCTCCCCACCCCCATACTCTCACCCAGGCTGGGCACAGGTTGGGAGGGGTGACATCCGGGAAGGATTTTCCCATCATCGGGAAGGAAGAGCCTTTTCTGGCATCAGACACCTCATTTCCGCAGCCATTCCTGGCCTCCAGGACTCTCTCATGGCCATCAAGCACTTGGGGTCCCAGCCCAAAGCGGCCTGGCACAGGTCCAGAGGCAGGACCTTCTCAAGGCACACGGGGCTGGGTCCTGGGGGCCCCCGGTCCCTCATATCTGGGAAGCAGCTGGTGATACCTTACTTTAAAGGTGCGGGCAGGTGAGGACAGGCACTGAGGAGGCGTGTCCACAGCCCTCACCCGAAGACCCCAAGTGGGCAGCCCCTACCCCTTGCTGCTGGTCTCCAGGACATCAGGTCTGCGTGCAGTGAGGTGTGGGCTGCCGCAAAAAGAGGAGTCTTGGAGCAGAGGTGGGCAGCCCGCCCCCTTGGTTATAGCCCCACAAAGCAGCAGGCCCTGACTGACAGCGTCACCTCCCCCAGCAGTGATGGGGACTGGGGATGATAGACAGATCCCTGCAGCCTAGCTCAGACCTCTGACCTCTAGTGAGCCAGTGCAGCCCTAATCCCTGAGCTGAAGAGAGATGGGACTGGGGGACAAGGGGAGGCACCAGCCTGGGTCTTTGTCAGTGTTTCACCCACCGGAAAGACAGACCTCCTGACCTTCTGAGGAGGGAAACTGAGGTAGCCAAGGCTATAGTAGCAGTGGCGGCAAGAGGCATGGCAGGGCCCAGGTGGTCCCTACCGGATACCCCCACAGGATCCAGGAAGGGGTGGCCCCGGCCCTTTTATCACTCCCCCAAAGCTGTGAGGAGCCCCAGAGGAAGGCCTGGGGACTGGGCTGGCCCCCTGGCTCTCAGCCTAATCCTCTTTTAATGAGCGGCCAGCCGGAAGGCCTCAGCCCATGGCCACAGACCTACAACCCCGGGAACCCCAGCCAAGCTAAGCGGGGGGGCAGGGAGGCCCAGATGCCTTTGTACGTACCTTCCTCCTGCTTGGCACACCCACTTACACCCCAACGCCACCCTGATCAGGCCAACCCAGGGCCCAGTATGTGCAGAGACACACCTGAGTGACGCCTGCCTTGGGCTCCCACAGACCCACTCTTGGGCACTTACCATTTGTTCAAGCCCAGGTCCCACATGGGGCTGGGCAGGGGAGACTATCACTGCTGATCTGGGGTAGCTCCTCCAGTTCCCCCTTTTCCCCCTATGCTCTGGATGGGAACCCTAGAAGCCAGACCCCAGCTGCACCCTCCCTGGGGAGAGGTTCCAGGTTCCTCTGACCCTAAGCCCCTGGAGATCTGCCCCCGCATAGCATCTCTAGCCAGGCCTTCCAGATTGGAGACCCAGAGGGCCTCCCTAGGAGCCATCCACACCAACCCCCGCTTCCCCCCAGGTAGGTGAGCCAGGTTGGTGCCAACAAAACCAATTACAGCCACTCTCACCCAATTAGCAACTAATTATGGTCTAGTAGTCCATTCAACATAATTAACATGTAAATGACTCCGCGTGTTTTTATTCAATAACCGCTCTGATTGAATTTAATTTAAATGTCTGAACTGGGGACCCAGTTACCGTATTTCACCACCTAGAGCTGCCACTCTAGGAAATGTGGTGGGAAATGTTGGCTCCTCCAGAGCAGAGGAACCGAAGGCCAGAGGCCAAGGGGACAGGCACCACTGGCTCTGGTAAGGTGGAGATGGTTATGGTCTCTGTATCCCTGACACATCTATCCCAGGGGTGCAGGGAATTGGTGAGGTCAGAAGAGCCCCAGTGGGACCCTCAAGATGGGAAATCCCCTGCAACGAGGGGCCCCTTTGCAAGGGCTACTGTAAACATCCCAGCTGTTCAGTAAACACCGTACAGGGGTAAAGAGCCCAGCTGGGCCAAAACGCCACTGTACACTTCCCTCCCATTTCAGTGACTAAAGGCTGGGGGCAGGGGGCAGGGGGCTGGGGCCAGCAGGTCCAGGCATGCTGTTCCCACGCCCGTTCCGCCCCAGTGCTCACCTACTCCGCCCAGGACAGGATAGGCTGAGGGCACAGCTCAGCCTCAAACCAGGAAAAGCCAGAAGTGACGGAGCAGCAGGATCACTCCCTGACTCGCCAGCCGGGAACCAGGGGATCCATGCCTCATCCCCGAAGGACACCCAATGACTTCGGACCTTCTGTCCCAGCAGATGGGGTCTCTCCGGCCTCGGCACCTCCACTGACCCCTGCCTTCCCCATGGTCCATGCACCTGACCATCCTAGGCCTGGGCTGGTAGTTCCAGAGGCCTAGACGTCCCACTTGGAACTTAACAGTGTGCATGGTTGCCTGTGAGAACACATTTGGGCATTCACCAGCTGGGCAAGTCAGGGCTCCGGCTCAGCTTTGGAAGGACACTGTGGTCAAGAGACCTGGTCCTGAGCAGGGGGTGGGAGAAGATGACCAGACAAGCAGATCACACAGGAATGTGCCCCAAGAAGTATGAAGGGGATGGAAAGAGGGGATTGTTCTGAAGGGGAGGGCTGCACTGATTCATTTCTCAGGTGGGGAGAGTGAAAAGGCCATTCAGTGAGTGCCTCCAGTTTCAGAGGCCCCCGGGGGACCCACCTCCTCCTCCCACATTCCAGACCTGGCCCGGAAACCCCTCACTCCTTCCTCCACCACCTCCTCCTCCCCATGACTGCAAAAGACAACAAACTCTCCATGGCTCATTTACTCTGATAAATCACCCAGACAGACAGGCCAAGATGGGACCAACAGGCTGGTGGGTGTCAAAACCCTCCCCCTCCCCTGGGCCCAGCCCCCATCTCTGCGGCCTTCCTCGGATTCCTGCGGTCCCTGCAGCCCCTTCACAACACCCACCCAGAGATTCCCGGGATGTTCCAGACAGTCTTAGCCCCTCCCCAACATTCTGATGGAGAAACCGAGGCACAGGGCAGACAGGTGCATGCTTGGGGTCAGCCTTGGAGGATGCAGTGAGGCTGGGTTAGGACCTCAGCAGGACTCAGCAGGTAGCCAGTCAAGGGCAGGCAGTGAGCACTCCGCACAGGCCCCAGGCCCAGCCAGGAAGGCGCTGATAAAAATGGCAATACAGGCAGCCCTGGGAGAGGCCCCCTGGAGTGCTAGCCACTCAGCCTTGGAGCTGTAGGAGCCCAAAGGGCTCCCAAATTCTAGCCGCTCTGCCAATTGTAGTGTATGACCCTTAGAAGGCAACCGTGCTGGCTGAACAGCAGACACACGAGGCAGTGGACTCTGGCCGGGGGAAATGAGGGCATCAGCACCGAGCCCCAAGTGGGAAGGAACAAGGCTCTTGGCTGGGTACAGAGACGTCCGAGGAAAGAGCATGTCCGGGTAGGAAGCCAAGAGGGGTGGCAAAGGGAGGGGTGGAGGCAAGGGGGAGTAGGGGGAGGAAGGAAGGAAGAAGAGTGGGGGAAGGGGGATCCGGAGCTGAGGCTTCCTGATCCCTGGAGGGGCCGGTTGCTTTGGGTCTGTCTTTGCCCTGCAGAGATGCACCAGATAGCCAGTGCTCCCCTCGGCCCAGTGAGAGTGCCAGAAGTCAGCCCAGCCCGTCAGCCCGATGAGCCCCACTCCCTCCCCAACAGGCTAGCCCCCCAATCCTAGGCCAGCAGCCACTGCCCAGACCCCATTCGTTGCTGGGTCAGGACCAGTGGTCAGGGACTGGAGCCCAGGAGGCCTCCACCCTCTCCCTGGGGCTGCCCAGCAGGCTGGGTGGGGGGCTGTAGGCCTGCCAAGCTCTGGCACCCACGTGAGCTAGGCTTTGGATTCAGACCATAGCCTTCTGGCATCCAGGCCTCTGGCAAAGGCCCTCTTGCTATTTCTAAGAAAAATGCAGCAGGAATCCTCTCTGCTTCTCCAAAGCTCCCAGGGCTTCTTGAGGCGGGGCTCAGATTCCCAGGATAGCACCAGGCCAAGCCAGGCAAACATGCTTTCTGCCCAGCCCTGCAGATGCCTGAGTGAGCAGCCCAGGTCTGGTCACCCCTAGGACACACGGCAGGAGCTGGAGCAGCATTCACAGAAGGAGTTATTGCAGCCAACTGTGCGTCCCAACCAGGCCTTGGAGCCAGTCTCTAGGGAGCTACTTCCAAGGCATCACTCCCGCCAAATGCATCCGTATCACTGGAATTTTTCCATAATACATATTTAGTACCTCTGCCATGAGGAAAAAGAGCTTAAAAACCAGAAACAGAAAGTAGAACTCTACATCCTTGTCCCAAAAGCAAGACTGCATCTAGCATCTGTCCTCTTCCCCAGGTGCTGCACCACATGCACCCTCCCTGTGCTCCAGCTCTTCCCTCCCCTACAACCTCCCCTCCCCTGCTCAAGATGCAGCCTCCTCCATGAAGCCTGCCCAGATACCCATGGTAGGAATTTTCCTCCTCCTGACCCTACTCCACCCACCCCACAGGACTCAGGGTCCTTCCTGGAGTCCTTTCCAAATACCATCTCCCTTACCAAAAGTTAGAATTCTGGAGGAAGGGGTGAGGCAGTCTGGGACTCCTTGGGGCATGCCCCTGGACCTGCCCTCACCTGCACACCAGCCTCAGGATCGCTCCTGGTGACTGAGATTTCTTCCACAGTGACCATACTCACACAGTTAATCCTCCTGACAACACAACGAGGCCAGTATTGTTCTTACTCCCATTTTCCAGAAAAGGCAGTGGGAACACAGAATGATGTTCACCAAGCAAGATCCACCCATGGCCAGGATGCAAGCAAGACAGTCTGAGCCCTCATGATGCTGCTTCCACAGGGCCACTGCCATTCCCACCTTACACAGGAGAAACCAGGGCTCAGAGAGGCTAAGCCACTTGGCTGAACTCACACAGCTAACACTGGTAGAACTGGGTTTTGCCTTTGGGACCAGCTAGCTCAGCCACCACCATCACCACTTCTGCATTACACCAAATTTAAGCACCCCACTCTCCTGAGTGAGGAGATGGAGGTCTCCCAGGAGTCAAGGACCAGGTACCCATGGCCCTAAAGCCACCTTCTGAGCTATTACCACCTCTGGAGGAGTCAAGGGGCCGGAGGTGCATACACACAGGTGCAGACAGCCAAGAGCCCACTCTGAGGCTCACTGTCTCCCAAGCTGCAGGGTGAAAGATGCCTTTATGGGCTGGTGAGATTTTTATCTTGGCGGTTTCTCTTTAAATTCTTTACGATTACGAAGCAGTGGGGGCTGCCAAGGAACATGATTTACTCCTTGAGCATGCACCAGCTCCTCACTTAGTGCCAAGGGAAGCTGGAGCCAGGGAAGGAGGGGCGGGCATCATGCCAGGGAACCAGAGACAAGGCCTGTGCTGCGGAGGCCCAGACAGTGGAGGTCCCATCTGAAGCTCCACTTGACCTGGAAGGCCACAGCTGAAAGCCCCAGCCCCTGGCCTGGCTGACCCAGGCTGGGCGTCAGGCAGGTTCTCCAGCAAGCACAAGGACCCTGTCTCCATTCTCTCCAAAGACCAATTCCTAGCCAGTTGGGGGATGTGCAGCTTCCAGGACCTCCCAACTCCAAAGCGGCCACTTCCAAGTCTCTCAGGAGTAAGGCAGCTCCCATTTCCAGAAAACTGAAACTCCAGATCTGGCCTCAAGGGATCTGGGCTCAAGTTCATGCTTTGGGTCTTCCTTCCTCCCTCATCCTGGCGTATCCTGGAACACCTACCCTCCCTGGCTTGTGAGCTCCAACCCCCACTGTAGCTGCCAGAGCCACCTGACCCTTGCCCAGCTCCCTGGTGCCACACTGGCCTCAAAGCTCCTGGGCCTCCTCCCCCTCCTCCCCCACCAAAGCCCCATGCCTTGCTCTGGCTGGCCAAGGAGCCCCTGGGGGGCAAGAGCATGTCCTCTAGCTCTCCAGCCCCACCCCTACTCCTGCACCAGGCCTGAGGGCTAAGGCCCCATCAAGGCTTGCTAGAGGCACCTCAACTCACATCAACTCCTGAGGGGAAGTCAACGGGCTGTGACCCTTCCTAACCTCTAACCTCATCATCTCCAAACCTGGCAACCTTGGTCCTCTGATGCCACATGCAAATGATGTGAGCGGTGGCACTGTTCTGGGCTATTGGCCTGGAGGGCTCAAACTCCAGGCTGCTCTGGAACAGGAGCCCTTTCCTCTCTTAGGCCCTGATGTTCCCATCTCTGACATGAGAGGCCTTCCTAGGGACCCTGCTCAGTGGAAGGGCCAGAGTGATGGAGGGCCGGATTTATAGCCTGGAAATAAGCAAACCCCAATTCCGTTGCTTCGGCAGACAGAGGGCATGGGGAGCCTGCCCAGTGCGACCCCAGCCCTTTCTTTGGGAAACGAGGCTAGGAAGCCTAAACCAGCACTGCAGAATGCTGGAATCTTCCTTGTTCCTAGCTCATGTGAAGGGTCTGTGCCTCCAGCACCACCACCATCCCTGCCCTCCACTCTCAGTCCTGGGACAGCCTCAGGCATCAGGCGGATGCAGGCTCCATCTCAGTCCTGCTCCTGAGTGACCTGGGAAGCCGCTCAGCCCCCGTAAGCCTCCTTCCTCACAGGAAACCTAGGCAGACCCTCTTTAGGTCTTGGAGGGACCATTGCTTGGTTATCCTCATGGGCTCCTACTACTATTTCGATTATGTTCATCTTTCCTGACCTCCCCTGGCAGGGTGACCTTCTGCTCCCTCTCCCTACTTCTGCCTCAGCTTCCCTAGCAGCACAACTGTCTCATGTCATCACAGGGTCCTTCTACCCCACCAAACATCTCTTGGCCCCAATCCCTGGCCAAACCCAGCCCAGGCAGCAGCAGTGTGTCGTGGGGTAGCTTCCTGGGAAAAAGTAAACACTCCCCAGGCTGAACAAAGGGCCTGGCAGGGCCCTCACACCTCCCTGCTGCTGCCACGGAGGGAGGTGGTGCCCCAGAGCCTGGGTCATCTCAAGGTGGGGGAAGGAAGAGCTTTTTCTCTGAGATTTGGCAGTGATTCTGCAGTGTAGGGGACTCCAGGCCCAGGCATGGATGGGTGAAGGAAGGAGGGTCTGTCCAGGCTTCCAGCCCAGGCTCCACTCTCTCAAGAGCAAGGAATGAACAAACACCTCACCTGCTCCTGGAAATCTCCATTTGACCCTCACTTCTGCCTGATTTTGGCTGTGCTGCTGAAGCCCAGAAGCTGGGCCATAGGAGCCCCCCTAATCTGAGGGAACCCTGGGCTGCTTGACCCTCACACCCTTCTGGCTCTAGACCTGGCTGGGGTGCCCAGGCGGATGGGCGGGCAGCAAACCCAAGCCTGGCCCAGTTCCTGCCTTTGTTCCTTTATCTACCCTGGGCAGTGTGGCCCCTTATGCCAGCACCTCTAGCTTGGAGGGTCCAGCCCTACCCAGGCAGGAACCGGCACCTCCCCACTACAGCAGGACCCAGGGCAGGGCAGGGCAGGGAGTGCCCAGCCTGAGCCCCTGAGGCCTGGGGTGTCAACTGCTGTGTCCATCCAAGGCACAGATGAAAAAACTATGACATGGAGCCACAGTGACCAGCAGTGCTTCTGAGAGTAACCTTCTCTGTGCCACCCACGTGTACTCTGGGAGGAAGATGGTGGGAGCCCAGTTTCTTGAAGTGTTGGTCTCCATTCTCACTCCACACACACTTGGTGGGCGCCTGCTCCTCACTGAGGGCCACTTCATGTGTGCATAACCAGGCTGAGACCACCCAGTGTAGGGGGATACACAGGGCCTGGTACACAGCAGGTGCTGGGCTCCCAGATGGCCCTGACCAACTGGATATCCATTGCTTTTTCCACCAGCTTGACTGTGAGCACCCTATCTTGTTCACCACAGAGTCCCCAGCACTCAGCACGGGGCCTGTCATACAGTAGTAAGTGAAGTCTAAGCACAAAATTAGGACACGAGACCAGGTCGGAACAGGGAAGGTCATTCAGGGCAGGGGAACCTGCCTGTGCAAAGGCACAGGAGCCCTGGGATGGGTGGCCCCAGGTGCGCTGCAGCCCCACCCCAGGCCGCCACAACCGGCAACACCCAGGCTGGCTGCCAGTGAGCTCAGCTTTTAGTCACTGCGGGTGTCGGCTTCAGAGCTAATTGAGAGGGAATCGACCTGACGCGATGTGGGCGCCGGCAAGGCCAGGACACCAGGGTTCTATTTCTGGCTTTGCCTCTGCCTCTTGCCTGACCTTGACCCTGCCCTTGCCTGAGCCTCAGTTTCTCTCTCTGGAAAACAGGAACAAAACTCTTTGCCCCTGGAGGTCCAGGGAGGCTTAGAAGGAGCACACGGAAGACCCCTCTCTGTTTTGCCCCTCCTGCTTACTTGCATGCATGATGACAAAAACAACACCCAGAGCGGACGCAAGGTCCCAGGGGTGTGGAGACCAAGCCACCCCTCCCTTCCACTATCGGGGGAGGAGACACTCTACTCTCGCTGCCAGACCCTGGGCTGGGGAGGGGTTTGGGGGAACTGGCCCCTTCAAGATTTATTAATCTGCTCTGAAGAATTCCACCAGGGAAGGGTGGAGGTATCAGCAGAATAAATATCTCACCTTCCTGGGGCCCGGGGAAGGGGGGTGCTTTCCAGCCCAAACAAATTAACTCTTCTCAGCCCATTTCTCAGGCCCTGCAGGGGACTCCTTCCAGGCACAGCCTCAGAAATTCCAGGAGCCGGGTGACTGGGAAGAGTGATGATAAGCAGCTTACTCCCCTACTCCTCCCATCAAGGGGCAGGGTGGGACGAGGCCAGGGGAGGGGCCCTGCTGGGGGACATGGTGAGGTGAGGGCTGGGCCTCCGCCAAGCCCGAGGAAGGAAAGGTCACCCCAGCCTTTCACCCCAGTATGGCTGCCCGGAAATCTGGCCAGCCAGGGCTGAGTCGACCCCACCCAGGGCAGGCGGCTGGATGAAGTTACCTCTGGCCAGAGGAGGGCCAAGGCTGAGAACTCCCAATGACCCCAGGTCCCCCAGGCCCCAGCATGGCCACTGCCCCTCACCCTGGGCCCAGGGGAGACTCTTCAGACCACACACACCCTTGAGGAAGTGGCTCTCGAGTGAGCCATTTGTACACCCATGTGTGTACCGTGTGCGTGCACCTGTCCAGTGGGTTAAGTGCAATGGTGATGGAGCGGGCGACCAGCCTCTCACTCTGCAGACCCCAGCCCATCACTGAAACCTCCCAGTGACTTCTCATCAAAGTGCTCACTGGAGCTCAGGAGCTCAGGCCCTCACAGCAGCACGTGCTCTGCCTGAACCCACCGGCGGCCTCCCTGCCAGTCACAGCCAACAGTCCCCTCCTGGATTCTAGGAACCCTTCCCACTTGGAGACCATAGGAAGGCTCCTCGAGCACCCACACCCCAAGAGAGCAGGTCCTGCTCTTCCAGTGTCCAGAGGTTCCAGTGTCTGCCCAACTGCCTGACCTTCCACCCCAGGGGCTGCTCAGGGCAGGACCAGATGCATAGCAGTGGCAAGGAGGGGCCGCAGCAGACATAAGTTTGGAAGGAGTGACATTGCCACCTCTCCAATTATCATACAGAAAGACATGCCCTACAGACCTCAGGCCACCCAGCCCAGGAACCCACAGTCTGACTCTGGAAGATGCCCAGACTCTGGACTCTTTTGCTAAGTGTCTAAATGGGTCAGTTCTCCAGCCTTTCCCAGCAAGCCACCACCTCCCCGGTCTCCCTTCTCCCCCACAACCTATGTGGCTGTACAATTTGTCCTGGTTTTGTCCTGACCCACCCTTTCTCTCGTGTGCAGAGGAGCCGAGCGCTATTGTAAAGAGAGGATGATTTCTGGGGAAGAACAAAACAGCTTCTTACCTTTGAATGAGAGCCGGACCCGGGGCGTGGCCGGGAGGTGGTCCTGGGTGGGGAAGGATGGCCAGGCCCCGGTCAGTAGGGAAGCCCAGAGAAGAAGACCGGCGACAAGCATTGTGGGAGGGGCCTAGGGCCCAGGAAGCAGGCTCCACTCTCTAGAAACCTGGGAAGGGGAACCAAGATTGGAATGTGTGAGGCAGATGGGGGAGTTCAATTTCTACCCAAGGTGAACAAAGAGGTTGATGGGTACCTCCACGCTTCCACCCCCAGCCTGGGGCCATGAATGCCCCTGTGTGCACACCTCATGTGCGTTCTTTGGCCTGCCTTTGTCTGGGGAGATAGTACCAATAGGCCCCAGCCTGGGGTCACCAGAACTGATGGGGGCTGCTGGAGACTCAAACCCTACCCCTCATGGCATGCTGAATTCCATTCACAGGGCCCAGACCAACCAGGTGATCTTAGGGCTCTTTCCAGCTCCCAGCATGCTTTCTCCTTTCTCCCCTGCATCTGTGGCCAATAAAGTGGGTTACTCCTTCTCCCTCCCACCTGGAGGAATGGGGAACAGATAGGGTGCATCCCTGCCTGCTCCAGCCACAGGTCTTCTCCCAGTACAGAGAAACCTGGACCTGATTATTACGGTAGAGGGGAGGCACAGGAGAGAGTGGGGGAATGAGACACATGCAGACAGCCCAAGATGGAAGAGAGGGAGCACCAGTCAGAAAAGGAAAGGCAGAGAATGGCAGAGTCCACTTGTACTAAAATCAAAGCAGGAGAGACCCAGGTCAGACAGGCAGAAGGACTTCCTGCCAGGGAAAACTTCCAGCTCCGCCTCTAGAGGGCAAAGAAGGGAAGCTAGGATGGCCAGTGGGCCTGGGGCTGGATCTGGGCCAGCGGCATTGCCACCTTCAGAATCCCCCATAGCCCCAGCAGGTCCAAGTTTCAATACTGTGTTTTTCAAATATTGTCTCCCCAGGCAGGCTGGCTGTTGGGTAAACGCAGCCCAGCACCAGTTGTCAGAACATATTGCTCCCTCCCGGCACAAACCAGCGCCAACTCCTACCACCACCCCCAACCGGATGCACTGCGGGTGGGGGCATCGAGACTGAAAATGTGAGCCCCATCCCCCAGATCTGCCCTGTGTACTCCCTTCTTCCGTGGCAGGCAGGACCCCAGGCCCATCTCTAGGATGCTGGGATGGGAGTTGGCAGTACTATGGCCTGGGACTCCCCTGCCATAGCTGCTCAATGCTGAGGCAAAGCCCAGGCTCCAGTCTGACTCTTAGGCCCCACTCATTAGACCCTGATGACATCCCTAGACCCACCTCCCCCAGCCCTGGCCTCTCCTGCCAAGGCAAACCACTCATGGCTCCTCAGACAGGAAGTGCAGCTTCAGCCTCTTGGCCCACTCCTTACGCGGTACCCTCTGTGTGAATGTTCTCTCCCGAGGGCCTGGCACACCGCTCATGGTCCTTCCAGATCCCCTGTCATAGATGCTGCCTCCTGGGGAGGCTAGCTGGGGGATGGGGGAATCAGAACCAGCCCCTCCTCAGGTCTGGGAGGCACAAAGCTAGTGCTGACTGAATGGCAGGCTCTGAGAAGTGGGGGCAGGTGGGAGAAATGGCTGTGCAGCCACCGTCACCCTCAAGGTGCACCTGGGAGGCCCCTGATAACAGCTGTGGATATGCACACGTTCACACTTGCAGGCCCACACACGTCCTTACAAGCATGAGTTTGCTCAAGAACTTGACCTGCTAGTGGGGTGGGGCTCAGGGGAGCTGGGAGATACTGTCCTGGCGCAAGATGCCGTCTGAGTCCCTCAGAGAGCTTCGATACTATGTAACGGGGGCTCCTGTCAACCTGCCTCCCGCCTCCCCCCTCCCCATGACCTCATTTTTTCCTTCATCCATGTTCATGGTGACAAAGTCAGTGTCACCAAGGACAGGGTTGGAGTCACCCAATGTGTCCAGAGAGGTGGGGAGTCTTTCTACTGGGTCCCTACAGGGACTTCCCATCCAAATGCTTTGGCCTTTTAAAGAGGTGAATGGGGAGGGGCTCAAGTTTGCTGGGGCCTCAGTCTCAAGTCCAGGTCCCCTCTTGGACAGCCTGGCAGGTGGGGGAAAGAAGGAGAGGGAAGGAAGAAAAGGAGAAGAAGGACAGAGAGGGAAAGAAAGGGCAAACCCACAGTGCCTTCCCCTCTGCCAGTCCCGAGATGCCTGTCACCCAGCCCCAGCCCCAGAAAAGCCCCCAAGTCACACCAAGCCCAGGTCAGTGGACAGAGGAAGAACAGCCACCGCCACCTGGGAGCCCACCAGGAAGAAAGCAGAGAAGGAGGGAAGGAAGGCTGGTGGGAGGGAGCAAGGGAGGGAGGCAGGCGGGAGGGAGGAGGAGAGAGGGAGGAGAGAGGGAGGGACGGAGGAGAGACGCTTGAACAAAGAAACGAGGAGCCGGGGCTGGCAAGGGGTGCAGGGAAGAGGCGGCCAGAGGAAGGAGTCCGGAGGCACCTGGGATGGGACAGGGGGCCAGGTGGCCAAACTGTACAGCCGGATCCAGACCGCCCAGGCTTGGAGTTGGGGGTGGGGGTGGACAGCCTGTCTCCAGGAAGGGAGGTTGGCTCCTCCGAGCTGAGGACTGCCTGGATGGAAGGGAGGCAGGAACAGGGGCCGTAGGGGAACATGGGGAGATTATCAACAGCACCCCACCCGCTACCCAGCCCCTCAGATTCCCTCCCCCACTTCAACAAGAGCTCTGTCTCCTTCTTGGCTCCTCAGCTTCCCCATCCCCCAACACCTCAAGGACCAGGAAGCAGAGCCACCCCAGCATAGCTGGGACTGAAACCCCCCTTTTGTGGCCAGGGTTTCCCAGTCAAGGTCACCTGAGCCTGGCTCCATCCTCCCCCCAAGGTATGCTGAGCAGCGAGGGGCTGAGGCTGGGTGGGCTGCCGCCTTCTCTCTGGCCCCTGCTTTCTCTCCGGCCCCCACCTCCCCACTTCCGGGCCTGGCTCCTTCGGAGCTGAAGGGGGAGCAGCAGGAGTAGGCATGCCTGTGCCCCCCGCCTGCCTAGACACTATACCCTACGGGGTCCTGGCACACCCCTTGGGTAGCCTGGGAAGAGGCCTCAGCTCCATCCAACTCCCTGGGCTGAGATGGGGCTCCCAACCCCTGGGTGCAGTTTTCCCTTCTCTGCAACTAGGATAACTACTGGGAGACTATCTGGGTGAATTCAGGAGGACAGAGGTCCCCAACCTGGCCCAGCTTCAGGGTGGACATACTGGTGTCTTTGGTTGGCGTCTCCCTTACCTCTCCCAAGCAGTAATGTTCTGGTGGCAAAACACAGCTATCTCAAAAATTAGGAGTTATTTATCCAGTGGGGCCCCCAGCCCCAGCTCCAGCCAACTCCCGCCAGCACTGCCTCATTCCTAGGCCAACTTTGATACCCTCCTGTCCCATCTGCTGGGGGCAACCCCGCCAAGCCCCCGCTGTCCCCTGCCCACTTCACCACTGGGACCCCTGGTTCAAACTAGGGATTGACCGCAGGCTCTCCAAGCTCACCTACACACTACATACAGCCGTGCCCCTAATCCAGGCAGGACTCTGCTGTAAAAGCAAACCCAAGGTGGCAGCTGGGGGTCAAGGGGCTGGCACAATGCTGGGAGAAATGCCTCAGGACTGGAGGTCCTCCCACTCTGCTGATGTGGGAGACCCCCCACGTGGGGACTGCCAGTATACCGCTTCCCTTCGGGCTGGCCAGTCCTCAAGTAGAGACACTGAGGTAGGGCAAGCGCATCTACGGGGAAGAGCGCTGCCTCGGGCGTTAATGGGAGAGAGAGCTGAGGCAGAAGGGGGATCGGAACTCCCGCTCCAGAAGCGTGAAGGTGGGGGTGTATGAGAGCACCCACCCAGAACCTTGCAGGAAAAAGTTGCTTTGCACATGGGTGACCCCGCAGGCCACATCATCCACACATCCATACGCCGCCCCGTAGGTAAGGGGTCCGGGCCTCCAGGACAGGTAAGAATCCCACCCCAGCCTTGTTGCCCCTATGTCCGCGGGCAGCCCCCCGGCTCGACGAGACCCGCTCCCCGGACACTTCTGCGGAGTTGCAGTGCCGCGGGTCCCAGAGGGGTCGCGGGGTGGCCCGGCCGCCTGCCCGCTCCCTCCCGGTTCCCGCTGCACTCACCTCTTCCGCAGCGGCGGGGCCTGGGCGCCCGGGCGGCGGCGGCGGCACGGAGCGGCTCCCGTTGGGCCGGTCCGCGCTAGCGGCCCCCCGGGGCCATGGCCCTGCCCGCGACCTCTCGCCGCTGCGCCTCAGCCGGGATCGGCGCCGCGGCCGCGGCTTAACCGGTTCCGCGGGCTTCGGGCGCGTCAGCAGCCGAGGGCCCGGGCCCCAGCCCGGGCCATGGGAAGGCTCAGGGGCGCTCGGGGCCGCCTCCCCTGGGGTGGGCTGCGGGCGCCCCCTGGCCGGCGCGCCGAGGGCGCATTCCCCAGCGCGGGGCGCGGGCGGTGGCGCGCACTCGGCTTCGAAGCGCTGCGCTCTCCTGGCTGCTGGACCCGGGCCGGGCGGCCGCGCTGGGCTGCACGGTTCCTCGCGGCGTACCCAGGTCCTGCGCTGCGCTCGGGGCTCTCCGGACCGCCGCGGTTCGTTCGCTCGCTCTGGTCTCGCGGCCGCCGGCGGGACGGGGCGCTCAGAGCCGCGCGGGGAGCGCCGGCAATTGGCCGCCCGTGGGCGACATTTGCATAGCGCAGCCCCGCCCCGCCCGGCCCGCCCAGCCCCACCCCCGGGGCGGGACCCGCCCAGCCACCGCCCCGCCCCCGCTCCACCTGTCCGTGGGCCGGGCTCAGGGTTCCCAGGCGGTGGGCACCCCGCGCCGGGGGAGACTAGTCTGCACCCCTCGCCCCCGCCCCCGCTTCGCGGGCGGCGCCCCCGCCCCGCCCTGGCTTTGTCTCTCTGTGAATACACCGCACACATCGCGCCTGGTGTTTACCCGGGCATTCAACTCCCTGGCGAGAAGGGCTGCAGCGCCAGGGAGCAACGAGCCTGCGCTCACCTGAGCACCCCCTTCCGCGTCCCTCATTCCCACTCGCCGCCGGCCGTGCCCCTGGTCCCGTGCGTGGGCCCCGCGGCGCAGGACCCCTGACTGCCCGGGCTGCTCAGCAGGTGGCGGTGCAGCCCCTGGGACGGCTGGCACCGCCGGACCTTCCCGCGGGCTCAGCCTCCAGCCTAGGCCAGGTCGGGGGCAGCCCAGCCACACAGCTCTCTCCAGCCATTCAACGACTCCCCGTGATCGCCTCAATCGCCAGCCCTTATTTCAGGCCAGCAGCTCCCACAGACTCTCCTTATAGTTCCATACCTTAGAGAGGCCAGATCAGCTAGCACCTTCTCTCCTCAAGGGGACATTTGCTTTCAAATGGCCTGGTGATGAGCCAATGGCTCAGCAACTGAGAAGGGCCTACCGTGACCCCAGGAAGGGACCCTCTGCCCAACCCAACTTTCCAAGGTCATGGCCTCACCACCAGGACCACTTCTCAGCCCTGCCCCGGGCACCCTGCGGAGGCTCCCAGGGGCGTTGGCCCTTTGTCCTCTCCTTCATCCTCTTCCTGTTCTGTCTTCTGTGCCCTCCTCTTTCTCCTCTTTCCTTTCTCCTCTTCTCCCTCTGCCTCTCCTTCCTTCTCCCCTCTCTTCTCCCTCTTCCTCTCTCCTCTTCTCCCTCTTTTCCATCTCCCTCCTTTTCCTCCTTCTCCTCTCTTCTCCTGGATTTTTCCTTCTCTGCCCTCTCCTCCTCTCCCTTCTCTTCCTCCACCCCATGCATTTCCTTCTCTTCTTCCTCCTCCTTCTTCCTGCTCTTTACCCTCTTCCTCCTTTCTCTTTTTCTTCTCACTCCTCCTCTCCGCCTTCTTCCTCCTCCCACTTCTCTCCCTGGCTAGCAAGACCTCCAGGAAAAGACCTCTCTCCCTCTGACCCATTGACTGGTTGACTCCAAGTGCAAGGTGGAGCTGGGCACTAGGGATCCTGCTGAGGGTCTCCTGACTCAGGACTTAGAGTGCTGCCTCATGCTCCAAGCACAGGCAGGGCATTTGAGGTGAGCAAACACCATCCTGGAGTTATGGAGCTGCTGTGACAGCACCTGCACCTCTCCCCTTTGTCACGCCTCATTGAAAACACTGTGACAATCCATCTCTCCTCATCCCCACTCATCTGTATGAGGGTCACCCCTGAGGTCACCACCACTGCACCACCATCACCAATACAGCTTAAGCCACCATCTCTATGGCTTCCAACACCATCCCTTCCATCCTCTCACAGCCTCCATGGTCTCCTTATAGCCTGGCCACTTCTATCACTATCTCCAGCATCATTAGCATCATGCTGGTTACCACGGAAGAGCTGTCAGGACTTGCCAGAGACTCCAGTGTACTGGGTTGGGAAGGAAAGAGGCTCAACTGATCTGTTCATGAAGCTCCACTCAGACACACAGAATAGGCCCAGCACACAGAGGCCTTCAATGGCAGGGAGACCAGGGAAGGGGGCCAGGAAGAGGGCAAAGAGCTAGAATTGAGCCTGGCTACATGGGGTGGAATGCCAATTCCTTCCTAAGCAATTCGAGAGGGCTGAATAATCATACAAAAAAAATTGTTATTGCAGCAGTGAATCCACACTGAGCCCTTGCTCTGTGTCAGTGCTGGGGTGAGCATTTTGTATCATCATAATATGTTGTTATAGTTTGTGTGTGTGTGTGCATATACATATCGGCAGACCTCATTTTATTGTGGTTTATTGCGTTTTGCAGATATTGTGTTTTCTGAAGTTGAAGGTTTGTTGCAACTCTGTGTCGAGCAAGTCTATCAGCACCATTTTTCCAACAGCATGTGCTCACTTCATTAGCATTTTTTAGCAATAAAGTATTTTTTAATTAAGATATGTACATTTTTTAGACATAATGCTATCACACACTTAACAGACTACAGTATAGTGTAAACATGACTTTTATATGCACTGGGAAACCAAAAAAATTTGTGAGTTGCTTTATTACAATGTTAGCTTTATTGTGGTGGTCTGGAACCAAACCCGCCATATCTCCGAGGTATATTATATTATTCAGGGGAATATTGTATAGCTTTTCACAATTTTGTCTTCAATTTCAGAGGTCCACAGACCCCTCAAAACCAGCTCTGGATACCAGGTTGGGAGGCATTGCATGCCAGGAAGTTTTGCGGTTATTCACCCCCAGGTGCTTCACAATTGGGCTGAGAAGCAGGCCCTGTTGTCCCCATTGTACAGTTGAGCATGAGGGAGGAGAGTGGGGAGGTAGGGAGGGTTGGGGGAGGCCTGGAGCCACCAGGCTGTGGTGCCTGGAGAAGGCATTTTCAGTGGCTGTGGGAAAGCTCCAGGACAGGAAGGCCAGGCTGCAGGGCCCACATGGAGCCAAGGGCCTGCAACCCTGATAGGCACGCAGGAGCTGGATGCCTGCTGGAGTCCCACAGGGCACTTCTGGAACTCCACGCATCTTTATCATGTGAATAAGAGAGCAAAAATAAGAGAGCAAATCCCTGCAGCACCAGATCGGAGAGGGAACACAGCCAAGAAGCCAAGACTCAGGGAGTCAACTCCCTGCCCTACTCTCAGCTCCTCTGGACTGGCTGCCCCCCACCCTGTGCTCTCCTTGACACCCACAATCCTTCTGTCCTCCTCTCCAGAAGCCACTCTGCTGTTCTAACTCCACCTGAGAACCACCCAGGATGCCCTGTGGCGTCATCTGAAGGGAGAGAGACAGGCTGGCTTCCTACTGGCCTGACCTCCCTCCTGTTGGGTAGGACACTCAGATCTTAGGCCTAAGTTTCATTCAGCCTCCCCCATGGCCCGCCCTGGTGCTAGTCTGGTCACGCAGGTGAAGGGGTGTGTGCAGACACAGCTGGTTAGGCCAGGTCCAGCTCCTGCACTGAATCCACCTCTGGAATACCCTCCTGGGGCAGCCTCCTCCTCCTTCCCAGGTGTGCCCCGGCTGCGTGGGATACACTGCACTCGGATCTGGGTGGACCTGGCTGAGCTTCAGGGTGGACTTCATAGTCTTGAGGTCCTGGAGCTTGTGAGGGGTGACCGAGCCAACAGTGAGGGTTACAACAGGGAAGTCATTGGCCCAGCCCCCACCTGGATGATGGTGCCAGCAACGGGCAGGAAAACCTTGAAGCTTTCCTCCCGCAAATACACCCTGCCCTTCACCCTGGCCTGGACTTTGTTTCTGGCGGTGGTTGTGCCTGTTTCTCTTCCTTTTGGCTCTTCCAGGATGCATGGGAACTGAACTGCAGCCTCCGGCCTCCTGCTGCAGGTCCCTGTTGTCTGCCTCCCCGTGGCTCACCTCAGGTGGGGAGAGGGAAGCCTGGAGGTGCACTGGGGCCTGCCCTCCTGGCCTCTGCACACGAAGGCTGGACTTGGAGGGCCTGGGCCTCAGAGACCCTCCATCCCCATTGGATGAGGGCGGCAGCCACACCAGCACTCCCTCACCTCCTCCCCTGCCCTAGTCTTAGGGGGGAACTTGTTCCCTGGGCCTGGCAGGGCAAGCAGGCCCCGGCCCGCCCAGCCCCAGCGTCGCTGGCTCAGGTTTCCTCGCTTTCTGGTTTTCTCATCTCCCCTGCCCCAGGCGCTGTTGCCTGCTCTCTGGCCCAGCCCCCACCCACTAGGAACTGGATCCCAGGGAGGGGGAGTGTTGGGAAGGGGGCTGGAGAGGGGGCTCGGGGCAGGCGGTTGGGTGGCACCAGGAGGAGGCAGGCCATGGGGACTCACTGAGGTTCCGTGTGCAGCCTTCTCCTGCCCAGCCTGCCCCAGGGGCTGGCTCTGAGCCGATCAAAAGCTGGAATGACCTGGCCTCTCCCTAAAGCTGCCTCCAAGCCGTCTCTGCTGTTGTTCCCTCTACCACAAATGTTCTTCCCGGACTTCAGCACCAGTCTAAACCCTGTGTTTCCTCTAGACGTGGGCCCTTAGCTGCCTCTTTCACCAATAAACACTGCCCTTTTCAGCACAGGCTCAGTATCCCTTCTTCATCCTTCTGCACTGGGCCCCTCAGGCATCCCGAGCCTTTTCCAGGAGCTCTAGACTCTCACCTCTGGGCCTTGGCACATGCTGTTCCCCTGTACCTGGAATGTCTTTCTTGTCTCCTTCTAGATCCAGACAGGCATCATCTCCTAGGAAGCCAGTCCTCATGGCTGGGTCAGGAGCTTCACTGGGCCCCTGCAGGTCCTACACCCCTTTTCAGACATTAAAAGATCCTGCCCTGGGGACCCAGACCCTTCTGTGTTCTCCCAGTGGGCCCCACATGAATCTATCAGCAACTGCTTCCATGTGAGTCCAGAGCGAGAAAGGGACACGGGGCACTGAGATCCTTGCCTGTTACCCCACACCCTTCATTCTGTGTGTCTATGCATGTGTGTGTCTGTGTGTATGTTGGATAGTAAGAGAGGTGGGGTTGAGTGGGCCTAAGCTCGGCTGGATTCGAAGTGACCTGTGACCGTTGGCCAGCCTGAGTACATCCTGTTTAGACAGAGCCCAGACAGCCATCCCTCACTCCCTTGGGCCTACCCAGCCCCCACTGGGGAGCCCAGTCCTGGGCCTAGAGCTCAGTCTGTATCTGGTTCTGGCGAGGGCTCCCCAGTAAGAGTCTGGGTGGAAGCACTGGCAGGGGTTTTGTCTCTGGGTACCTAGGCCCTGGGTCAGTAATGATCAGGCAGCCCCAGCCATGAAAGTGGTAAGGGTGAAGGGGGAGGGGACTTGACTGAGGAGCCCCTCCCTGTGTGGAATAAACATTGCATCAGGAACCCAAACAGGGGGCCCACACTAGCAACTTCTCAGCTTTCTTCAGCTCAGCAGGGGCGGCTCTGTCCTTTCAGCCTGAACCCTTTCTTTCTCATCTACACCCAAACCATCAGCAAATACTTTTTTGTTTGTTTGGTTTTTTTTTTTTGAGATGGAGTCTCACTCTGTGGCCCAGGCTGGAGTGCAGTGGCACGATCTCAGCTCACTGCAAGCTCTGCCTCCTGGGCTCACACCATTCTCCTGCCTCAGCCTCCCGAGTAGCTGGGACTACAGGCGCCCGCCACCACACCCGACTAATTTTTTGTATTTTTAGTAGAGACAGGGTTTCCCTGTGTTGGCCAGGATGGTCTAAATCTCCTGACCTCGTGATCTGCCTGCTTTAGCCTCCCAAAGTGCTGGGATTACAGGCATGAGCCTCCACACCTGGCCAAGCAAATACGTTAAATTTCACCCTCAGAACACATGAAATATCAGGTGGCCACTTTTCGCCTCCTGGGCCAGCAGAGGAGCCTCGTTAAGATGGAAGCCAGGTCCCGCCTCTCTCACTCATCGCTCTCCATGGCTCCTACTTTATTGAGAGTCAAAGCCAAATCCTTGGGCCATGCACGATGGCTCACGCCTGTAATCCCAGCACTTCGGGAGGCCGAGGTGGGCAGATCACTTGAGGTCGGGAATTCAAGACCAGCCGGGCCAATATGGTGAAACCCCATCTCTACCAAAAAGTACAAAAATTAGCCAGATGTGGTGGCCTGCGCCTGTAATCAATCCCAGTTACTCAGGAGGCCGAGGAAGGAGAATTGCTTGAACCCGCGAGGCGGGGATTGCATTGAGCCAAGACTGCGCCACTGCACTGCAGCCTGGGCTACAGAGCAAGACTCTGTCACAAAAAAAAAAAAAAAACCTACAAAAATCTAGCTGGGTGTGGTGGTATGTGCCTGTGGCCCCTGCTACTCTGGAGGCTGAGGCGGGAGGATTGCTTGAGCCTAGGAGGTTGAGGCTGCAGTGAGCCGTGATTGCACCACTGCACTCCAGCCTGGGCCACAGAGTGAGACTCCATCTTGACCAAAAACTAAAACAGAAAACAAAGCCAAATCCTTGGAGTGGTCATCAACACCCCTTCACCCTGCACACCTCTTCCCCACCTCTCTGACTTGTGTCCTCCTCCCTCTTCCTCCCACTCCAGGCACACTCCAGCCTCAGGGCCCTGCAGCAACCGTTCCCTTGGCCTGGATGCCCATCCCAGACACCTCCATGGCTTCTCCCTCACCTCCTTCAGGCCTTTGCTCAGATATTACCTCCTCAGTGATGCCCATCCTGACCACCACCATCTCCAGCATTCTGCATCTCCACTTACCTTCCCTCTCTTCTTCCCTTACCTTCCCTCTCTTTTTCTTATTCCAACATACGATATAATTTACTTATTTTCATGCTAAGCTGCCAACCAAGAATGCAGAGATTGTTGTCTATCTATTGCTCCTCCTCCAGCACCCAGAATGGAGACAGACACGTGGTAGGTATTGAATGAATAACTCGATGGGGCTGTGAGCTGCTTTCCCCTCTCACCCTTACCTGGAGCTGAGAATGGGGCATGGAGAGATGCCCATTTGCTGTTTCCCCACACTGCTGAAGAGGTGGATGGAGGAGAGAGGGTCTTAAGTTGCAGCATCAAGGACTCAAGATAGACTCTGCTTTAACTTAAAAGGCATTGCAGCTTTAACCGTGAGCTCTCCAGGGACAGGCATAGTCCCTTAGGCAGAGGTGTTCCTCAGGACTAGGAGAGACCTAGGCAGCTCCCTGACAAAGCTGCGGTGACAGGCTCTGATCTTGGGAGGTTTCTGGCTGCCTCCCAGGCCTGCATCTGCTGCGCACACTCCCTCCATGTGTCTGTGTGGCCACAGTCCTGGGGGAGGGGGGCCCGAGGAGGGTCCTGCAGCCAGGACTGCAAGCTGAGATCTGGACTTACTTAGTTCCAAATGACTGGGGAATGTCCCTTCCATGACAGCGGTGGCGTGGCCTCCCCTAGTTCCTTGCTCCCAGCAGAGGAGTGGGGCCCAGATGAAAGCAGCCCCTCAAAAGGAGGGGGGGCTGGTGGGCAGACACTGGGCACCCTGTCATCCTGGTCCTCCTCCCTAAGCCTGGTTCCAGGTCATGCCCAAGGAGGAGTTGCGATATGAGATCACTGTCTCATATCTCAGACCAGAGATCTGAGGCCAGAGCATCCTATTTGGTCTCCAGCTTCCTCCAGCCAGGAACTGGAGAGGCTTCACCAGCAAGACCTCTGTGCACAGCAGTGCCCGGACTGGCCAATGAGGAGTGCTCCCTCCAGAGAATCTCCTCTTTACAGCACATGGCTTCAGTGCCTTGGAGGAGGGTTGGGGAAGCAGGGCCAGTACCAGGTGGGTGGGGAGCCAGGCCTGCCCTGGCCAGCCTGGTGCTTGCTCCTGAGCACTCCATCTAGAAAGATGAACCCTTTTGCTCCCTGTGTTGTGGTTGGTAGGTCAGTGAGGCCAAGTCTGTGCTCCTATCCTGGGGTTTCGGTGCCTTCTTGTGCTGTTAGGATTTGATTTTCAAACGTGACTGGGCAGAGTGGGGGCCTTGGCCAATCCTGACTTCTGACCCTTCACCCAGGGATTGGAGGCTTCACCGGTGCTATCTGTGAACTCCCGCGAAGAATTAGGCCTCAGGCTCACCTTGACTGGAACATCATTGTGTACCCATTTAATAGAGGGGAATGCCGAGACCTTGAGGAGTAAGGGCCTGGATGACCTTATTGGGGATTCCAGGCTAGGACCCCCTTGAATGTTGGACTGCAACCTCTGAAAGAATAAAGGACAACGGCTGACTTGAGGGTGATGGGGCATATGCCATAGTCAGATTTCAGGTTTTAAAACATCCCCCTGGCTACTGGGGTGCCAGAGAGGAGGCTGTGAATATCCAGGAGAGAAAGAACAGGGTCTGCCTAGAGCACGGGGGCTGCTGCCGGGTACCTTCAGACTTGGCCAGGTTCCCTCCTCCTTCCCTAGAAGCCCATCCATTGGGCCTGATCTGGAGTTTTGAGGTGGGGAGAGAGGCCTCCTCCCCGGCTTCTATATACCCCAGACACATGGCTCACTGGGTAGGTCTCCCTCCCCCACTCTCCTGAGACAGCAGTTTAAGATTTAATCCCAGGACAAGTTTCTGCAAAGCCCATGTTTGCTGCCAGAAGGAGCAGGGACCAACCTAGATGGAGGGATAAGAGACAGAGGAGGGGTGAGGAAGGGATTGCGGAGGGCTGCATGGGGAGAGGTCATAAATCCAGACTTCACACTCTGTCCTGCCTGGCTCCAGCATCCACAGACTAAATCAGGGAAACCTAGTTCCTGCCACCCAGAGGAATGCATTCATGTGGCCACAACCTGCCTGTGCACCTACTGTGTACCACCCCCTGCCCTACCTTAGTCATGGTCACAGCTCGCAGGGAAGTCTCTGGGCTCAAGCAGCAGCCCTGGCTGGCCCAGCCCTTGACAGGTCCAGGTTACCCAGGACACCAGTAGAGGGCACAGAGGGGCAATGCTGCTACAGAGGGAGACAACCACCCTCCCTCTACCACTGACATTTGGAGTCCTCATAGTCCCTGAGGGGAAACTGAGGCCTGTGCCCCTCTGCCTTGTCTTTTCTTTTTTCTTTCTTTCTTTCTTTTTTTTTTTTTTCTGAGACAGAGTCTCGCTCTGTCATCCATGCTGGAGTGCAATGGCACGATCTCGGCTCACTGCAACCTCCGCCTCCCAGGTTCAAGCGATTCTCCTGCCTCAGCCTCCCGAGTAGCTGGAATTACAGGTGCACGCCACCAAGCCCAGATAATTTTTGTATTTTTAGTAGAGACCAGTTTTCACCATGTTGGTCAGGCTGGTCTTGAACTCCTAAACTCGTGATCCACCTGCTTGGCCTCCCAAAGTGCTGGGATTACAGGCATGAGCCACTGCGCCCAGCCTCTTTTCTTTTGTCTTTGAGACGTAGTCTCGCTCTGTCGCCCAGGCTGGAGTGCAGTGGTGTGATCTCGGCTCACTGCAACCTCTGCCTCCTGGGTTCAAGCGATTCTCCTGCCTCTGCCTCCTGAATAGCTGGGATTACAGGTGTGTGTCACCACGCCCAGATAATTTTTTGTATTTTTAGTAGAGATGGATTTTTGCCATGTTGGCCAGGCTGGTCTAGAACTCCTGACCTCAAGTGATCTGTCACCTCGGCCTCCCAAAGTGCTGGGATTACAGGCATGAGCCACTGCACCGGCCGCCTTGTCTTTTTTTAAAGCACCCCCAGGACCATCTTCCTCCGCGGGTTGCCTAGCCTCTTCCCACCCCACTCCCCTCTGCAGTCCTCAGTGCTCCTCTTCTCTCTGTGCGCCCGGCTCCTGCCCAGGGAAGGGGAGGCATGTGGAAATCTGACTGGCTGGAACCAGGAGGAAATTCACCCCCGCTGTGTTAACCCCCCAGTCTCAGTGCTTGGATTTGAGGGTGGAGCCAGGCCAGGGTTGGTCTGCCACTCCCAGATTCCCCTGAGGGACAGGTCCCACAGATCACCTGCTCAGCCCCAGCTTCCCTCCCTGGACTGCCTGAGGCTTCACCCTTCCCTTGCCCCAGCTGCCCCACCAGCTGAGTGTGCCCAGCGGTCAGTACCCTCTATAGCCAAGGACATATGGACCCCAGACCAAGAGGGGTCATAACCTGCTGGGGGGGCCAAAGATGGGACCTTAGGCAGCACCCCAAGGCCCTAGGTTGACCATAGCCTCAGGAAACCCACGTTTCCCAGCCAGGGGTCTGGTTGGGCCTAGGCTATGCTATGGGGGCCCAGTTCTCCAGAGAGGGGCCGGGTAGTGCTGGCTGGGGCCTATTCTCTCAACAACATGGGTGTTTCTTGCTGGAGTTTTAGTTGCTCAGAGAGGGGACCCAGTGCTGGGGCCTTGGCCTGCTTAGATCTCTGGCTCGGTGTCCAGGCTGGACCCTTACCACCCTGTGGCTTTCAGGTAGGGAAGAGGAAAACATGTGGGCTGGGCTGAGGTGGGGACACAAGACATGTGAGCCCTGCCACCAGCCAGAGTTTAGAGGAAATTCTGTGTTGAATCCCTGAACATCCCCCTAGCTGCTCCTAGAGTTTTCTCACAATGGGGCTTATTGTGGGGGGAATCTTGGAGCTCCCAGCTGTCTGGACAGGTGTCAGTTCCTGCTCCCTTTGTCACCTACTGATCAAGGACACCCCCCGCCAAGAAAGATGGGACTGCGTGGCTGTGGGTCCTAGACTCTAGAGAACCCAACCCTACCCATGCTGTCCCCACAGGCCCAGGATGAGGCCTCCACATCTTCCCAGGCAGAGACCCTCACCCGGTACAGGCCAGACTGCAGACAAAGATACCACTTGACAGATAGGGAGACAGGGGCCCTGAAAGGTCTGCGTGGAAGGTCGGAGTCAGAACAAGCAAAGCACAGTTGGCCTGCTTTGTGGCCGAGGCAGAGGCAGCAGGGGGATCTCTGGAGGGGCTCCCAGGCAAACCTCAGGGCCTGGAGGCCCTCAGGTCACTCTATGGTTTCTGAAGGGCCACCCCTCATCATGTCTTCTATCATGTTGCCCTCAAGCCTTTGCCTAGGCTATTCTCCCACCAGGAATGCCTTTCCCTGTCTCCCTAGCGGGGTTCTCCTGGTCCTTCTGGCCTGGTTCAAATGCACTGTGTCTTGGTCATATGTCATTCATTCATGCTGGGTGTGGTGGCTCACGCCTGTAATCCCAGCACTTTGGGAGGCTGAGGTGGCAGATCACCTGAGGTCGGGAGTTCGAGACCAGCTTGGCCAACATGGAGAAACCCCGTCTCTATTAAAAATACAAATATTAGCTGGGCGTGGTGGCACATGCCTATAATCCCAGCTACTCGGGAGGCTGAGACAGGAGAATCTCTTGAACCCGGGAGGCGGAAGTTGTGGTGAACTGAGATTGCACCACTGCACTCCAGCCTGGGCAAAAAGAGGGAAACTCCATCTCAAAAAAAAAAAAAAAAAAAAAGATGTCATTCATTCATTCTGCAACCTCATGTCCTCCCAACCCTGTGTTGGCACCAGCCACAGAGACTGATTTCTCCACCCCAATTTGGCCTGAAATTTCAACAAAATTGTCTTGGAATAGTGGTAGGCAAGGCCTACAGGCCTAGAGCTGAGAGATGGGAGCCACCTCAGAAAGGCAGAAGGGGAGATTTTGATGGCCTAGAGTTAGGGGAATTTGAATGCCTAAGGACCCGGGCTCCACCCAGACCCCACACCTTGGAGAGGTCCTGTAAGGGCTGGGAGATAGACTCCAGGCAGAAAAGGGCCTGGCATCTAGGGAAACCTGAGCCTCTCAGAAGTGTGGAGCCTAAGCCGGGCATGGTGGCTCATGTCTGTAATCCCAGCACTTTGGGAGGCCAAGGCAGGTGGATCATGAGGTCAAGAGATTGAGACCATCTTGGCCAACATGGTGAAACTCCATCTCTACTAAAAATACAAAACATTAGCTGGGTGTGGTGGCACATGCCTGTAGTCCCAGCTACTTGGGAGGCTGAGGCAGAGGCAGGAGAATCGCTTGAACCCAGGAGGTGGAGGTTGCAGTGAGACGAGATCACGCCACTGCACTCCATCCTGGTGACAGAGTGAGACTCCGTCTTAAAAAAAAAAAAAGAAGTCCGGGCACGGTGGCTCATGCCTGTAATCCCGGCACTTTGGGAGGCCAAGGCGGGTGGATCATGAGGTCAGGAGATCGAGATCATCCTGGCTTACACGGTGAAACCCTGTCTCTACTAAAAATACAAAAAAATTAGCCGGGCGTGGTGGCGGGCGCCTGTGGTCCCACCTGCTCGGGAGGCTGAGGCAGGAGAATGGCGTGAACCCAGGAGGCGGAGCTTGCAGTGAGCCAAGATGGCGCCACTGCATTCCAGCCTGGGAGACAGAGCGAGACTCCATCTCAAAAAAAGAAAAAGAAAAAGAAGTGTGGAGCCTGGGCAGAGGTGGAAGCCCTGCAGCTCTGGCCTTGCTGTCCACAGGGCTCTTCAGACCTCACCAGGCCTTACTCGACCTACCCAAACATCAGAATCATGAGGCTGGGGCTGGGCGTGGTGGCTCACACCTGTAATCCCAGCACTTTGGGAGGCAGAAGTGGGCAGATCACTTGAGGTCAGGAGTTCAAGACCAGCCTGGCCAACATGGTGAAACCCTGTCTCTAGTAAAAATACAAAAATTAGTTGAGTGTGGTGGTGGGCACCTGTAGTCTCAGTTACTTGGAAGCCTGAGGCAGGAGAATTGCTTGAAGCCGGGAGGCAGAGGTTGCAGTGAGCCGAGATTGCACCACTGCACTCCAGCCTAGGGACAGAGCAAGAATCCTTCTCAAAAATGAAAGAAAGAAGAAAGAGAGAAAGAGAGAAAGAAAGGAAGGAAGGAAGGAAGAAAGGAAAGAAAGAAAGAGAGAGAAAGTAAGGAAGAGAGGGAGGGAGGAAGGAAGGAAGGAAAGAAGGAAGGAGAGAGACAAAGAAAGAAAGAAAGAAAAAGAAAGAGACAGAAAGAGAAAGAGAGAGACCAGACGCAGTGGCTCACGCCTGTAATCCCAGCACTCTGGGTGGCCGAGGCAGGTGGATCACCTGAGGTCAGGAGTTCAAGAGCAGCCTGGCCAACATGGTGAAACCCTGTCTCTACTAAAAATACAAAAATTAGCTGGGCTTGGTGGCGCACGCCTGTAGTCTCAGCTACTCGGGAGGCTGAGGCAGGAGAATTGCTTGAACCTGGGAGGCAGAGGTTGCAGTGAGCCCAGTGCACTCCAGCTTGAGCGAGAGAGTGAGACTCTGTCAAAAAAAAAAAGAAAAAAGAAAGAGGAAGGAAGGAAGGGAGAGAGAGAGACAGAAAGAAAGAAAGAAAGAAAGAAAGAAAGAAAGAAAGAAAGAAAGAAAAGAAAAGGAAAGAAAACAAGGAAGGAAGGAGGGAGGGAAGGAATGAGGGAAGAGAGAGAAAGAAAAGAAAGAAAGAAAGAAAGAAGAAAGAAAAAGAAAGAAAGAAGAAAGAAAAAGAAAGAAAGAAAAAGAAGAGAGGAAGGAAGGATGGAAGGAAGGAAGGGCCGGGCGCGGTGGCTCATGCCTGTAATCCCAGCACTTTGGGAGGCCGAGATGGGTGGATCACAAGGTCAGGAGATTGAGACCATTCTGGCTAATACAGTGAAACCCTGTCTCTACTAAAAATACAAAAGAATTAGCTGGACGTGGTGGCGGGCACCTGTGGTCCCACCTAATCTGGAGGCTGAGGCAGGAGAATGGTGTGAACCCTGGAGGTGGAGCTTGCAGCGAGCCAAGATTGCGCCACTGCACTCCAGCCTGGGCGACAGAGCGAGACCCCATGGAAAGAAAGAAAGAAAGAAAGAAAGAAAAAAAGAAAGAGAGAGAGAGGGAGGGAGGGAGGGAGGGAGCAAGGAAGGAAGGAAGGAAGGAAAGAAGGAAGGAAGGAGGGAAGGAGAAGGAAAGAAAAAAAAGAGAGAAGAAGGACTCACGAGGCTGGGGCTGGGGGTGCATGTGCACGCATGTGCATGGACGCCTCCTGCAGGCCCCATGATGGGCCCCAGCTCCAGGCCTGGCTGTATGAGGCTCTCACCCTCCCATGGGTATGCACTTGCCCCCAGTTTCCTCAGCTGTTAAATGAGAGCAAGTTTCTTCCTCACAGGGTGCCGAAAGGATCAAACTAGCCACCGAGCACAGATTGCCGGAGCAGCATCTAGTGTGTAGGGCGCAGGCTCCCTGAGTCACCTTTGTTATGACTTATCAGCCCTCCCCGGTAGATGACAGGGAGACGTAGACGCCATCACTGGGGCACAAGAGACTGTGGAATTGCTCTGTTGCGGCCCCAGGAGAGAGTGGGGGCGCATTTATCTTCTCATCCAACCGAAGGGTCCACTCAGGTTGGGGCAGTCCTCAACTGCCCAGCCTTGACCCTGTCTTCTGCCATTGCTTCTGATCTTTGGGCATCCAGGCCTGCATGGTGGCCCACCTAGCACACACGTTACACCCACCGGAGCCTCCACAGGCAAAGACAACATTACTGTCCTCCGCAGGACCAGGGCGGGTGGAGGAGGGACCAGCACGTGGGTTGTCAGGGGAATGGCAGGCCACCTGGGTCTCCTGGGCCCCCACCTCTCTCCTTCCTTAAATAGGACAGCCCCACTCTGGCTCTCCCACTCTGGCTCTGACCCCAACACCCAGCCCACAGTTCCTGTAAACAATTATGCACCAGGAGCTGTAGGGCAAGAAGATGAAGCCCCAGGTCAGCAGGGAGGTGTCCGGGTGACGGGGTGCAGAGGGTGCCCTGGGGCTGAGAGGGTGACTGAAGGAAGGCTGCCTAGAGGAGGTGACACTGCTGCTGGGCCTTAAAGGACGCATCACAGATATCCTGTCCTGAAGGATGAGTGAACAGTGGTGGGAGAGCCTGGAGGCATGCCCTGCCATGGTGTGTCCTGGAGGCCAGAGTGTGGTGCTGTCTGGGGCAGGACTCAGGCAGCTTCACAACCTCCTAGCGATGGGTGATAGGGTGAGGGCAGCGGCAGTGGCACATGAGCTTCACCTGGGCTGGCTCTTCCAAGGGCCAGGGGGGCCTGGACGGAGCAGCAGAGCAGCAGAGTGAAGGCAGACGTGGGCCCTCGAACAGTCCTTGGGGAGGACCCAGCCGGAGGTGCCTAGGCTAGGTGGGCAGGCTCAGCTGGCCCCAGGAAGCAGAGCTGCACGGAACCAGGGGCTGGGGCTGGGCACTGCTGGAGACTGCCAGCCTGGGGGGCCTTTGCTGCCTCTGTGAGGACTCTGTTGGTCGAATGAGACCCATCCTTCCCCGAGGGATGGGACAACCCATCTGTAGGACAAGCTGCTTTCAGGAGGGGTGGCAAACGGGTGCGCCTTGAGGCTTCTACGAGGGCACGAGGCCATAGGCCAGGTCCCTCTCATACCTTCTGCCCTCCCCAGTTTCCCAGCATCCTCCTCTGCACTCCTGGCTGCCATCCAAGCACACCCATGGAGGGTCCTTGTACAGGGGCAGGGCCTGTCTGCTTCCAAGGGGGCAGGGTTTACTCCTCAGAGTCCCTGCCCTAGTGCCCTAATTCATAAGATACTGAGGCCCAGATACTGAGGGAGAAGGCTGTGCCCAAGGTACCAAGGAGCTGAGGGCTTCAGCCTCCCAGGGTCCTCACCAGCCTTTCTCCCAGGCCCCCATGAATGAGCACTCCTAGAAGGAGGAGTGGGCTCAGGGATGGTCCTGGGCCATCCCTAACCCTCCCCCAAGCCCTGCCTGGGGATTCCCTGCCCCGATGGGCTGCGGCTCCTCTAAGGGCTTCTCTGGGAACAGATCTGCTGAGCCAGTTTGGGGGATAGAGCGGTAGGGGTGCCGTCAGGGGGTCAGGTGGGTTGTAGGCAGGGGCTCCAATCTCCCCCAGGAGCTGTCTGTGCTCCAGGTGTTAGGCAGGGCTCTTGGCTACCCCGCCCCCACCAGGTGTGGGGCTTCCAGCAGCCCAGAGGCCCCTTTGTCCTTTATCGTCTCTGCCTCCTTGGTGGCAGCATACAGATAAGCATCCCATTTGGGGCTGAAATTCCAGCCTGGCTGCCCATTCTACCACCTGGGGGGCTTGGGGCTGCCAGTTACAGCTACACCCTCTGTCCTGCCGTGGGACCCACCCAAAGTGTCCAGTCCACCCAGCACCTCCAGCTGCACATTTTCCCCAGGACCCCTCCCCAGCCTTCGCACTGGGACCTGCACCTCTCACCCCCTTGGCCGTAGAGGTGCATGTCCCCCTGCCTGTCCGTGCACACAGGCACGTATCTCATTACCCCCGGCCCTCTTCTTGATGACAGTGAGCCACTTTGACGCCCCTTCCCCTCCCCCTATTCACACCCCACAGAGTTGGGGCTGGGAGGTTCGCCCAGGGGCCCCTGACCTACCAGTGAGAGGCTGACACAGAAGAGCTGACCCCTGTGTGATCCCAAGGACCCCAGGGTGACCCCCAAAGACACGCATCCCCGAGACTTCCTCAACCACCCCTCTCAGGGACTCTCCATCTCCATCTCCCAGCCCCGTCTCAGCCTCTCTTCTTCCCTGTCTCCCCCTCCCCCCTCATTAAGCCTCCTAAACCCGCCAGCTCCCTGAAGCAGGAAATTGCATTCTGCCAAGATTAAATGGGCTTGAACGCCCTGCCTCTGCCCGCAAGGGAGGGGAGCTGAAAGGAGCCAAGTTTGCTGGGGGTGGGGTCCCTGGGACACTGAACCCCAGGTTGGAGAGGGGACTCAGAAAGGTGGAGTACTTCAGGATGGGGTAGGGCTCCCTGAAGGGCAGAGGGGAGAAGACAGGGTCTGCAGGGAGGCAGGGAGCTGGGGATGTTGGCCCCTCCCCACTGCAGGGGGAATGAGGAGCCAGGAGGGGAAGTCACTCTGTGGGGGTGGGGGCAGATTCTGATTAAGTGGGGGAAAGGGGGAAAGGGTGGAAGGAAATGGTGATTGGGAGGTGAGAGAGGATGCCTGTCAGGTTGAGACCTGACTCACAGGAAATGGGAAATGAACTTTGAGGGGTGTACTCTCTCTCCAAGGGGTGCATTTTGGAGTGCCCAGAGGGAGGGGCTGGTACACTCTCACTCCCCACTGGCACAAGGTCTAAGAGGAAGGGTACAGTCAGAGACCCCTGTGTACCCTTGGGCCATTGAGGAGCTCACACACAGCTCTACAGGCAGCAGGACCCCACAACCCACCCCCTGCGCTGTCAGAAAGTCTCCATCAGGATACAGAGAGCACTGAAGTCAGGCAGGGAGAGAGGCATTGAGGTCAACACCTCCCAGCAGAGGCCCAGATCCCATTGTCCACAGCAGCCCCACACTCCATAGACTGGGGGGACAATCATCCCCACTTCTCAGCTGAGAGAGCTCTGAGACCTAGCCAGGCTTCCCTCCCTCCTCTCCCCATCACAGGGCCCCCTAACAAGGCCAATTCCAGATGTGAGGGGAGTGGGGAAAGAAGATATGCCAGCCCCTTCTTTCTCCAGGTGGGCGAGGGCAGGCACAGCTGGGCTGTGTGGGCCTCAGATGGGCGCCTGAGTCTAGGTCAGGCCTTCAGAGCCTGGTAAAGCCAAGGGGACTGGAGCCAGGGCTGGAGGAGCAGGAGGGAGCACAGCTGGTCCCAGGTGGTCAGGCATCATCCCTGAGAGCACCTGTCCTGGAGAGTCATGGCCAGGGGTGACGATGCTTATGGTGCACCCCTGGTGTGAGAGCCTGTCCTTGCCATAGGGGTGGGGGTGGGCACTGGGACACTGGGAAAGACAGCTCGGCTCAGCCGGTGTGGTGGTGGGGAATGCAGGGCCGTGGGAAGAGTCTCTGAAGGGAAGCAAAGGCCAGAAAAGGAGACAGGTTGTCTGGGGAAGGCCCAAGAGAACCTCAGCCTGGCTGAATGCGGGCAGGCAGTGGTCAGCCATGAGGCTGGGGGCTCAGAGGTCCATGTGGTCATCAGGCAAGATTGGGGCAATGGACAGCTGCGGAGCTCATGCGAGCTCCAGAGCAGGGCTGAGGGGCTTCCTCCCTCACCTTCCCCAATCCCACCCCACTGAGGGCCCCAGCCCCACGGTCACTTCAGGCAGCCTGAGCTGGGCAGACAGTTTCCAAAGAAGGAGGCTGGGTCTGTTTTGGCAGCTGTTGAAAAGCAGGCTTCCCCTGCCCAGATGTGAGGGAACTGACACTGTGTCTGGGAGGAGTAGGCAGTGGGGCAGGTGTATGCCGGGCTAGGGCATCCGGGGCCACCCCAGCAGGCCCTGGGGGAAGATAATCCAGTCCCTGGGAATGGGGTGCCTGCTGGGAAGTGACACAGCTGAGTTCAGACCAGGCTGAGGTGACAAGTACCCCCTGAGTCTGCACCTCCAATGTTCCTGGCCTGAATGTCCTCTGATCACTCCCTGGTTGCATTCTCAGTCTCCAGGGAGATGTGTGGAGCCTGCTGCCAGTGAGATTTGAGCTGGCCTGTGCTTCAGATTCCTGACAGGCAGTGACCCAGGGCCCTGCCTTTGCCACATCCCGGCTGCATGTCCCTAGGCTGTCCGTGGTGGACAGGGAGTTCCCCCAGAACCTCTGCTCAGAGCTCCCTTTCATCCTCTTCCCCTGAGACCAGCTCTCAGAGAAAGCCTGAATAGACCCCTTCAGCCATAAGGGGCTCCTCCCAGGTCCTCATATAGCTTCCTGCTCTGGGCTGCAGTTGGAGACCCCTGGACCCAGCTAGCTCAGCTCAGGGACTTCTCCTCAAAGCCCCCAGCCCCTCCCTTGTATCTCACAACTCCTGTGGCCCCATCACAGGTCGGACCACTCTTTATCTGCTTTTTCCTCCTTTTCCAGGAGACTCAGCTCTGGGAGGACGGCCACCATCTCTGGCTCAGTCACATTTGGTCCCCAGATTCTGGCAACCCTGGGTAAAAGCTCAGTCACCTGACCTAGTGACGACCACAAGGTACATTTCCAAAGCTCTACGGAAAACTCACTCACTGCCTCACAGAACAGCCTGTGTGCCCCTCCCTTTCCCAGGCCCCAGGGTAGGGGGGTCAGGGAGAGGGGGTGGGTGGTGGACATGAGCCAGATATGGTTTCTGCCTACAGGGAGCTCAGAATCTTTCTGGAAGACAGGACTGGGAGCAAGGAAAGAGGCACCTGAGAGACCTGGGATGGGTGGCCTGTCAATGTTTCAAGAGACCAAGGTGGGCTGTTGACACCAGGGTTGCTTCCGGAGGTTCAGGGAGCACAGTATTGTCAGATGTGCTAGGAGGGCCTCCTCAGCTGCTCATCTTCAGCCCCGTCAGCCAGCAGCGGGGACCACCTCAATGCCCCCCAAGTACCCCCCATACTCCCAACTCTGGTCTCCTCTTTGTCTGTGTGCCGGGGTCACCTAAGCAGCTAACAGTACAGCATATATACCCCACCCCTCAGCAACCACCCCTACCCACGCTGACAGATCCCCTGAAAGCCTCAGCTCCATGCCGCAGGAACTGGGCCCTCACTCCCTACCAGGAGGCCCATTCTACCCCCCTGTGCTGGTGGAGAGCCCTGCCTTGGCGACCTGAATCAGTGCCTCCTCCCTGTGCCCTGGTTAGGCAATGCCGCCTGGCCCCACTGTCCAGCTCCCAGGCTGGGGAGATAATGAGCTGTGGGATTTTGGACAAATCTCCCGTCCTCTCTGAACCTTTGAGTTTCCCAGCTCTAAAGCTGGGATGTTCATGTCTTGACTGGCAGGAGGCTGCCCCAAGAACAAGGCCATATGTCCTGGGTTTGGGCTGGCACATCACACAGGCTATAAACAGCATGGGCCCTTCCTCCACTTCTTTTTTAAGTGCTTCCTTGGGAGGAAGACTTCTGGGCCTTGATACCTGATCCTGGAGCCCCAGGGACCCTGCTCCACTAAGACAGAGCAATTCAAGTTTCTTGATGTTGAATTCTTGGCTAGTCTAGGAACACTGGCCTGGTGGAATTTGAGGCCCGCCACCTGCATGATATGGATACATAAGATGTGGGGGGCAGGTTGCTGGCTCTGACCCTAAAGGAAAAACGGTGCCAGGAGTCTAGGCCGTGCCAGAACCTAAGCCATCAGGTGTTCGGGATGGAGCTGCCTCCATTCCCACCCTGCTGACCTCTGTCCTGCCCCAGCAGAGGGGCTTGCATCAGCCCTGCGCCCTTCTGGTCTCTCTCTCACTTGCACTCCTTGTCTGACTGGACAGGGTCTCCAGTGCTGCACAAGCCTGCCAGGGCCAGCCAACTTTCTTGGAGGGCCTGCCCCAGCTAGCTGTTGCTTTAGCTGATGCCAAGCACAAGCCAGCCACACTGAGAGGGGTTGACCAGATGCCTGCTGCTCACATGACAAACCCCCAGCACCCCTGACCCCCAGGACTTCAGCCATAGGGTCTCAAGCATGGAGGCCTTGGGGGAGCTGTAGTGGGGCTCAGGATCAGCTCCGTGATATTGGGAGCTCTGTGGAGAGCCGGGGAGCCACAGATTGCTGGGGGAAGAAGGGAGTCTGGCCTTCCTTGGGTTCCGCAACCCAAGAAGGTTATGAGGGACCTGGGAGATAAGCATCCCCCTCTGCTTGCCCAGCTGCTGGACCCCTTGCTGAGAGGGGAGGGAAAGCTCAGGACTAGGGTTCCCTACATGGGACATCCCCACACTCACCTATGGCTTGGGCTGGGCTCCCTCCTCCCCAGCCCTAGCCTGGGGCTTCTCTGGTTTGGGAGCTTGGGAGGAGCAGGGGTAGAAAGAACAGTGGGCAGGTGGTGGTGGGTGGGTTGGCACAGCACTCCTCCATCCTTGCCCCAGCTCTGGGCCCCACCACCTTCCTACCAGGGGTCCCAGTAACCCCTCCTCCCTCACCCTTCCCACCAGCTGGCAGCAGGACAGAAAAGAATTAACGCTGCCTACCATGGAGAACCTTGTGGCTTTGTCTGGGCTGGTGGAGCCTACAGGGCTGGTGGGAATAATAACTCATGAAAAGTGTCAAACACAGACTTTACTATCCTGCACGTGGGGGGGCTGCAGACCCAGGTGTTCAGGCACTTGTGGACCCTTGTGATGGCCTTGTGGGGCCTCGGTGGGCAGGCAGTAGGGACCCCCTTCCCCAGGTGGAGTGGACTCCGGGGCTGTTGTTCTGTAAAAGAGACTGGGGAGGACAATGCTTACCCCAAACAAATCATCTGGTCTCTGGGACATCCCTGCCTTGGGCAAGGAGGAGTGGGAGGTGGGCAGGGCCTCACCCAGGGGTTCTCTGTCGCCTCTCAAGGTTTGCTGGCTCATCTGTACCCCAGAAGGGCTGTAGCTATAGGGTCTTGGCCCGTGTGTCTAAGGGACAGGGAGGCAAGAAGTGACTTCCCTTTGGCTCTGACACCCATGTGATGGCCCTGTAGTCCTTGGCTTTGGGGAACCAGGTGTGGGGCTGTCAGAGTTACAGCAATGCTCAGCGTCCATCGTGAGATGGAAGGGCCCCTCCCTGACTGATGGGTAGGAAGGGAAAACATGCCCAGGTCAGAGGTGGGGGCAGGTGGGGAGGCATCCCTGCCACAGGACTCTCCCAGATCCTCCCTCCTTGAAACCTCTTCCCTGTGGGAGGTCCCATTTGTGGGAGAATCCGACTGCTAGAGACAAGTCAAGCGGGGGAAGAGTTACCTGCAGATGAGGACTGGGCAGTGCATGGCATCTGGGGCTCCATTGCCCCTAGTCCCAGCCTGCTTTGCTGGTGGGGTGGGGAGACAGGATGCATCTACCTGCCTGTCCTGGGCTGTCAGCTCCTCTTCTCCAGCCAGGAGGCAGGTGGGGGCAGGGAGGGGTGCTGGTCCTCATGAATTTACAATGCCTAGACTTCATGAAGCGGGTGCCCACAGACTGAGAGCTCCAGCAGGGGGAGGGGAGGTACTGGACAGTGTGTGCACCCCCTTTCCCGTCAGCCTTCTCAGAGGCCCTCTGTCCAAATCCGTCAACCTGGTGTTCCACTGAGCTAAGCTCCTTAGCACCAGGACACAGCATAAACAACATCTGTGCCCTGAGATCCCAGGGTCTGATCCCCAGTGTCCCAAGATCCCCAGATGAGCCCTGGGGACACAGTGGGGAGGACCAGGAGGACCCCTGCTGACTCTCCCTGCTCCTGCGTGGGCACAGGGCCACATTGGCCGCACCATCACCTGGACCTCCCAGGTGCGCTGGCCTCTGCCTGCCAAGAGATGTGAAGCTCTTATCTTTTCCCCATAGATAAGGGCCTGGGAAGGGAATGGGGAGGAAGCTGTCCTATTCTGGATCTAGTCTGGGTAGAGGAGTCAGGGAGGAATTGGCCCAAGTCTTCCCACCAGCCCCTCTGACCCTCCACCTCTGGCTGGTGGCTACAGGCCCCCCTCCCACCATCCTTCTAAGATTCAGAGAAGAAAGAAGAAACGAGGTGTCTGAAGATGAGGATTGAGGGGTGGAAATTACCTCAACTGAATTTTAAAAACCCCTGGCTGGTTGCCATAGTAACAGAAAGGTGCATCCCATCACCATGGCAACAGGCAAACACCGAGGTCTGCTGCTGGGATTGGGGATTTGGGATGTGGCCGGAGGGGGTTAACAGAGGAGGCTGGGCTTGGATAGAGCAGTTGGGGGTGGGGAACTATCCAGCCTGGGATAATTTCACCCCTACCTTTCCAGGGGGCAGAAAGCCAGGCTGGGCCCCTTCTCCCTGGTGGTGGAGTCACAGGAGAATGGATTGTTGGGAGTAATCCCCTAGCTCCCACCACCCACCCCTATCTGGCACCATCTGCAGCCTGGAAGCCTGGGGTGGAGTCATGAGCCTGCTTAACTGGGCTCCTAACTAGCCAGACCGTGGGGCTTGGAAACCATGGAACTCAGCTCCTGACCTCAGGGAGTGACAGGCTGGGAGTCAGTGTCATTGGTCATGGTCCTAAGAAAGAAGAAGCACATGACCAGGCTGGGCATGGTGGCTCACACCTGTAATCTTAGCACTGTGGGAGGCTGAGGCAGGTGGATCACCTGAGGTCAGGAGTTCGAGACCAGGCTGGCCAACATGGTGAAACCCCGTCTCTACTAAAAATACAAAAATTAGGTCAGGCACAGTGGCTCACGCATGTAATCCCGGCACTTTAGGAGGCCAAGGCGGGCGGATCACCAGAGGTCGAGAGTTTGAGATTAGCCAGGCTAACATGGTGAAATCCTGTCTCTACTACATATACAAAATTAGCTGGGCGTGGTGGTGTGCACCTGTAATCCCAGCTACTTGGGAGGCTGAGGCAGGAGAATCACTTGAACCTGGAAGGTGGAGGTTGCAGTGAGCTGAGATTGCACCATTGCACTCCAGCCTGGGCAACAAGAGTGAAACTCCATCCCCCCACCCAAAAAAAAAAAGAAAAAAAAGAAGCGCATGGCCAGAGATCAGCTCCATGTAATACCCTGAAGGCAGCTACACACACCTGGAGGGTTGCTGTATACACCTGGCCGGTGGCCACACACACCAGTATGGCCACACACCTGGAGGGTGGCTCCTCAAGGTGACAGTCATCTCCTCCAAGGACCTAGCCTCCAGGGCTAGAGGAGGAGATCTGTCCTCCTCCTGATTTGGTGTGAGGTCCCAGAGAGGAACAGAAAGGGTCCTGTTCTGCCACTACTGAGGATACTCTCAGGAAGCCCCAAACAGCCAGGCAGCCAGAACCATAGTTGACATTTGACAGGTTGTGGTTCAGGCTCAGGACTGACCTGTGGAGCCACTGGGTCCCAACTGACCCTCTCACACCCACAGTCCCCATGCTAGCGGCTGGACATTCAGGCTCACTGGCCCCATGGCCTGACATTCTACCATCAGAGTCAGTCTCTTGGGTTGCCCAGTGACGCCACAAGATGCTTGTTAGACACACCCGGGAGCATTGTGGCTCTTCCATTAATGCATTAGTGTTTCCGAGGTTTGGAGATGATATGGGCTGCCTGTGGCCTTGGAGATCTGGCTGTGTGTGTGTGTGTGTGCGCGCGTGTGTGTGCATATGTGTGTGTGTGTTTGCCTGCATGCTCACATGCACCCCCACATGCAGGAAATCAGCAAAGAGGGAGTTGGGGGTATCCACTCTCCCAGCTTGCCAGCTTCAAGCTGACTTGTTAAAATCTAGATTCCAGCGGGGGCGTGGTGGCTCACACCTGTAATCCCAACACATTGGGAGGCCAAGGCAGGAGGATGGCTTCAGCTCAGGAGTTCGAGATCAGCTTGGGCAACTTAGCGAAAGCCCGTCTCTACAAAAAATATAAACAACTAGCCAGGCATGGTGGTGCATGCCTGTAGTCCCAGCTACTTGGGAGCAGGGAGTATAGCTTGAGCCCAGGAGGTCAAGGCTTCAGTGAACCCCATGTTTGTGCCACTGCACTCCAGCCTGGGTGACAGAGAAAGACCCTGTCTCAAAAAAAGAGTAATAATATAAATAAAATCCAAATTTCCAGAACCACCCCCAAGCTTCTCTTCTGTTGAGAACATGGCCTCGGCACAGGAATTCCGAGGGGATACTGGAGCCTCGGGCGGGCTGCTGCCTCCTGGGCTGCCCAGGTGGGCTGGGTAAACCCTGGGGCTACCTGGGCTAGGGAGAGGAACCAAAAAGGAGATGCTGCCTGACTCTGGAGAAGTAAGAACAAACCCAAGGCACTCTTGTGCCTCCTGCCTTCTCTCAAGAGGCTGGCTTGGCCTGCTCTTCCAGGGGGCTGTGAACTGATGGGTGAAAGGGAAGAGGAGACATTCCTGCCTGGGCTCCCTCTGTCCAAGGTCAAGGCAGTACCTTGGATAGGGGCTCTCGCAGTCCAACTACCTCATCACAGGCAGGAAGACTGAGACCAGAAGGGGCTTACACCCGCCCAAGCTGCTAGGCCCAGCTCTGGGAGAGGGAGATTGGCCCAGGTTTGCCCTTTCAAGATCCTGCCTCCCCATGAGACTAGGTCAACCCAGGTTAACAAATTCCAGGGTCCTGACTGCCCATGGCATGAAAACCATCCTGGCAGTGCTAAGGCCCTTGGAATGGCAGCTGGAAAGGGAACCACTAAGGCTGGATTTAGGCTGGGGGTATGTCGTGCCGAGCCCCTGTCAACCTCAATAGGGAAGGCAGTTTCAAGAGGCTGAAGAAGGCCGGGCACAGTGGCTCGTGCCTATAATCCCAGCACTTTGGGAGGGCAAGGTGGCTGGATCGCCTGAGGTCAGGAGTTCGAGACCAGCCTGGCCAACATGAAGAATCCCCATCTCTACTAAAAGTACAAAAAATTAGCCAGGTGTGGTGGCAGGCGCCTGTAATTCCAGCTACTCGGGAGGCTGAGGCAGGAGAATCACTTGAACCCAGGAGGCGGAGGTTGCAGTGAGCTGAGATCGTGCCACTGCACTCCAGCCTGGGCAATAAGAGAGAAACTCCGCCTCAAAAAAAAAAAAAAAAGCCAAAGAAGAGACTCAGAGCTAGCAAATCAGACATGGGGAGGCTGGGTACTATAGCTCATGCCTGTAATCCCAGCACTTTGGGAGGCCAAGGTGGGTGGATCACCTGAGGCCAGGAGTTCGAGACCAGCCTGGCCCAAAATGGCAAAATCCCCGTCTCTACTAAAAATACAAAGATCAGCTGGGAGTGGTGGCATGCACCTATAATTCCAGCTACTCTGGAGGCTGAGGCAGGAGAATTGCTTGAACCTGGGAGGTGGAGGTTGCAGTAAGCCAAGATGGTGCCACTGCACTCCAGGCTGAGCAACAGAGTGAGACTATGTCTCAAAGTAAAAAAAAAACATGGGGTTTGACTGGAGACTTACATACGGGGGGAACGTCCAGTGGCAGTGGGCTGGACAGGAGAACTGCAGCTGCTTTTGAACAGCATGTGGTTTATAGAGCATTTTCACTCAACACCCCCTCCCCATGACCTCCACCTGGCAACCTTCAATTAACCTAAAATTTAGGCTTCAATCCCCTGTATGGCCTTGTACCATAGGCCAGGATGGGGGCTCAAATGTTCCTCATAGATAAGGAATGAATCTCTGGGTTGGCCACTCCCTCATTCCCTAGCTCAGAACACGCATTTACGTGCACCTCCATACAGGGTCATTCTCCGGGTACGCTTAAGCTATTGCTATCAGGTACGTTTACCATACAAGGTAGGGGGTGGTCCTGATCCCAGGAGGGAGTGAGGGCTTGGTGTACCCAGACTACTCCTCTTGCTCACATGCATGGGCACACACACACACAGAGACCTTAAGGAGATGGAGAGTGCCCACGTGGGCCGGGCACAGTGGCTCACACCTGTAATCCCAGCACTTTGGGAGTCTGAGGCGGGCAGATCACCTGAGGTCAGGAGTTCGAGACCAGCCTGGCCAACATGGTGAAACCCCGTCTCTACTAAAATTAGCTGGACATGGTGGCACACTCCTGTACCGTCAGCTACTCAGGAGGCTAAGGCAGGAGATCACTTGAACCCAGGAGGTGGAGGTTATAGGGAACCAAGATCACACCACTGCACTCCAGCCTGGGCAACAGAGGGAAACTCCATCTCAAAAAACAAAAAACAAACAACAAAAAAGAAAGTGCCCACACTCTCTGGAACTGGGGCCCTCCAGCCTCCATGGACTACTTGCCCCAAGGTGGCTGAGATCCCTGTCCAGAGCAGGAACTCTCAAGTTGCTCCCAAGCCAGGTTGGCCTGGAGCCTGTGTCGGTCTCCACCTTCACCCTCTCTCCCACCAGGACCATGCCATGTGGGGTGCATCCCCTGCAGCCCCAGAGACTACAAATGGTGCCCCATAGTAGCCCGGGCCTATATCCAAACACACAGGAGCACCTGGAACCTCAGGTGAGAGGTTCCCCAGAGCTGAGGACACACCCACGCTGGCTCTGCCCTGCACCCAATGGACCTGAAGGTTCTCTTGGAGAGCTTGGACAGGCGGCTCCCAGGCTGCCTAAGCCAGAGGGTGAGGGAGGTAGGGGCTCCTCCCTGGGCCTCCTTTAGGCTGACCCTGCTCCTCATCTCCAGCCATCAGCCCTGCTTGGCAGAGCTGGGCTGGATGCCTTGTGAGGAGTGAGGACTTCACCCTGTGGGCAGATTTGGAATCCATGGGTGTCCCCATGAGTCACCTGGACCCCAACTCCTGGTCCAGGAATGGCCAGAGGCTTGCTGGGTTCACCATCCATGACGTTTCCTTTTTGGTTTGCTTTGGGCTGCTTTGAAAGCCCTAAGGACTGTTGCTACGTGTGTCAACAACCCCACACTGGGTTCAGCAGTCATCCAGACTTCAGCAGGAATTCAGTGTGTCCTAAGGGCAGCATATACCCATGCCCCTAATACAAGACCTAACTCTGCCCTGGGTGTCTTATTTACCACATTCCCATACAATTTTCACTCGTGCCCTGAGTATATCGTATTTCTTTCTTTTTTTTTTTCCCAAGATGGAGTTTTGCTCTTTTTGCCAGGCTGGAGTGCAATGGCGCAATCTAGGCTCACTGCAACCTCTGCCTCCTGGGTTCAAGTGATTCTCCTGCCTCAGCCTCCTGAGTAGCTGAAATTACAAACATGTGCCACCATGCCCAGCTAATTTTTTGTATTTTTAGTAGAGATGGGATTTCACCATATTGGCCAGGCTGGTCTCGAACTCCTGACCTCAGGTGATCCACCCGCCTCAGCGTCCCAAAGTGCTGAGATTACAGGCATGAGCCACTGTGCCCAGCCTAGTGTATCATATTTCATCATGTTCTAGATGCCATGTATACATCCACGACCCAAGGACAATATTATGTCTTGAGAGCACCAATGTTTACCCACATTCCACTGGCCGAGAGCCTGGGAGACATACATGTATCCTTCCCCCGATGCCTGTTTACCCCACACTGGCTGCTTTCTTCCTCTGGTCTCTCTTTTTCCCCACGTGACAGAGCTGGCTGTGTGTGTGTGTATTAAGAGGTGACCCTGCCCTGGCTTGGGAGCGAACCTCATGAAGGTCCAGGATGTGGCCAGCACTGGGGTACAGAGCCTACTAATGCTCAGGCCCGCTGAGGACAGTGTCACCCTCCCTGCAGCAGCACTCGGCCTCCTGCTCATGGAGTGCCCAGACCCTCCTGTTGTTGGTTCTGGCACCTAGAGGGGGAGATATTTAGGGGATAAATGGAGGGGAAGGTGGGCCGGCCCATGGGAACCTGTCCTAGGTTGGGGACAGGAGAGCCCTGGGGCCTATAGCAAGGAGGCTGGAGTACCTCAGTACCTCAGAGGGGTACCAAGGTGGCCCTCCTGCCAGCCTGGCTCCAGACCCAATGGTCAGGGTAGTCTTGGTTTGGGAGCTTCCTGAAGTCACCAAGACCTGGAGAAAGTCAGAAGCCAGGGTGGCAGCAAGTACAGAAGGCCAGCTGGCCTTGTCCCAACAGACCCAGCCGTGCAGTGCAGACAGGCAGCATCGAAACAGGCTGGGCAAGGGGTAGGGGGGAGCCGCCTTGGCCAGGGTGGCACCTTGGAGGCAGCCCCTTCAGGATCCCCGGCTCCTGAGCCCTGTCCCATCCCGACCCCCTCCCAGGTAGAGCCCAGGAGACCTACACAGTCAGGCCTCCCCCTACCCCAGCCCTGAGACTCAGCCCGCCTCTGGAAGCTCAAGTCCTGCCTCAGTCTTCTGCTCCCAGGACAAAGGTTTGGGCTGGGCTCTGGCCTATCATGCTTATCTCATCATAAATATTTATCAGGCTCCAGGGGCCAGGCCTGCAGCTGGCTTGGTGATGGGGGTGGGGGTGGGGGCAGATGCTGCCGAAGGATCTCAAAGCCCATCCCTAATGAGGGGACTGTGAGGGGAGAGTGCCACCTGGGCCTTGGGCTCCTTGGGGAGGGAGGACAGATGGACAGCGGGACAGAATCAGAGGGAGCCTCAGGGACTTGGGCATAATCCAGCAAGCCAACCTCCCCATGCACTCCAGGAATGTGGGGGAGGAGTCCGAAGAGGCCAAGGCTGTGGGAGACAGGCGGGCTTCTCCCTGGACTGTCCTCCCATAGGACATCCTCGAGAGCCGTGCTCCCCACCCTCATCCTTCCCCCAGATGGTGCCCGCACTCTGTGCTCCCCCTACATCGCCCTCCCAGAGCTGCGCTCCTGCAGATGCGCTGTCTGTTCCTGCAGAGCTGTGTCCATGAGAAGCCATGCCCCATAGGGCCCTCTCCCCTCTTCCCACCATCCCTTCTGACCCCACACCTTCCTCCCCAGAACTGTGCTGCCCCCTACTCTGCATCCCTCAGAGTTGTGCTCCCCACACATCCAGGACTTCACCCTCTGTGAGCCCCTTTCCTTGCCGAATGGGACTCCTGATCACAGGTACTGGAAGCCCCTGGGGTGAGCAGAGCAGACTTCCCATGGGAAGTCTGCCAGCACCTGGGTTCTAGCTCTCCTGTGAGCTTCGCCACAGCACCCCCCTCATTGGCATGCTGGGGGACCCACAGGTGGAATCAAAGCTCTGCTCAGAGCTGAGCTGCACAACAGCAATCTGGTAGCCTTTGTTTCCCCAGTCCTGGGGGCGTAGTGGAACTAGGGGCAAAGAGGGTGCATTTTGGGGCCTAGGGCCTCCTCCTCACTGCCACAGGCAAGCGCAGCTGTAGATAAGGGGGGATGCCTGAGCTAATGAACACCCCCAGTAGATAATGAGGGGCTGTGGGGGAAGGGATGGCCTGAGGCACAGCCTGGGCGGGGAAGGCTGCCTCCCAAAGCCCAGAGCGCTCATTAGTGGAAGCCTGGGGGAGAGGCAGCTAAGTGGGTCAGCGCCCCTCCCCCAGCCACCTGACCGGTATGGGTGGAAGGATTGGCAGCCCATTGTCCCCCAGTGAAGTCAGTCGCATTCTGAGTCCCTTCTCCCTCCAACCTTCCTCCCCAAGCCCCTGCTTCCAACCCCCACAAACCCCTTGCCCCCTCAACCCCCTTCCCAAAGCCCCGTGTTCCTCAATCCTCTTCTTGAGCCCTCAGCTCCCAACCCCCCAAACCTCCTGCCCCTCCAGCCCTCCTCCTGGAGCTCCTGCCCCCTAAGCCCCCTGTTTCTCTAACCCCCCTCCCTGAGTCCCCTGCCCCTCACAGAGCCCCTGTCTCCTTCCACGGACCTCCCACTCTGAGCCCTTTTTCCTCCCTGAGACCCCCTTGGTGGCCCCCTCCCCCCCTCTGCACACCCCCCGCCCCAGGTGCCGGCCTCTGAGCCAGCCTCCCCAAGGCACCCTCCAGACTGAGCCACACCTGGGAGAAATTGAAATCTTAGACTCTTCCCTACCCCCGCCAATGAAGCAGACATCCCTGTCCTGGCCACGAGGCAGCAGAATGCGGCTGCGGCTCCGCTGGGCCAGGCTGGGGGCTGTGCCAGAACAAGCATCCAGATGTGGGGAGGACACAGCGGCAGGACGGGGGGTGGGCACGCAGCAGCTCGGTCCAGTCTCTTCCATCCCCATCCCCTGCAGCCAGCGGCCCTGGGCATCCACTCCGGGGTCTCAAACTCCCCCTTCTTGTCCCATAGTCATGAAGATGAGCATCCTGGCAGATCTGTTTCAGGAGTGCGGTGGGCAGGGGCTGGGGGAGGGGATCTCAGAGGCTGGGCCTTCTCTGTGTAGGGTGGTCCAGAGAGGCAGGGTCTGCCTGGGTCCCCCTTCAAAATCAGGGTAGAGCCAGATGAGGACAAGATGCATAGTCTGTCAACTCTCCCCTCCAGCCCTATGCCCCTGTCTTTGGCCAGCCTCCTCCTTGATCAAGGCCTTCCAGGACTCCCTGTTTCCTGTCAAGATCTCCTTCCCCTGAGGCTCTGAGGCACTTCCGGACCTGTCCAGCTGGTCCCAGGGCAGAGGGTAGAATATGGATGAGCCTGTGCCATCCTTGATGTTGTCAGGACACAGTTCTGGGAGGGGATGAGTGAATGTCCTGGTCCCCACCAATCCCCACCCCAGCCCCAGTCACCACAGCCTGACTAGTCTGGGTCTGGCTGCACAAGAGTTAATCTCAGGGTGTCCCCCCCCCCACCACGTGTGCACAAATTCCAGGAACACTTTCCATTAAGGACACTCTGAGCAGATTTCATTTCATTTACATTAATAAGAACCAGAAAAATCTGCAGGGTGGGGGTGGGGCCGGGGCCGGGGCCGGGGCCTGGGCCGGGGCCAGGGCGGGGTTGGGGGCGGCTCGGGCACGTGTGCTGCTCAGTTTGTCTGGTAGAGGCTAAGGGGCTGGGGCTCCCGGCCATAAGAGGAGAGGCCCAGCCAAGCCGGTGCCGCCGATGTGCTTGGGGGAAGGTAGATCCATCCAGTCTTCAGGGATTCACGGTGGAGGGAGGAGGCAGAGCCCAGCTGCTTCTGGACACTCCTAACCTGAGCAGGGTGGCAGGCCCAGGTCCTAGGGCCTTCCAGGCGGAGGGGATGGCAGAGCTAATAGGATGCCAGCACATGGAAATGACTGGATCGGGGACTGGGGCCCTGGGTTTGGATGAGATGGGTGTGGACCTCAGCTTCCCAGTCTGTCAGGGAAACAGGAGAGGCTGCTCCCTCTCCTTCCTGTCCTCACTGCAGGTATGGCTGCAGGTGTTAGAAGGGAAGGTAATGAACCTTGAGCCAGTCTTAGAGACCATGATGCCCCTTCCTCAGTCTTCCCTTCCCCTCTCCAGCTCTGCCAGTGAGCTGAGCCATGGCTGGCAGACTTGGACCTGTTCAGTGAGCTCAGAAGCCTGTTCTGGGTGGACACCCCCAAGATCCACCCACCTGAAAAGGGGAAAGCCTCAGAATGACATTGTGTGCACAAGGGTGTGCCTGCTGGGTGGCGGCTTGTGCTCTGCCACGCTGTGACCCTGGGGGCTCCCTCTCCCTTCACAGAAGGCTGCCAGACCAGGTTTCCTTCCTCAGGGGTAGCAAGAACATCTGATTCCTGCCCCCTCAGGAGCCAGGTTCACTTGCACACTTGCTCATTAATGTGTCTGGCTTGTGTGTGCTCTTCTATATGCCAGTGGCTGGGTGGGGTTATGCACAAGTGTGCATGCTTCACACACCAACCAGGGAGGGGGTCTGCAGGATCTGGATGTAATGCCACCTCAAATGTCAAGGGTGATGGGGAAGCATGCATGTTGCCTGCTGCAGCCGGATGCCTGAGGGCTGGCCTGCATTGCGTGTGGGTGCGTACACATGGCATGCTTATGAGTGCAGAGGATGGCTCCTCAGCCCAGGAGTTGGGGAGTAAGAGGAAGGAGAAGAAGCCCCAGCTCTGGTGCCTCTCAGGATTTGGGCTCAGCCCTGTCTTGCTCCAGGTCTTACAGATTGAGGCTAGGCGCCCTTAGGTGGTGGTAGGCTGTGCTGGGCCAGGGGGCCCTAGGCTGAACCCAACCCTGCAGGACAGGCTGGGCAGGGCTCCCACACCTGCACCTGACCCTGTTCCAGGCCCACACTAGGGGATGGTGGGGGGAGGCTTAATTACATCCATGAATCATTCTCAAATAGCTCCTGTCCAGCCAGACTCAGGATGGTGATGCCCGCCCAGAGCTGAGAGCCAGGGGCTCCTGGAGCCTCCGTTGCACATAAAAGCAGCAGAGGACGCGAGCAGGCACCCTAGCCCCTCCTCTCTTGGCCACCTGCCTCGGCCTCCCCCATTGGTGTGCAGAATTCACCCCAAGATCAGAGGCCTATCTCAGCACCCGTGGGTAGCGCAGAACCAACTCCTCTAGACCTGGCGGCCCCATCCCACGTTATCTTGCCCCCTCAGCCTCCTCCGTCCCCTTGTGGCTGCTGCAGACTCCTCCAGCTTCTCTTTCCAGCATCCTCTAGGCCTCACTTTGCCTCTGGTTGTCTTCACCTGCCTCTCCCTGTCTTTCTCCTCTTTCCTCAGGGCACTGGGAGGCATCCCAAGACCCAGCTCACTCCAGGGCTGGACCTCAACCTTGTACCTGCAGGTGAGACCCAATTCTACTGCACTGGAGTGGTGATGGGGCAGCAGTTGCCAGCAGCAGCCCAGTCCAGCAACAGCTTTGAATCTCAGTTTCCTCTTTAAATGGGATGGCAGTGCAGCTTGGACTAAGCAGGATGGGAGGGCCCTGCCCCTGGCTCATACCTTCTGCTGGAAAGTTCTGTCTGGCTGGGTGTGGCCCACCCTATAGGGTTCTGACCTTAACCCAAGTCCATGAGTCCACCTCCCTCCTGCCACCTTCTGGGAGACTGGGGTGAAGGACTACAGGCATCCCCTGCTTCCATCTGGGAGCCCTGGACAAGCTGGGCTCCAACTCCCCATGGGCTGTAGGGACAGAAGCTGAGAATCTGATGCTCTAGCAACAGTGCTTCTGTGAGTCAATAAGCACGTGGTAGGGAAAGGGAGTGAGAGGCAGAAATGCACTTTATCGACTGCAGAAATTATTTACCTGGGTCAGAAAGAATTGCTGAGAGGGAAGTGCCTACTGTGCACAGGGTCAGCCTGGCTCTTGCCCCATTGGGCGCTGTGGGGACGACTTCCCCATCTAGCCAGAGGGGGTCCCTGGGGGTCAGAGACCCTCAGGAACTTGCAAGGCAGGCAGACTTGGCACCTGCCTGACTCCAGAAAGTTTCAAGGCCGAAGTTCTAGCCAGGTCTCCTTGAGTCCCAGAGACGTGGAGAGAGCCCCTGGGAACCTCCAGTACCTCAGGACTTGGTGGGAAGTCCTCTCCTTACCACCACCTATACCAGCCTGGCTGGAAAGATGATGGAATGCTGCCACCTGGTGGCCACCAACAACACAGTACCCTCCTCCAGTATCGACTGTGGGCAATCTTCCCCCACACCCCACCTGTCCCTGAGGGCATTCATTCCTCCGGAATCGGGGTGGCTGGGATCTGGGCGCCCTTGAGACCCCCAGCCAGACTATGCATGCCTGGGGAGCTTAGCTCAGGCCGGGATGCTCATCTGGGCTTTGAAACTTGTTTGATGCACAGCCATGACAGCTGCTCCTGGACGGCCCTCAAAGCCTTGCACGTTGTAGCAGCTGTCCCAGCCAAGGGCAGTCTGGACTTGGGAATCCTTGGAGGCTCCTTCTAGTTCAGTAAGAGCACCGTTCAAATTCAAGATTTGGGTTCCCCTGATTGAGAGGATTGCACTACTCTCACAGCATCTCAACATCACACAGGACTAAGAGGAATGGTGGCCCTATGGGCAGCACACAGCACATTTAACCGGGCTTGGGATTGGAGTAAACCCTGATGGGCCAGTCAGGAGGATGCTTGGGATCCTAGTGCTTCCAAACCAGAAGGATCACCCAAATATGGTCTTGCAGGATACCTGGGCCCAAGATAACAGCCTGTCAAACCTCAAGGACTGGGGCCATCAATTTAGATGCAGGGTGAAGGCTGCAGTCACCTGGCTAGGTATGCTGGTAACAGGTGAGGCCAGAGGAGGGAGCCTCCATCTCTGAGGAGCTGGCTCAGACCCTCACATTCACAGGAACCCTCAGCTTCATGTTCATAGGAAAGGCCACGCTGGTGTTGACAACAGATGCCGTGGTCCACAGCACACATGGGAGAGCCTTGAGCAGCTTTGACAGGTAACTCTAAGCACCAGCAGTGTGGGACAGGTTGAGGTGCCCTTCCGGGTGCTGGGAAGTCAATCTGAGGCTGCTAGAGGGCTGGCTCCTATTAATGCCTGGCCATGGCTCCCCTAGGGAAGACGCTTCCACCCAACCTTTGCTGAGCTGGGTACATATAATTAAGAGCTTCCCAGATCCTATTCTGGGTATGCTCACCTGGAAGAGCTTTCCGGGCCGGATGTCAAAAGGGTCTAATTAGGGTACTCAGGACTGCTGCTCAGGTGCGAGGAACACCAGCATCACCCTTGATGCCGTGAGGGCTCTGGAGGTGAGGCCAGTTTCTTATCCAACTTCTGTAGACCAGATCTGTGACACACTCTCCACCCCAGCTCTGGGCGCTTGGGCCCTCATTTGTGAAGTTCCCAAGCCTTACTCTGCAGAAACCCAGGCTTGGGGCTTCTGCATTTGCGTCCACCTCTCCCTAGCCAGAGCTGTGATTAGGCTCAGCTTCTCCAAGGCACTACCCTACAGGCCAGGGTGAGGACCTCCTGAGCATTTTCTATTCCTTAACGCCCTGCCCGAAAAGAGGAAAACGTGACCACCCACAAAAGCAAGTCTAGCTTCAAAAGTAAACTGCAGAGAAAAGGCCACCTTAACTGCATGCCCAATCTGTGGAGCTTAAGCACTCAGTTTGGCCAGATTGGCAATGTGAGCAACCCATCACATCATCTGGTCCCAAGAACAGCCTGAGATCCAGGTATACTTCCTGACCTGGTCAGGCATGGTCTTCTGGGTCAAAATGATGTTCTCTGCCCTGTGGAAGAGTGCTGAGGACGAAATACCCATTCAAAACAGAAAACTCTCCAATGCCCCCAGGACCTCCTTAGCAGCTGAGAAGATGCAGTGAGTGGAGTGCTGCCAGGGGGAGATGACCTCCTCAGTTTCTCCATCGCAGCAGAGGGTGGACCAGGTATCACCTGTATCATGGCCAAAAGCAGGGAGGATCTGCCCTGCAGAGCAGTGACAACTCCACACTCCGGCATGTGTGGAATAAAGTCTGTGGAAACTAGAGAGGTGCAAGCACTCATGGTCACTTTGGTCTTAGCAGAAAAGCTACTAAGTTACCATGATTTCCATGAAGAGTTTTAAAACATGCTAAACTTTTTTTTTTTTTTTTTTTGAAACGGAGTTTTGCTCTGGTTGCCCAGGCTAGAGTGCAATGGCGCGACCTCCGGCTCACTGCAAACTCCGCCTCCTGGGTTCAAGCAATTCTCCTGCCTCAGCCTCCCGAGCAGCTGGGATTACAGGCCAACCACACCCAGCTAATTTTGTATTTTTAGTAGAGACGGGTTTCTCCATGTTGGTCAGGGTGGTCTTGAACTCCCAACGCCAGGTGATCCGCCTGCCTCGGCCTCCCAAAGTGCTGGGATTACAGGCGTGAGCCACCACGCCCGGCTAAAACATGTTAAACTCTTGAATTTAAAAATCCGAACATGTCAAGACCAGCCTGGGCAACAGAGTGAGGCCCCATCTCTGTAAAAAATTAAAAAATTAGCCTGCATGGTGGTATGTGCTTGTAGTCCCAGCTACTTGGAACACTAAAGTGGGAGAATCGCGTGAGCCCGGGAGGTCGAGGCTGCAGGCTCCCGAGTAGCTGGGATTACAGGTGCACACCACCACGTCTGGCTAATTTTTTTGTATTTTTGGTAGAGACAGGGTTTCACCATGTTGGCCAGACTGGTCTCAAACTCCTGACCTCAGGCAATCCACCTGCCTCGGCCTCCCAAAGTGTTGGGATTACAGGTGTGAGCCACCACGCCTGGCCAACCCTGCCTCAAAATCAATCAATCAATCAATCAGAACGTGGTGATGGGGGCAAGAAATAAACTGATTTCATCACCAGGCTTGACTGGCTCAGACATGCTTGACCCACCTACCCACCCAAGAATAAAGAGACACAGGACACCCATTTCTCAAGGTATTTCTTTTGTAAAGGAGCCAGATTTGGCAACTAGACTGAAAATCTTCCAAAATTCTGTACAAATGTGTAATATACAAATATACACAAGGCTTTTGCCAAGAAAAGACATCACAACAAATGACAGAGGTGGCTTTGGTGTCACATACCACCTACAGCATCTCAAACCCCTAGGAATGTGAGGGGCTGATGGACCACAACATAGGCTACACATGTAAACACGCTACATTACACTATGTACACTGGAGTATAAACAATCCACTGTCCTCTCCGGTCTGTTCACAAGCCCTCTGGCGGGAAGGAAGGCCATTCACCAGGCAACCCACATAAGGGGAACTTCTTTAAGGTGGGAGGGAGAACCCTGCAGAATGAAGTGGTTCACCCTAAGATCTATTAACAGCACAAGGCATGCCCTTAAAGAGACAGGCGGTAACAGCGAATTCGGGAGATGGACCACTTCTTGTGCTCCTTGTCATCTCTCTCTCTCTCTCTCTCTCACTCCATCTCAGTGAACCGGGCAAACATGGCTTTCCGGACAGCATCTTTGTAGGAATCGGCGCCCGACAAACCATATGCGCTGCCTTTGGCTCCTAGGCCAGCTCCCTTTAGCCGAACTTGAGCCTGGGAAAGCACAGAGACTGTCAGCTGGGAGGTAGGGTATGGGCTGCTCCACCTCTCACCATGCCCACTCCTTACCCAGCAGGACCACCCACCAGGAGACAGAAGAGAGAAAACTGTATATGAAGACAAGGATTTCTCCAGAAGAGACCAGGAGCAAGTATAAGGACTGGAGGAATAAAATGGGCTACGGAACACAGGCAGATGAAGCAAATCACCCACCCCTCAATGCCTGCTCAGCAAGCATCCACGCCTAGGAAAGGGCCCCAAAGTATTCCTCTGAAGGTCTGGGAAAGGTATGGTAATTACAGGCACACATTATACAGGATAGCTCAATGTCAGCAGAACTCACATAAACAGGATGAACATGGTCTACAAGAGTCTGACCTAAGCTGTGCTCCCAGGACAGAGCAGGGGCAATTACGGGTGGAGCTCCTGCCTAGAAGGCCAGTGGGTAGGGGCCTCCGATCCTGGGATATGATGCCTCAATGTGGGCTCTGATCAATTTAAAGATTTCTTATCATGGGTGAAAACCCTACTAAATTTTTTTTTTTTTTGAGACAGAGTCGCTGTTGCCCAGGCTGGAGTGCAGTGGCGTGATCTCGGCTCACTGCAACCTCCTCCTGCCAGGTTCTAGCAATTCTCCTGCCTCAGCTTCCTGACTAGCTGGGATTACAGGCACACGCTGCCACGTCCAGTTAATATTTTGTATTTTAGTAGAGACGGGGTTTCACCGTGTTGCCCAGGCTGGTCTCAAACTTCTGGGCTCAGGCAATCCACCCTCCTCGGCCTCCCAAAGTGCTGGGATTACAGGTGTGAGCTCATGCCTGTAATCTGCCCCTTCATGCTAAGGTAAAGCTGCTCCTGGCTCCCAGGCTCTATGAGTGCTCTGATCTCATCTCTGGAACCGGCCTGTAAGCCTGGCAAACATCAAGACCTGACCCCACTGCTTACCTCAATGGGAGCCGTAATGCCTTGACACTTTCGTCCCAAGCCAGAGCCTTCCCGCCAGCCCATGGCCTGCAGCATCTTGTTGCCAATGTTACTGTGGTCAATGCCATCTTTGGTGGGTTGCTCGTAATTCCTGCCAGTGGCAAACACACAGTTACTTAAAACAGCCAGGGCCCCAGCTTACGAACTGGAAAATGTGCACATCACATACACAGTGCCGGCATCAAACTGCTTCTTGCGCTTGGGCTCTGGAGGTTCTGGAATGCCGTACTTCTCCCGTCTTTCTGCAGCTCGGTCTCGGTATTTCATCTACATGGGAGAAAAAACACTGCTGGAAATGTTCACAGACTTCAACCTGTAACCGTCTAATGCACCTATTCAAAACTATCCCCTCAAGTATTTTTAAATCTGAAGAATGCTTTTTTTAGACTGCTCTGAAATACCAAATTCCCTTGTTCCCATCATCATACCTAGTCATATCTGAAATGTTAAATTTGTAAATATGAATTGTGTGGAACCAGGGGCAGAACTATGTCTCCAACAAGCAGTTTTATTTAATTAGCCACCCTCTGTCAAGCTACTCAACCAGCCCACTGGGCAGTGGGTACAGCTTGCGAAGAGGAAGGCAGAGTTGCCCGTTCTCCTCAGCATTTGGACAGGCATACCTCCAACATTTGGAAAGGCATACCTCCAACATCAAGGAGGCTTCCAGAGACCTGTTCAGCAGTCGCTGGGGAGGTGGAACCATAGATAGTAGGGCAGGAAGGGTGTGGGGAGAAGAAAAGCAAAAGCCTTAACTACAAACACTTCAGAAATATCTCAGGTGGGAGATTTCAAACCCACTTGCTCATTTCTAAACCACAGGCCTCTATTTGCATTTAAATCCCTGCCCACCTGGCCGCCAACCTGCCCCAACCACCAGCACTAACTGCTTGCCCATTATTGTGTCACAGGCTTCTCTCTTGCCTTTGTTCCCAGATCTGCTTGCCATGCCCTGCCCACCCTTCCTTTCATATCACCTGCAATAACCTCACGTCCTGCTGTCCCTTGGGATTAATTTGAAGCGCACTTCTTTGCCCATGAAGGCTTCCCTGGCCAGGCCAAACTAGACCACTCTCTCCATAACAAAATCCAGCGTATTTAAGCAGCAAGCTCTGGCATTGCTGTGAGAGAGTCTCGGCAGTGTGCTTCTGCCTTGTGCACCCTTATGATGAAGGGACAATGTGAGGCTCACAAGGCACACAGAGGCTGGGTCTAGGCTACATGAACTACAATGGTCAGATGACAAGGGTATGACAAATCCTCCTACCCTGCCCCTGGGATCTGGAACTAAATGCTACAAATAAAAGCTAAAGGCAATTATCCCAATATCCTCTTCCTTGTGGCACAGTTTCCCATTCACCTCTCTCTCCCTTAGCTCCAAGGCTTCCAGCTCCTGCTCGCTCAGCCTGGATCGTCGATAGATGTCCATGTTTTGCTACACAAAAGATTTGAAAGACACAGTAAGGACTCAGACCATCTTAATTTGAAATGTCCTAACATTAGTAACATCTACTGTACTTTAAGAGCCAAAGCCCAAACAATACACAATCACATAAAAACTATAGTTTGATGTGTGTGGAGCTGCCAGACTCCGTCCACTGTCATCGGGAACAGCTTTCTGTAAGGCCATCATTAGATGGCAGGTATTTTTGGAACCGTCAGGACTGTTAGGGCACTCAAATTGTCTCACTGCCTCCCCTCGCCCCCTCAGATCAGCTCAGAAGCATGGCCACCTTGTGAAGGTCTGAGAGTTGCTGGTGCCTGACTAGGGCATCTTTGTTCGGGAACTGGCGCCGGCAGAGCAGACAGGCCATCTTCTTCCAGTCAGCTAGCTTCTCTTCCTCACTCTCAAGTCTCTCCACCAGCTCCTCCTCATTGTCACTGTCACCACTGTAAGCAGCAACCAGACCCCTCTGGAGACAAAAGGAGGACAGGTCACTGGAAATGTACAATAGGAAGATGGCGGTGGCTATGTACCTGGATAAAGTAATGCCTCATCCGAAATGTTAACAAATCCCCATTACTGCATGTCACACTTTAGTAATGAATCACATTTTGTCAACTGCGTGGAGCAGTCAGGTCCTTGAGTGCTAGGCCTGACAGCCTCCTGGTACCAACCTTCTTGGAGCCTAAGAAATGGATTCCTGGGTGACTACCTTTTTCTATTTCTTTGGAGAAGGAGTCTCGCTCTGTTGCCCAGGCTGGAGTGCAGTGGCGTAATCTCAGCTCACTGCAACCTCCACCTCCCAGGTTCAAGTGATTCAAGTGTCTCAGCCTCCCAAGTAGCTGGGATTACAGGCGCTTGTCACCACCCCTGGCTAATCTTTTGCATTTTTAGTAGAGATGGGGTTTCACCACATTGGTCAGGCTGATCTCGAACTCCTGACCTCAAATGATCCGCCTGCCTTGGCCTCCCAAAGTGCTGGGATTACAGGTGTGAGCCACTGTGCCAAGACTGTTTTTGTTTTTTTTTTTTTTAAATGAGACAGGGTCTTGCTCACTGCCCAGGCTGGAGTGCAATGGTATGATCCCCAAAAAGTGCAGTGGCTCACTGCAGCCTTGATCTCCTGGGCTCAAGCAATTCTCTTACCTTAGCATCCCAAGTAGCTAGGAGTACAGATGCAAGCCACCACACCCAACTAATTTGTTTCTAATTTTCAGTAGAGACGAAGTCTTGCAATGTTGCCTAGACTGAGTGACTATTTTCAAACCACTGACCACAAATAAAAATCCCAAATACAACATATCAGAATAATGGCCCACCCAGACCAGTATCTATCTAGTAAAACAAGCTTTTTCTTGTCTTAATTTTCTCTTTCCAGACCATTAAAACTCTCCACTCACAGATGCAATGAAACTTAATTAACTGAGCTTAGGAATTGAAGCTTCTTTCATCACTCCATCTCATCTGCTCTCACAGAAAACAAAGCCCCGACATGGAATCTATGTGCAGAAACTGCTCCAATACCCATCAACAGTGATCACATTCAGTTTTAAGTAGGAATCACATTAGCCAAGATGCAGTTGAGCCTTAAAGTGAGACACAAACCACAGATAGGGTCTTTAAAACACTGGTGGTACTCCCTTACTTTGAGGGGATTCTCCTCATCTCCATTTCGCACCAATTCTGGGATGAGCTGCTGCCTTTCAGCTAAGGCTCCCTGGGAAACAGAGGACAAGCCATGAGACTCAAGTTTTAGGTAAGTTCCCATCATGACATACTGGCCATTCCTGCTATTACCTTCTTCTCAAAGAGAGCAAAGCCAGCGTCTGCTGCAGCAGATTCTCTCCTTTCTTCTTCCCTCAAGGAATTGACAGGCTGAAAGCTATTTTTAAAGTTTTCTTTCTGCTTATTCAAACTCTTAGCCCAGCGTTCCATGTCTTTGGCAATCTAATGTCAAACAACAAACACCAACAAAAAAATATTTAATCCCCTGTGCCATGAGAATGAGCCATTAAGGATCTTATCTCAACTATATGCCCTGTAACAAACCCCTTTTACTCTTACTTCCACCTACAAATATTTCCATTAGATGTTATCACATATAACCAAAGTCATTCATAAATACTGCTTGAAAAGCTTTGAGATTTCCAGGGCTTTTTTCCCTAAGTACACAGGCTGACAGTCAAGATATGGTAACAATAACAAATTGCAAAATGCTCTAAGAACTTAGTATGAATAAAATGTGAAGCCCAATTTTTAAGAATCCAAATAATACTGACATAAATGCTACAACCCCAAAACTAAGAGTTCAGCCCAATACCTCAATGAAAGAAATATGGGTCATGTTCTAACCTGCTGGGCTGTTTTGCTCTTGGGTTTCTCCTTCTTCTCTTTCCCCTCTTTTGCAGGAGGCAGGCCCGACTGCTGGTGGGAGCTAGACTCTGCAGCTGGCACGTAGGTCTCTTTTTCCCCATCCCAGTAAAGGTACTGCTGGGTCAAGGAATTATAGTAGTACTAGAAAACAACAAACAAAAAACAATTAATGCAGACTTTCTGCTATGTCAGTCGATTACATATTTTGTCAAAAAAAAGATAAAGTATGTTGTGGACTAGTGATATTTCCTGCCCAGAAAAGACCCTGGGCACACCTTGGTATAAGTAAAGGTGATGAACCACCTAGCAAAGAGGTGTGACACTGCTAGAGTAAAAATAGAATATGATTTCTTTAAAAAGTTTAGTTCCCAGCCGGGAGCAGTGGCTCATGCCCGTAATCCTAGCACTTTGGGAGGTGGTGGTGGGCAGATCACCCAAGGTCAGGAGTTCAAGACCAGCCTGGCCAACATGGTGATAACTCATCTCTACTAAAAATACAAAAATTAGCTGGGCATGATGGCACACCTGTAATCCCAGCTACTCAGGAGGCTGAGGCAAGAGAACTGCTTGAACCTGGGAGATGGAGGAGGTGGCAGTGAGCCAAGATCATGCCACTGCACTCCAGTCTGGGCAACAGAGTAAGACTCCATCTCAAAAAAAATGATAATAAAAATTTAAAAAGTCTAGTTCCCATTAATTTAATCCCTGGGCCTACCTAGAGGGCACCCAAAGAGCAATTTGTCTCACTCTGTTCCACAGACTATTTACATAAACCAGGCAGCCAGAACAGGTGGGCGTGTCATGGAGTTCAGACATCTGCCATGACAACAGCTCATCATTGGGCCCATCCACATAGAATCCATTGGATACCAGGCAACCACACACAGGGTGTAAACACTAGCACAGAGCTGGAAGGAGGTGTTGGTGAAGGGACCCAAGCTCAGCAGGAATTGCAACAGAGGAGAGGTGTCACATATCCTCTCCTCTATTTTCCAGTCGCTCACTCTATCTGCTCAACAGGGACCCAGGAGACAGTGTCTGTCTCTTCTGGGTAAGGTGGCGTGGCTAACAGACACAACTTTTTTTTTTTTTTTTTTTTTTTTTTTTTTAGACAGAGTCTCGCTCCGTCACCCAGGCTGGAGTGCAGTGGCGCGACATTCGCTTACTGCCAGCTCCACCTCCCGGGTTCACGCCATTCTCCTGCCTCAGCCTCCCGAGTAGCTGGGACTACAGGCATTCGACACCACGCTTGGCTAATTTTTTTGTATTTTTTTTTTTTTTTTAGTAGAGACGGGGTTTCACTGTGTTAGCCAGGATGGTCTCAATCTCCTGACCTAGTGATCCTCCCATCTTGGCCTCCCAAAGTGCTGGGATTACAGGCGTGAGCCACTGCGCCCAGCCTACAGACACAACTTCTAAGGCCACCAAAGAGAACTGACGGGAAAAAAAAAAAAAAAAAAAAAGAACTGACAGGGAAATAAATGGCCAGGCTTCACAAATGAGAGAAGTGGATGGAAGAGGTATGCAGAGGCTTGGCCTGCTTAGGCACGTCACACACAGCTTCACACTTCAATCTCTCAGAAACCACAACCTATCAATGCCAAGTTCCTGTTAAAAATACTTATTACTGTTCTATATATACAGCTCCCGGTCATAAATAGAGTTATTTATGGGGTGTTAAAGTTGTTTTTCCCTTTTAAAAGTTATATATGCCACCAAAAATAAAACATCACTCCATACATCTGCTAAATTCTACCCTCAAGAATACACAGGGAGGCAAAGTAAAGGATGCTGGACACAAAAGGTAATCTATTGTCTGACTCCACTTATATGAAATGTCAAGAACAGAGGGCTGGGCACAGTGGCTCATGCCTGTAATCCTGGCACTTTGGAGGCTGAGGCGGGTGGATCACTTAAGGTCAGGAGTTCGAGACCAGCCTGGCAAACAAGGTGAAACCCTGTCTCGACTACAAAAATTAGCTGGGTGTGGTGGGCGCCTGTAATCCCAGCTACCAGCTACTCAGCAGGCTGAGGCAGGAGCATTGCTTGAACCCAGGAGGTGGAGGCTGCAGTGAGCCAAGATCGTGCCACAAAAAAAATAAAAAAAGCAAATCCATAGAGACAGAGAGTAGATTAGTAGTTACTGGAGGAGAGTACAGAATGGGGAGTGACTGTTTAACAGGTACAGGGTTTCTTCTTCGAGTGATGAAAATGTTCTGAGATTAGACAGTGGTGACAGTTACACAACACTGTGAATATATTAAAAGCCACTGATTTGTACACTCTAAAAGGTTAAACAATAGGGAGAAAAGTACAATTTAAAATTTCTAGCTAGGTCTTTCCATAAATTGTAACTTGACAAAATAATCTATGGCAACAGAAATCAAAATAGTGGTTATTGAAGACATAGGTTACTGACCAGCAATGGGCATGAGGATTAGGTGGGCTGGGAATAAGTGGTGGTGTATATACACATGTAATATACAAATGTATAGACATGTATAAACATTCAAAGAATTGCACATTTCTGTTTTGTGTATTTTTTTGTGTGTATATTATACCTCAAAACATTTTTTAACCCTACAATTAAAACTTACAATCTCCATATAAAAATTACATTTTGGTGGCTTTGAAGAAGTTAAAACTAATCTGAGTCATATATTCTTTTGCAGGAAATATTTCATTTTATGCCTCATAAATGCACTAAGCGAAACTACTTCTAGTGAAATTGAGGAGGAAAGCAGCACATTTACTTGCGAGTTGGGGTCATAATAGAGCCCTGTTGTCGGATCATAGTAATATCCTGAAGATTCATCATACTGGTAAGTGGACGTGTCAGGTACTGCTGCAAAAACAAAATCCAGCATACAGTCATTCCAGGTAAGAAATTGGCTTTATTTCAAATTCTAAGCCAGTGAGATGCAGCAGGCCTAATGTTTCTTCTCTGTCTCACATCCCCAAGTGTCCCTCTGACACCCGCAAAGGGAGAAGAACTCTCATTAAACAAAGACAACAACTAAGACCTTCCAACTGTCAACAGCCCCATGAGGTTTGGCTTACCATATTTGGTACCAGGAACTACACCAGTAGGGGAAGCGGCTGGGGCCTGTGTACTTGTGCTAGTGCTAGGCTGTGCTTCCTCAGTCTGGAAAGAACAGCAGCTTCAATATAATTTCAACTGTAAAGCCTTTTAAGAGAGCTAAATCACTGCAATCATCCAGGAGGAAGGGCTCCCCTGACAGACACACTGTAGCAATAATCTAAGGCAATCCCTCAGCAAAACACATGTTGACAACTTTTTTGCTTTCTTTTTCAAGAGGAGTCTTGCTCTGTTGCCCAAACTGGACTGCAGTGGCGCAATCTTGGCTCACTGCAACCTCCGTCTCCGGGGTTCAAGCAATTCTCCTGCCTCAGCCTCCCGAGTAGCTGGGATTACAGGCATGTGCCACCACGCCCGGCTAATTTTTGTATTTTTAGTAGAGACGGGGTTTCACCGTGTTAGCCAGGATGGTCTTGATCTCCTAACCTCGTGATCCACCCGCCTCGGCCTCCCAAAGTGCTGGGATTACAGGCGCGAGCCACCACACCCGGCCCCGGCGACAACTTTCTAAAGGTCAAGCATGCATAAAGTGTAAATACACAGTTGAAATTTTATATTTAAAATATACATGCACATATATATCATAAAATTAATATTTTAAAACAACAGAAAGAAATAAGGTTGAAGTGTGTATTACTCAATCCTGGCTCATACAACAGGAAAGGGTAATACTTGTATAGCAAAACAAAATTTCCCCATCAGCCACGAGTTTTGTATATAGGACAACAGGATTACCGGAGAGCCAGGTGGATTGGAGGTTTGATTATACAGCTGAGGACTCTGGGACACTACAGCCGCTGAGGTGGTGGTCACTGCTGTGCCTGATGATAAACACAAGTGTTAGGGAAAGCCAAGGCACTGAACGCCAACCCAAACATCTTTATTTGTAATGCCCAATCTAGCCTTCTTCTGTCATTGTATATGTCAGTTCTTCATAAGCTAACTTCCACTAAGTACCCTGGAATCTGTGACATTTTCATTTTCTTATAATTCTACTAGATGTGATATACAAAGTTAAGGATTCTGTATCATGGCTAAGAAAAAGAGAAGAGGCCGGGTGCAGTGGCTCAGGCCTGTAATCCCAGCACTTTGGAAGGAAAAGGCGAGCCGATCACGAGGTCAGGAGATTGAGACCATCCTGGCTAACACGGTGAAACCCCGTCTCTACTAAAAATACAAAAAATTAGCCGGGAGTGGTGGCAGGCACCTGTAGTTCCAGCTACTTGTGAGGCTAAGGCAGGAGAATGGCGTGAACCTGGGAGGCAGAGCTCACAGTGAACCGAGATAACGCCACCGCACTCCAGCCTGGGCAACAGAGCGAGACTCCGTCTCAAAAAAAAAAGAAGAGAAAAGGAAGAGAAGAAAGGATCTATATTTGCTCTGGGGTTGAGAAAGATTTAACTCACAAGGCTTTTTAAAGCCTGAAACAAAAATTAAAGCCAAGGCTTCTTAGAGTAGCTCTTCTGATTGATGTCTGAGCACCAGTCTCCAGGGCCACATCCTCTCTGCTCACCTGAACTTACGTGGGCACTCACGACTCCAAACACAGAGAGGGGAAATACAGAGTTGAATTCCAAGAATTAAACTCATCACAACATGGTCTCTAAGACCTTGTATTAACTCCTGGTGTACACAAATAACCGTATTCTTCCCCAGAACCTTGGGTACATGATGACAGCCCTGAATATGCCCCCTACATTCTTTTTTTTTTCTTTCTGAGACAGAATCTCACTCTGTCGCCCAGGCTGGAGTGCAGTGGCGCAATCTCAGCTCACTGCAATCTCTGCCGCTCGGGTTCAAGCAATTCTCCTGCCTCAGCCTCCTGAGTAGCTGGGATTACAGGCGCCTGCCACCGCACCTGGCTAATTTCTGTAGTTTTAGCTGAGATGGGGTTTCACCATGTTGGCCAGGCTGGTCTTGAACTCCTGACCTCGTGATCCACCTGCCTTGGCCTCCCAAAGTGCTGGGATTACAGGCGTGAGCCACCGTGCCCGGCCATGCCCCCTACAATCTTACAGAGAAATGGACTTGTAGCTTTTGGTCCAGTTAGGACATTTAATCATATTTCTTCAACTGTAAGTGCTTAAACAAAAGGTAAAAGGGAGATGAAGTTTACTACCTGATGCAGATGATGCATCAGATTCCAATCCTCCAGCTTGTTGTTGATAAAACTGCTGATAATCCTGTGAATACTGAAGAAAAGTCCACCATTAAAGCTGCTATTCTCAGACACACTCTGCAAGACTATAAGGTGGATGCTGCTAAAATCTACCTACCTGAGCATATTGGGCATAGCCATCTTGACCTGGTTGCAGATAACTGTAGTCAACACTGCCTCCTTCACCACTTTGAGACTACAAAACATCAAAATGAGACAAAGACAAACTTAGTAGGCATTAAGGAAAAAAATTCAGAAGTCCCTAAAAATGAGCTCATGATGCTGGGCGCTGTGGCTCACGGCTGTAATCCCAGCACTTTGGGAGGCTGACGTGGGTGGATCACCTGAGGTCAGGAGTTCAAGACCAGCCTGGCCAACGTGGTGAAATCCCATCTCTACTAAAATACAAAAATTAGCCAGGCGTGGTGGCAGGTACCTGTAATCCCAGCTACTCAAGAGGCTGAGACAGAAGAACCACTTGAACCTGGAAGGTGGAGCTTGCAGTGAGCCAAGATTGCACCATTGCACTCCAGCCCGGGTGACGAGAGTGATACTCTGTCTCAAAAAAAAAAAAAAAAAAAAAAAAAAAAAAAGAAAAGAAAAGAGCTCATACTGCGAGTACCACAGGAGAGGTCACGTCTGTGAATCTGGGCACCACCACCACACTACCTTGAGCAAAAAGATCCTCGATCTTACCTGGGTGGATGACCACTGAGCAGCAGCAATAGCCGTACTAGCTACAGAGAAAGCGCTGACGCGGTTACCATCTGAGAGGACCAAGTCTCTGAAACCACAAAGATCCAATCATGTGATTCTATCACAGTATTCCCACAATTAGTGCCCCTATACCACCAACTGATTCACTCCACCCTTTGTCAGTTCTCAAATGCCAGCAAGGCCACATTTCACAGGGGGAGGGCTCTTCATGGGGAAATTCCTCAGTAAGCAAGTGGCCCTGTAGTATCATTGTTCTACCTTGTAACCTGCCATCTAACGAAGAGTTTTTTGAATGTGCAATGATACTAAAAAAAGGGAAATTTACCGTGTTAGAGTTAAGCACTATATACATGAAATTATTAGCACGCTGTTCTGGAAGGAATGGGTTATTTCTGGATGGGTTAGCACTATACTGCTGCAGTTTGCAAAGCATGTGTTCTCAACCCATCTGCCATACTTGCCTTTCTCCTGATCTGAAACCATTTCAGGCAACTTCATCAACTGGTTACACAGGACAGTAGGGAATAATCACTAAAAGAAGACAAACGTGTCCCTCCTGGCCTTGGCAATCAGGGAGGATCACAGTGTCTCAACATACTTGGGGCACAGGCTTGGCGTTCAGTTAGCACACTGTACAAATGTGCATATGCAGTAGTTTGAAATAAGGACAATGAAGCCACTCACTTTCTGGCACTTTTTGCAAAATCAACCCCAATAGTTTTGCCATCAATTTTCAAAGGAGGATGGAGACTCTGTAATATCTGAAGCAGCTGAGAAGCATCCTGAAGGAGAATGTGAAGGAAAAAAACGTGTAATGCAATTAAAAATCTCTCCCTACCATCCACCCCATTCAAAGAAGTAGTTTTCTATTAAAAAATAAAAGGCAATTAATTCCTTATTGTGTTTGCAGATATGAAACCTCAAGAAAGGAATATCTCTCTTTCCTCTAAGATGTGAAGGTTTCCAGTATTACCAAAAGAGCAAATGCTAAACCAATCTAAAACAAAGTACATCTAGCACTTGGGAGGCTGAGATGAGCGGATCACTTGAAGTCAAGAGTTCGAGACCAGCCTGGCCAACATGGCAAAAACCTGTCTCTACTAAAAATACAAAAATTAGCTGGGCGTGGCTGGGCGCGGTGGCTCACGCCTGTAATCCCAGCACTTTGGGAGGCAGAGGTGGTGATCAAGACCATCCTGGCTAACACAGTGAAACCCCATCTCTACTAAAAATACAAAAAATTAGCTGAGCATGGTGGTGAGCGCCTGTAATCCCAGATACTCAGGAGGCTGAGGCGGGAGAATGGCGTGAACCCTGGGGAGATGGAGCTTGCAGTGAGCCGAGATCACACCACTGCACTCCATCCAGCCTGGGCGACAGAACGAGACTCCCTCTCAAAAAAAAAAAAAAAAAAAAAAAAAAAAAAAAAATAGCTGGGCGTGGTGGCGGGCACCTGTAATCCCAGCTACTCAGGAGGCTGAGGCAGGAGAATCGCTTGAACCCTGGAGGCAGAGGTTGCAGTGATCCGAGATGGTGCCACCGCACTCCAGCCTGGGCGACAGTGAGACTCCATCCCAAAAAAGAACAACAACAACAAAAAACAAAGTACCAAGGACTAAACTGTGGCTCAAAAAATTCTGCCAGTTGCCTATAGGTATACACATTATTTTTACTACTTACTGAAGTCATCAGTCCTGTAATTTAGCAGTGCAAAAACTGTCATTAGGGAGCCTTGCATCTTGGGCTTTAGGAGCCTCAGACAGTTTCAAAACTGGATGAACCACATTTGCCTCTTAAAGCTGTTTCTTTTAAAAAGGAAAGAATCGATGAGAACCTCACCATTGCAGAGGACAGCTGCACAAATGCGAAGCCTCTGTTCTGCTGGGTCTGTTTGTCTTTTATGAGGCGGATGTTATTGACAGCTAAAGACGCGTAAGGAGACAGTGCTGTCATGATGGAATCCACCACAGTGTGCGGAGCTATGTTCCGAAGAATGATCGCTAGGGGTAAATGAGACAAATGACATACACATGCATTCCCACCACCAATGTACCAAAGTTTTCCAAGATAGGGTCAAGTACATACAAATCCATTTGTGACATTCCTAGTGTATTTTCTACCCTGACATGGAGAAGATTCTAAAAATCCTGTCTTTTAAGGGACAACCCGAAGCTGCTGCTGCTCCTTACAAAAGGGTAGGAGAACAGAAATTTCCAACTGAGGTCAATTTTTTTTTTTTTTTGAGACGGAGTAGCTGGGATTACAGGTGTGTGCCACCACACCCAGCTAATTTTTTGTATTTTTAGTAGAGACAGGGTTTCACCGTGTTAGCCAGGATGGTCTCCATCTCCTGACAACTGAGGTCAATTTTTAACATGAAGACCAAAAGATCGTGTATGAACTTACTATCACAGTAGTAATCCACAGACTGAACCGACTCTGTGGTTCCAGGAGGCACTTCCTGTTCAGAGTCTAGAAGGGAAAGTGATCCAATTAGAGACAAACAACTAATGTATTTTCACCAAAGAAATACATTAAAATCCCCACAAGTTTTTATTTTAACCACACAAAACAATCGTTTTTTTCTTTTTTAAGCATTTGTGCCTATAGTAAAACCTCATTAATTGTGACTTGGTTAACGCAGAATGCAAACTTTGGGCCACAGTGGGACTGACACTACCCTGCACTAAAGAAAGGCAGATGCAGAATGCAAACCAGGTGAGCAGACTTAATTCTAGAAAACAAAAGAACTTTCTGTGCTCTCACAATCATGAGCAGCATTATCTAACCTAAGGGAAAAGATTTAAAGAAAACAGACAAGTTGTTTAAGTACACTAAAATCTATACTTTTCCTCAGGCTCACAGTTAACAACCCTATTTGTCAGATTTTTGTTTTGTTTTTTTTGAGAGGCAGGGTCTTGTTTGTTGCCCAGGCTGGAGTGCAGTGGTATGACCATAGCTCACTGCAGCCTTCAACTCCTGGACTCAAGCAATCCTCTCACCTAAACCTCCTGAGTAGCTAGGACTACAGGTGTGTGCCACCACACCCAGATAATTTAAAATTTCTTTTTTTGTACAGGCAGGGTCTTGCTATCTCTTGCCAGGCTGGTATTGAACTCCTGTCCTCAAGTGATCTTCCCACCTTGGCCTTGCAAAGTGGTGGGATTACAGTGAGCCACTGCTCCCTGCCCCAGTTAGTAGGTTTTAATGCATATTGCAAACAGCTGAATCCAGTCTTACCAAACTTGTCTGCTCCACATCGGAAGCATTTTAGTCTTTTCCTGAAATTGTTAAGGCAGCACTGAAAAAAAAAGTTTTATCTGTAATTATTTCTCACATTAGGCCAGGCTTTCTAGTAACAATAACAGTGGGGCCACGGGTAGGTCCCAGTAACTAACAGAAAAGCAGAAAGTCTCACGTAGCTGAGACATGGGGACATAACCTAAAAAATTCAGAATGTAACACTGTTAAAATCTCCCAAGAAAAACAAAGTTTGTTGTATGTTGAAGAAGAATCCCATTATTATCAAGCCGAGGAAAGGGTTCAGTTAATTTGAAAACTCTACAGCAAGCCACTGGTGAAGCTCTTCCTTGTATCAACAGAGCACTATACATCCCATCCTACATACACAAACACAAGGTAAACTAACCACTGTCTAGTCCCCTACTGGACAGGGGACACAGTTTGAGCACTCTCAAAATATCAATGTCAACATTCAAGTTCAAAATGGTAAACCTTATATAACTTTAGCAGGGTTCTCAACTATTTTGGTTAATACAGTTAAGAGACTACGCCAAAAACTGAGAGCTCTAGAATTCAATAAACAGTAACATGAAACACACCTAAAATCTTAATCACTGGGCTTAGAACCTGCATCCTTTTTGTTGTCCTTTTTTGTTTTTTGAGACAGAGTCTCACTCTGTCACCCAGGCTAGAGTGCAGTGGCGCGATCTTGGCTCATTGCAACCTCTGCCTCCCGTGTTCAAGAGATTTTCCTGCCTCAACCTCCGAGTAGCTGGGATTACAGGCGCGCACCGTGATGCCCAGCTAATTTTTGTATTTTTAGTAGAGACGGGGTTTTGCCATGTTGGCCAGGCTGGTCTCTAACCCCTGGCCTCAAGCTATCTACCCGCCTTGGCCTCCCAAAGTGCTGGGATTACAGGCGTGAGCCACCATGCCCAGCAGAACGTGCATCTTAATAAACGAAACCTCTAGTTCTATCATCTAATACCAGTGTAGGAGGACCCAAGGAAAGTAACAAACCATGAATATTACTGATGATTGAGTAACAATTTCCTTGTTTGGACAGTCAAATAAACAAACAGAAAAAAACAGCAATATCCTAAAGGAGTTTTGTCTATTTGGGAAGAACATATGCTTACCTTGTTACAAAGCCAATCTTCAAACTTAGGTCTGGGATTGCTATAATGCATTGCAATGTGCTTTCCTTGAATCACCAACTTTTTCTGTAAGAAAAGAAGTAATTAGTTATTCCCATTGTGAGGAACATGTGTCCATTTTCCCAGGGCAGAGCACACTTCGGAAAAATCAGTGCTCTGGAATTAAATGGACAACATACGGGGAGGACCAACCACCGCCACCTATACTCTGCCCATCCAATCCTTCAGATAGGCAGTAAGAGAATGGGATGCGGAGTAAAGGTAAACGGAGTCAGGGAGTGCTGAGAAAGCTGTCAAACACTAAACGCTGACTTGCACCAGGCCGTGTCTCCAGCGGAGACAGAAGTCCTAACATTCAGCATTGACAGGCTGCCTGAGTGTGACAGTCTACTTCAAAAAGCAGAAGACACAATTCTCTCAGTTCTGAGACTGTCTCTTACTTTTGCCCTTAGCATGGTGTCCTTGGGCTTCGCTTCACCTTTTTCCCCAGTCCCCCATCCTTATGCAAAGTAAAAGCCTTTACATTTCTCCTTCCCCCCACACCTTCTGCTTCAGGATGAGTCCTTTGGGGGGAAAGGGAGGGGAACTCATTTTTAAAGGGAATCTGGTTACAATTCTTTCTCAAGAGGGACTATTCTGAATGCCACCAACTCTAAAACAACTAAATGAGATTTTTTTTTTCCTGTCAACTGCAACCATGTCATGTCCTAGGTGACAGATGTGTTTTTCACTAAAATGGATGGTACTCTCTTCAAGGTGAGTAACCAGGAGGCCAATGAAGTTTCTTCAGGGGGGTAGGAAAAGCTCATAAATGCACACACCACCTCATCCTTCAAGTCAACCATGTGACTACAAGGACTTAGCTTTAAAAAGTCAAAATTCTGAGCTGAATCAATCTAGCCAAGAGTATACCTAGCACCTACCCCTAAAGAGCCTTCATTTAACAGGAGCATCTTTTCTTTTTCTTGGGGGTGGGAGGATCAAGGGTGGGGGTGGTTTGACACTATCAAACAGATTTAAGTAGGTGGTTAGATATCCAGATTTTAAAAAGGAGTCTAACCCCTCTAAACATACATACTGTTGAGCAATTTGGTTCTTGCAAATCCTGGAAGATTTAAGACATGCTGTGAATTTTGTCTCTGCGATATCTAAAGGCAAGACTGCATGTCTGGCCAGGAGAGAAAAAGCTGAAGGGCCATCCACTCACTGTGATATACAGAAGCAAAAATAAAAAAGCTGGGAGATATGTGAATAGATCATCCCACTAGGAGGGATGTGTGCTGGGAGACTCCAAACTACCAGTGAGTCCCTAATCCTACTGGCCTTTTATTTCTGGAGTGAATTTGAACTGTAATGTGTTACACAGTAACATAGCTTTGTATACATTAAAATTGTGGAGACTTTTAAATGTCTTACAGGTTTTAGTTTCTTAGGAGTTTTAAACTCCTAGGTTAGTCATTCTGACATATCCACTGCATCAAACAATGCTATCATGTCAAGAAAGCAGACTCACATGAACCTTGTATATGTTCTGGATTTACTAGGATGGTATCTATGGTATGAAATGAATGAAGCTCTACTTTTAATAAAATCAGGCTGTGATTTCTGGGTTAGGAAAATGAGAGGCTTAAAAACTTTAACAAATCAGTCAGTCAAAGTGATACCCTCATTAGTGAGTCTTGTTATAAATGGCAATATTACCAATCAAAGAATGTAACTTTTATTCATGGATTCATGGATGACTCAAATCACAGAATGCTGCAGAAAAGCAAGATAATGAGTCAAGCAAACTTCCCAGAATGCACTTGGTTAAAGGCATTCAATAATGTGCCTTGGAGTTCTTGCAAAAAATGTTATTTAAGTGCCAAGCACTGAACATTATCTTGACAAACTGAAGAACACTTCAGTTAACACTACCTCGAAGAACCATCAATGACTTGCTTTGAACAGACTATAAAAGGCATTCTCAAGGAGATTAGAATGTTAATGCCACTCTAACTAGATTAGACAGCTGCAGGACACCACTCCCAGGCTAATCTCATCAGACTTATTGTTCATAAATTCCACTAAGTCCTTAAATATTCCCTGAAGACCGGTCTGAGCAGTTACGCCTCCAGGAGGCTTTGTGGTCTTCAGGCAGAAATAAGGAATTACTTATAAAAATGCCGCCACAGACTTTCACTATGTTCTCTTCACTGTCAAATGGAGAGTTTGATATACTAAGCTTACTCTCAATGGACATAATAGGAATATAACAAACTAGAAAAAAGGGAAACATTAAGATGTTTTAGTGATTACCAGACAGGTATTCAGTAGTTAACAAAGCCCTGCCAGGTAGGTAGCCATGTTTAAAGGCAGAACAAATTCTATAATGAAGTCCTTGGTACTGTACTTATTCTAGTAACATCAATTTTAATATATACAAAGCTTTTTTTTTAAAAAAAAGTCACTCCTTTGGAACAAACCACTCCTTCAACCTTTTTTTAAAATTGTACAGACTTGTTCCATTTTCATGAATATCTAGACTTGGTGAGTGAAGCAACCTGATTGGCTTCCATCCAGCTGGTAGCATCTTGCAAGTGATAAAACTCCACGAAGGCGAAACCACGGCTTACACCTAGAGACAGCATTCAGATATAGACGGGATACTTGTGTTAGTCAGTTCCTTTATAACAGGTGAATCTCTCTCCCACTGCTTCAACACTGCGTGACAAAGCCAATTGGGAAGCAGCTTTACAAATGTGACTTGACTTGGGGATCTTCTTGATACTTTGCCATGGCAAGGAACAAGCCGCCTGAACTAAATGCCACTCCATTTGATTCCACGCTTAAAGTAACCATGCAACCGACTATAGTCAAAAAAAAAAAGGAGTTTATAAATCATTACTTACCTAAGGAAAAAAAAGTCCCTAAAACAAAGTTTAAAAAAGTTCCTCAGATGCTAACATGGTTTTCAAAGAGTCACATTCCTTAGCCATGGCAAACCTTTCATTCTGAATTCATGTGCTTGAAGACTGGGGGAATCAGGATGTTCTTTAGGGACTGAGGTGGGAATGGGGAAGAGAACAATAATATCAGGAACTAAGCAAGCTCTCACCTGTTTTCCTCTTCATCAGCCTCACATCCGCAGGCTGAGGGCCTTCGAAGGACTCCATCATTTCTCGAATCTGCACAGGGTTTTACATTATTTACAGTTAAAGCTTTTGCCACACACTATTCCCCATGGAATAGGAATTACATCAACTGTTTAATTAGCCAAGTTTTTTTTTTTTTTAAGATGGGAGTCTCTGTCTCTCACTCACTTGATTGCCCAGGCTGGAGTGCAGTGGCATGATCTCAGCTCACTGCAACCACCACCTCCTGGGTTCAAGCAATTCTCCTGCCTCAGCCTCCCGAGTAGCTGGGATTATAGGTGTGCACCACCATGCGTGACTGATTTTTTTTTTTTTTTGAGACGGAGTCTCGCTCTGTCACCCAGGCTGGAGTACAGTGACGTGATCTCGGCTCACTTCAACCTCCACCTCCTGGATTCAAGCGATTCTTCTGCCTCAGCCTCCCAGGTAGCTGGGATTACAGGCATCCACCACCACATCCAGCTAATTTTTGTATTTTTAGTAGAGACGGGGTTTCACTGTGTTGGACAGGCTAGTCTCGAACTCCTGGCCTCAAGTGATATGCCAGCCTCCCATATCATTACATGCATGACCCACCATGCCTGGCCTAATTAGCCAAGTTTTTATCTTCTATCACCAAAATGCAATTTTCCTAAAAGGCACAAAAAAGAGAGAACATTTCTCATAGAAATTAATGCATTATAACAGCACTGAAGGCATTCATTAAATGTTGCATGGGAATTTCCCTCAGGTGTAATTAATTTTTCCTTTTTTTTTTTTGAGACAGGGCCTAGCTCTGACACCCAGGCTGAAGTGCACTGGTGTGATCTCAGCTCACTGCAACCTCTGCCTTCCTGGACTCAAGTGATCCTCCCACCTCAGCCTCCTAAGTAGCTGGGACTACAAATGCACACCACCACACCTGGTTAATTTTTGTATTTTTTGTAGAGACAGAGTTTTGCCACGTTGCCCAGGCTGGTCTGGAACTCCTGGGCTCAAGCGATCCGGCCACCTTGGCCTCCCAAAGTGCTAGGATTACAGGAGTGAGCCACAATGCCTGGCCGCAATTAATTTCTGTTATGATACACATCCTTGCTTGTGGTATGATGTCTCAAGCCTCCATCCTTTAGTCTAATCTCCCTGTCCTTTGTTCTGCAGGATAGTACAGTGGCTCAAGCCTATAATCCTAGCGCTTTGGGAAGATGAGGCAAGATGAGCGCTTGAGCACAGGAGTGTGAGACCAGCCTGGGGAACACAGTAAGACCCCATCTGTATACAAAAATTTTAAAAATTAGGCCTCGCATAGTGGCTCACGCCTGTAATTCCAGCACTTTGGGGGGCCAAGGCAGGTGGATCACGAGGTCAAGAGATGGAGACCATCCTGGCTAACACAGTGAAATCCCGTCTCTACTAAAAATACAAAAAATCAGCCAGACGTGGTGGCACGTGCCTGTAGTCCTAGCTACTTGGGAGGCTGAGGCAAGAGAATCGCTTGACCCCGGGAGGCGGAGGTTGCAGTGAGCCGAGATCGCGCCACTGCACTCCAGCCTGGGCAAGAGTGAGACTCCGTCTCAAAAAAAAATAATAAAATAAAATAAAAATTACCCAAGCATGATGGTATACACCTGTAGTCCTAGTTACCTGGGAGGCTGAGGTGGGAGGACTGTTTAAGCCCAGGAGTTCGAGGTTACAATGGGCTATTGCACCACTGCACTCCAGCCTGGGTGACAAAGTGCAACCCTATCTTTAAAAAAATAAAAAAATAAAAATAAGGACTCAGATGAGATTTAAAAGAGGCAGTGGATGCGTCACTGTGCCCTGAAGTACGCCTAATCAAGAATAGCCTTCCTGCTCTTTGAGGCCTACTCTCAAAATAAGGAAAAAAATCAACAGCCAAAAAATGAAGAGCCTGATGATAAACTTTTTTTTAAATTTTTTTGAGATGGAGTCTCACTCTGTTGCCCAGGCTGGAGAGCAATGGCATGATCTCGGCTCACTGCAACCTCCGCCTCCTGGGTTCAAGCAATTCTGCCTCAGCCTCAAGAGTAGCTGGGACTACAGGCGCATGTCGCCACACCCAGCTAATATTTTATATTTTAGTAGAGAGGGGTTTCACCATGTTGCCCAGGCTGGTCTCCATCTCTTGGGCTCAGGTAATCCACCCACCTTGGCCTCCCAAAGTGCTGGGATTACAGGCGTGAGCCACCGCACCAGGCCAGGTAAACATTTTTAATGGATCATACTTTTCTTACAGTTAAATTATTGGTAAAAATTTTCAAAGTTCATCACATTCTTAGGCTCCTAATAAATCAAACATTAATTGGGGCTAGAATAAAGTATTCTGGCTGGTAGGCTTGTTCCAATGTCAGACCAACTCCTTTTTCCAAAAGGCCACAAAAATATACTAGTCTCTTCATCAATAATATCAGGCATGAATACTACCATGAAAAAAAAAACAGGGTGAAATTTGTGGAAACAAGATTCTCACTGGCCTCTACTTTCCATAACTAGGTGCAACGGCTGCAAGACTACACACAGCCAATCCTCATTATCCTCAGGTATCACACCTGTGAATTCAACCACTCATTAAAATTTCTAACACTCAAATCAATACTTGTAGCAGTTTCTTTTTTTTTTTTTTTGAGACAGTCTTGCTCTGTCGCCCAGGCTGGAGTGCAATGGCACGATCTCGGCTCACTGCAAGCTCCGCCTCTCAGATTCATGCCATTCTCCTGCCTCAGCCTCCTGAGTAACTGGGACTACAGGCGCCCGCCACCACGGCTGGCTAATTTTTTTGTAGTTTTAGTAGAGACAGGGTTTCACCGTGCTAGCCAGGATGGTCTCGATCTCCTGACCTTGTGATCCGCCTGCCTCAGAATCCTAAAGTGCTGGGATTACAGGCGTGAGCCACCGCACCTGGCCAACCCTCAGTAATATTCTTTTAGGCTTAGCTAGACTTTTGAGAACTCTAGCCCCTAGCCACAATAGCACTTTGCCACTCATCCCTCTCCTGCCAAAAGCCTCTGACTCCAGCCAAATCAAGCCGATTGCTAGGCCTTATCTAGATTCAGTACCTTTCTATTCCCTGCTCATGTGATACCCCTCCGCCTGAAGGGCCCATCTACCACACCATTCCCTTAGTTTTCCACGCCTATAATCCTAGCACTTTGGGAGACCCAGGCGGGAGGATTGATTGAAGACAAGAGTTCAAGACCAGTCTAGGCAATAAAGAGAGACCTTGTCTCTACAAAAAAAAAAACAAACGATAAAAAAAAAAATTAGCTCGGAGTGGTGACACATGCCTGTAATCCCAGCTACTTGGGAGGCTGAGGCTGGTGGATTGCCTGAGCCCCAAAAGTTGGAGGCTGCTGTGAGCCACAATCACGCGATTGCACTCCAGCCTATGCGACAGAGTAAGGCCCTGTCTCACAAAAATAAAAATAGAAGATTCCTTACCCTCCACTAGTAACAATTTCCTTTAAATAACCTTCAAGAGCTCTTAGGCAGACCTCTTTCAATAGGACCTTTTCCGACATGACCCTCTTTTTGAGACAGGGTCTTGCTCTGTCGCTCAGGCTGGAGTGCAGTGGCGTGAACACAACTCACTGTACCCTTGACCTCCTAGGCTCAAGTGATCTTCCTGCCTCAGTCTCCCAAGTAACTGGGACCACAGACAAGCGCCATTAAGACTGGCTATTTTTTTTTTTTTTTGGAGAGATGCGTCTTACCATGTTGTCCAGGTTGGACTTGAACTCCTGGGCTCAAGCACTCTTTTCACCTTGGCCTCCCGAAGTGCTGGGATTACAGGCATGAGTTACCATACTCGGCCTCTGACCCCTTTCTATTCTGCATTGTCACCATTATCTGCTGACCTTAGCTACTCATCCATAAGCTTTTTTGAGGCAAGATCCATAGCTCTGTGTCACTGTAGCATCTAACATGTACAGTGTAGCAGATGTGCAGTGGATCACAAATAATGGAATGATTACCCACTATTAACTCTAATATCCTGTCTCACATTTGTCACATTCATTACTTCCAGGGTTTAGAAACCCAAAGCTACGGGAATCCAATGCTTATTTTGAGCTTTATCCAAAATTCAACTAAACATTAGTCAGAATATTACTTTGATTACTCCAAGAAAACAAATACTGGCACACTGCTGTTTTAAAACCTCACATTCATTTTTACCAAGAGCACTGGCTGAGTAACATACTGTGTTCAAGGGTTGGGGACACAGAGGTGACTAGTTCACACAGAGGCCTATTTTCAGAGATCTTGTGGTAGAGATGAGACATGTGTGTTGATGGCTACAGTAAAGGTGCTACACAAAAGTCATGAATACAGTGCCTTAGGAAGAGAATAACGAAGAAGAAGCTCTGCCCGATAGATCAGGCTTTACATACAGGCGTCTCCAAGCAGAAAAAGGCACAACAGTAGAGCAATGGACATGTCCAAAGTCCAGGATGTGGAAAGTAGGGTGTGGCTGGAAGGAAGGGTGAGGACCAGAGATGCTGCTGGAAATCAGGCAGTGCCAAGTACACTAAGACTCTAATTGGCCAGTCTGAATGAGCCGTCCTTTTTAACAAGCTTTTCTGAGGTTTCAAATGGGTAGTTCAATTTTCAACAAATAAAAGGGTGGCCAGATTATAAAGAAAATTAGGTATTTACCAATCATCCTCATCTAATAAGTAACTAATTCAATAAAAATATATTGATTATCTTCTAGGAGCTAATGAAGACAGAAGACCTGCTCCCTGTGGTTAAAGACATTTAGAAAACTCATACATTGAGCTTCAAAGCCTAAATATGGTAATTTACTTCTTTTTGTTTTTGAGACAGGGTCTTGTTCTGTCACCCAGGCTGGAGTGCAATGGCGTGATCTTGGCTCATTGTAAACTCCGCCTCCCAGGTTCAAGCCATTCTCCTGTCTCAGCACCTCCCCAAGTAGCTGGGACTACAGGTATGCACCACCACACCTAGCTAATTCTTGTATTTTTAGTAGAGACAGGGTTTCACCATGTTGGCCAGGCTGGTCTCAAATTCCTGACCTCAAGTGATCCACCCGCCTCGACCTCCCAAAGTGCCTGGGATTACAGGCATGAGCCACCGCGCCTGGCCAAAATGGTAACTTACTTCTGAACCTAGTTCAGTGAACTTTTCCCTAAAGACAGAAAAATATTTCACTAGCTGAGATAGATACAGGTTGAGCAACCCTAATCCAAAAATTTGAAATGCTCCAAAATCTGAAATTTTCTGAGCACTAACATGACACAACAAGTGGAAAATTCCACCCCTGACCTTATTTGAAAGGTCACAGACAAGAGGGCAGTCAAACCTTTTAGTCCAGGCAACATACTTAGCCCAGCCTGGCTCTACAAAAAATAAATTAGCTGGGTGTGGTGGCATGCACCTGCCAGCTACTGAAGTAAAAAGATCACTTGAGCCCAGGAGTTTGAGGCTGCAGTGAGCTATGATTGCATTGCTATACTCCAGACTGGGTGACAATGAGACCCTGCCTGTAAAAAACAGAAACAAAAATATCACAAACAAAAAAACAAAGCACACATTGTTTTGTGTATAAAATTATTTAAAGTGTTGGCCGGGCAAGGTGGCTCACGCCTGTAATCCCAGCACTTTGGGAGGCCGAGGCGGGTGGCAGGAGATGGAGACCACAGTGAAACCCCGTCTCTACTAAAAATACGAAAAAAGTTAGCCGGGTGCGGTGGCGGGCGCCTGTAGTCCCAGCTACTCAGGAGGCTGAGGCAGGAGAATGGCGTGAACCCGGGAGGCAGAGCTTGCAGTGAGCCGAGGTTGTACCACTGCACTCCAGCCTGGGTGACAGAGCAAGACTCTGTCTTAAAAAAAAAAAAAAAAAATTATTTAAAGTGTTGTATAAAATTACCTTTGGCATGTATAAGACATATACAAAATACAAATGAATTTCATGTTTAGACTTATGTAAATGCAAATGTTTAAACTTATGTAAATGCAAATATTAAAAAAAAATATCAAAACAGTTCTGGTCCCAAGCATTTTGGATAAGGGATACTCAACCTCTATTGGCTTAAGATAAAACAATAGCATGAGAAAATAATGGTAGAAGCTCAAAGTTCATTGTGCCTACTGACTGCTGGTTATAACTGTCATTTCCCCTTACATCGCTCTCTGTGATGGTGATGGGAAGGCCGCGCAGCATGATGGTCTTGCTCTCCCTCTCGTCACTGATGTCATGCCTATAGTCGTGCTCACCATAGTCACCATCTGAATGGTAGCCATCTTCGGATCGGTCACTGTTCCTTCTTTCACGCTCTCTCTGAGTTACAATAAACAAAATCACAATTAACATCACCCTGTACTCTTTGAAACAGACCCTCCACTCCTAGAAATTATCCTTAGCAGGAAGTGTACAGAGATTACACAAGCACTCCATGGTAATGTTCACTGCAATTTTTTTTTTTTGAGACAGGGGTCTCACTATGTTACCCAGGCTGGTCTGAACTCCTGGCCTCAAATGACCCTCCTGCTATGGCCTCCCAAAGTGCTGGGATTATAGGCACACCCAGCCTGCTGTGTTTTCTTTTTTTTTTTTTTTGAGACAGTTTCACTCTTATTGCCCAGACTGGAGTGCAGTGGTGCGATGATCTCTGCTCACTGCAACCTCTGCCTCCTGGGTTCAAGCAATTCTCCTCCTTCAGCCTCCCGAGTAGTTGGGACTATAGGCACTTGCCACCACGCCCAGCTAATTTTTTGTATTTTTAGTAGAGACAGGGTTTCACCATGTTAGCCAGGATGGTCTCAATCTTCTGACCTCATGATCCGCCCGCCTCGGCCTCCCAAAGTGCTGGGATTACAGGCGTAAGCCACCGTGCCGGCCTTCTGGTTTTTTTTTTTTTTGAGACAGAGTCTCCCTCTGTCGTCCATGCTGGAGTGCAATGGCATGATCTCAGCTCACTGCAACCACTGCCTCCCAGGCTCAAGCAATTCTCGTACCTCAGCCTCCTGAGTAGCTGAGGTCGCACCACTGCACTCCAGCCTGGGTGACAAGACTAAAAAGCTGTCTCAAAAAAAAAAAAAAAAAAAAAAAAAAAAGATATATCAAGATGACCAAAACAACAACTTATATTTATTATTTTTCATTATTATTATTTTAAAGACAGGGTCTCCCTATGGTGCCCAGGCTGGCCTCTAACTCCTGGGCTCAAGGGATCCTCCTGCCTCGGCCTCCCAAATTGTTGGGATTACAGGTGTGAGCCACTGTGCCTGGCCAACAACTTATATTTATCATTCATTTCAAAACACAGAACTAATATGTTATCATAACCCCATTGTTTCATCTTTAAAATGGGAATAACACCTACCTTATCAGGTTGTACTGAGACCTAAATGAATTCATGAAGTCAAGTGCTCAAAAGTACATGGTGATCCCTATGTAAACCCTGGCCATTATTTCTTTTCTTTTTTTTTTTTTTTTGAGATGGAGTCTTGCTTTGTCACCCATGCTGGAGAGCACTGATACAATCTCAGCTCACTGCAACCTCCGCCTCCCAGGTTTCAAGTGATTCTCTTACCTCAGTCTCCCAAGTAGCTGGGATTACAGGCGCCCACCACCCCACTCAGCTAATTTTTGTATTTTTAGTAGAGACGGGTTTTACTATGTTGGCCAGACTGGTCTTAAACTCCTGACCTCAAGTGATCTGGCCGCCTTGGCCTCCCAAAGTGATAGGATTATGGGAAGGGGCCACTGGACCTGGCTGCCTGGCTGTTATTTCTATTACTATAAGGCTCAGAGTGTTTTGGGGGGTTATACAGCCGCTGGTCACTCACCTCTGGACTGTCATAGTCTCGGTAGTCATCATATCTATCACCCCTCCGATCATCACTAGATCTTTTGTAATCTGAGTCCCTCCGCCTGCTTCGGGATTCACGCTCATCACGGTCATCCCTGTCTATGATGGAACCGTATCTTCCACTACGCTCTGTTCTACTCACTCTGCCAGGGAAAATAATTTTCATTCTAAAGTCAGTCACATTTTGTACCTTTAAAAGACATAGTTAAAAATACACACGGCCCACAGATCAGTTTATAAGATAATCCAAATAGTTTAAAGTGTTAAAAAGTATTACCAAATTCCAGTTTACTAAGATAACCACTGGGAAAATACCTACATCCCTAAATGTAATGATAATTCTCAGGAATGTATGCTAAATCTGAAATAAACATTTGGGTTGAATATTTCTAAGAAAGAGTCATGTTGTCCAAGTTTATTTTTGCATTTTGTCAAGCCTAGAGTCTACATATTATCCCTTCATCCCTGATTCAGATCTTAGTGACCAAAAACAGGAAGAAAGCAGTTACTCGAATTTCACCCAATTTTAAAGGGTGAAATTAAGTACATCCCTGGCTCATCTACTCTCAAGGGTATCATGCCTACTGGAAAATGGACCAAAAACCTGGATGAACTAAGTTAGTCTTTTTTTTCCCCATCAGGCAACTTAGTTGTCTGTCAGATACAACTGGATAGTTACCCAAAACTAGCACCCCTTAAGAGAACACTCTTCTTATAACATCTGGTTTATTTTTGGCTAAAGGGCAGCACTGGGCTTCATGGGAAAACCTAATAACAAGAGGCTTAAACCTATTTGACCACAGATAAAATACACCTTTTGTAAACTGTTTACCAGATTCATAAAACTGCTGTGCAATCATAAGGCAAAGGAAAGGTTTATAAGGGCTTCATTTAGAATATACAAATTTAATAAAAAGAATCAAAGGAAATATGGGACTGAGACACCCCAAAGGGGTAAATGTTAATTTAGTAAGCTATTTAGAACCACAGACTGCTGACACAGCATTAAAATACCATGTGACATGAACATCTCCTAAGGTCCCTCAGCCTGTCAATGTGATCTACCACAGGGACTGACCTCAATACTAAAAAGGCAGATGGCTGAATAAGGGTGTGTGTTTAAATCAAATGGTCTGAGAGCATGTACCCATAGGTGACACAATAGCCAAATGCTCTCATCTTAATTTTCCACTAATTCTTTGGCTCTTTCTTTCTTCATGTAACACACAGTCCCAAGCTTCTCAGCTCTCTAAGTCTGGATCATCTTGCTATTCAGGGAACAATAACAAGAAATGGCATTCATTGATTGCTTACCACAGCCAGGAACTGTGCTAAGTGCCAGACTGTATGATCTCCTGGATTCTGCAAAGGTTGCTGTCCACACAGGGAACCTTCAGTGACCCACTCTACCCTGCCCTTCTTTGCCTAAAATTCTTTCTTATCCTTCAGCTTCCTTCCAGAGAATATTTTCTCCAGGAAGCTTTCCTGGCTGTGAACAAGAAAAAGACATACTTCCTATGTGTTCTAAGAGCACCCTACACTTTATCACAGCATGTTCACACAGTACTTTAATTCTCTCACTAGACTGTAGTTTGTGACAACAGGATCATAAAGGTGTTCGTTAGCAATGCCTGGCGCAAAACACTCATATATTAGTTTGATAAACTATTTTAAACAAGGAGTTCAGTCCCCACTGAAATGTTGAGATCAAAGCCACGTACTGTAGTAACTTACCTTTTGTCTGAACCCATTGTCCCACTGAAGATTTAGCACACAGCTCCAAAAGGTTCAAATTTTATTTTTTCTAGGAGACAAGAGAGATTAATTGCTATAAATCTCAGAGATCACTTAAGTCAGCAGCTCCATAGCTTGGATACTACTGAGGCTGGGATTTCATCAAACCTTCAAATCATTGACAGTGATTATCTAAGGTGGGGAAGTGGTGGGGACAAACTGTCAACGTTAAAATCGTGCTAACATTTTGTTAACAATGAGCAAAACCGGAAGATTAAGCATATTTTAAAATATTAGATTCCAGATTTAACAGAATCATAATACGGAGCAAGCAGAAGACTCCTTCCCTGCTCCTACCTTAGAATTACAAAGCAAAAAGGGCAGAGCTACAATCAGCTCCTTGGTTTTGTATCAAAGCAACTCCGTGGGATAGTTGACCGTTAAAACATTAATCCAAGTGTCTTCATTAATACAAGGAGCAACATGAAATTCAAACACTTCTGATGAAAAATGTAAAACCTCGTAGAAGCTGGGATACTGAGCTGACTGAAATCTACTACATTAATAACGTATCGCATAAGACAAGAGCAAAGCTAGAAACGACCTAATTCCTAGGTAACAATAACCACCACGTCTTGAGCCAGTTCTTATGACTACAAACCACTGAGTAGTGAACAGCCCGGCCCCCCGCCCCCCGTTGGTAATAAGACATCACACTGCTGGACCGCGTTCGATGAGCGCGAGGTCCGAAAAATCAGTTCCAGTAGTCTCTGGAAGCCTAGTCTAGAGCGAATGCTCAACGATTTGTTGAAATTAATAAATGAAAAAGAACCACTGGGGGGAAACAAGTCCCGGGGCATATTCACTGGTGCCGCCCCTTGTCTCCCGGGCGGTGCCGGCACCCACCTCCGTGGGGTCTCGCGGCCGAGATGGCGGCGTCACGGCCTGCTCGACCGACTCCAGCGTCCGGCCTGCCCTCCCCGCACATGCCCCTCCCGCCTCCCAAGAGGTTCCAAACCCGCAGATGGGCGATCACCGAACAGCTTTTCGGAGAGGGCGATTCAGTTGCAGTTGAGCGGGGGATGGCGGCCAGAGACTGCCAGGGAGCTCCCAAGGAGTGCCCGAGGGACAGGCGACGGCTCCACTGCTCCGTTGGGCTGAAGATTAGGGGACGTGTATCCACAAGGGGCAAAGTCACAGCCAGAAAGAAGCAGGCCCAAGGCTGAGCTGGCTGGACACCCTCTGGAAACTGACAGAGCTGGCAACAAGGAAGGGCGCGGCCCTCCAACGCCTGGGGTAATTTAGCCCCTCTACAGAACCGGCTGGAGCTGATCAGTCGCCTCCGGCAGCTGACAAGGGAGGCTTGGGGGCCAGCCCAAATGGCAAGAACCTACCGTCGTTACAGACAGCCGCCGCACTTACCCCAAGGAGAGACCGAAGCAGCAGTAGCGGTTCTGCGCCCCAGAACCTCCAACAAGGTTCGGCGGCTACACAAAATGGCGCCTCCGCCGACGGCCGTCTCCTACCCACAGTACCTCACGCTTATCCCCTCCCCCTGTCACCCGCCTCCTGCGGAGAAGTCCAATCCTCGAAGCGGCCTGGCTGTGCGAGGGCTGCCGGGAAATGTGGTCGCCAGACCATCCTGTCACTTAGGACGCTCTGTGTTAATGTCTTGCAATTCTCTTCTAAATCACTACAGAGTTGTCGATCGGCTTTTGCAGACCTGGATTAGTTTTTAGGGCTCCTATTAGGCATGTTAATAATTCTTTGCTTTTGCTACTAGCGCCGTAGAGAGTACAGTTTGCTTTCACTGGCACGGTGTAAAACATTGTCTAATTCTACTTCAAAAGGAGACCGTGCGTGAAGTGGTGGCTCACTCACAAGCCAGCATTTTGGGAGGCCGAGGCAGGAGGATCGCTTGAGGCCAGGAGTTCGAGACCAGCCTGGGAAACACAGTGAGATCCTATCTCTACAAAAAATAAAATTAACTGAGCATGGTGGCGTGCACCTCTTGTCCCAGCTACTCAGGAGCTGAGGTGAGAGGTTCGCTTGGGCCCAAGAGGTCGAGGCTGCAGTGAGCTGTGATCTCGTCACAGCACTCCAGCCTGGGGACAATGCGAGAAACTGTCGCTAAAAAATAAAAAGGAGGCCGGTGCTGGGCGCGGTGGCTCACTCCTGTAATCCCAGCACTTTGGGAGGCCAAGGCGGGCGGATCACAAGGTCAGGAGATCGAGACCATCCTGGCTAACACGGTGAAATCCCGTCTCTACTAAAAATACAAAAAAATTAGCTGGGCATGGTGGCGGGCGCCTGTAGTCCCAGCTACTTGGGCGGCTGAGGCAGGAGAATGGTGTGAACCCGGGAGGCGGAGCTTGCAGTGAGCCGAGATTGCGCCACTGCACTCCAGCCTGGGCAACAGAGTGAGACTCTGTTTCAAAAAAAAAAAAAAAAAAGGCTGGACGCAGTGGCTCACGCCTGTAATCCCAGCACTTTGGGAGGCCGAGGCAAGTGGATCACGAGGTCAGGAGCTCAAGACCAGCCTGACCAATATGGTGAAACCGCGTCTCTACTAAAAATACAAAAATTAGCCGGGCATGGTGGCATGCACCTGTAGTTCCAGCTACTAGGGAGGCTGAGGCAGGAGAATCACTTGAACCAGGGAGGCAGAGGTTGCAGTGAGCTGAGATCGTGCCACTGCACTCCAGCCTGGGTGACAGAGCAAGACTCAGTCTCAAAATAATAATAATAATAATAATAATAATAATAATAATAATAATAATAAATAAATAAATAAAAAGGAGGGGCCAGGCATGATGGCTCATGCCTGTAATCCAAGCACTGTGGGAGGCCGAGGCAGGTGGATCAGCTGAGCTCAGGAGTTCGAGACCAGCCTGGCCAACATGGCTAAACCCCGTCTCTACTAAAAATACAAAAATTAGCTGGGTGTGGTGGCGCACACCTATAATCCCAGCTACTTGGGAGGCTGAGGTAGGAGAATCGCTTGAACCCAAGAGGCGGAGGTTGCAGTGAGCCGAGATTGCTCTACCGCACTCCAGCTTGTGCAACACAGCAAGACTCTATCTCAAAAAAAAATAAAAATAAAAAATAAATTAAAATGAGGAACATTAGTTGATCGCTTTACTAGATGCTATATTATTGCCCTAGATGCTTTGCAAACATTTTTGTTTGTTTGTTTGTTTGAGATGGAGTTTTGCTCCTGTTGCCCAGGCTGGAGTGCAATGGCACAGTTTCAACTCACTGCAAACTCTGCCTCCCAGGTTCAAGTGATTCTCCTGCCTCAGCCTCCCAAACAGCTGGGATTACAGGCACCCGCCACCACACCCAGCTAATTTTTGTATTTTTAGTAGAGATGGGGTTTCACCATGTTGACCAGGCTGGTTTCGAACTCCTGACCTCAGGTGATCCACCTGCCTCAGCCTCCCAAAGTGCTAGGATTACAGGCATGAGCCACCGCACCCAGCCAGAACTGATTTTTCAGGTCATACAAATTGAAAACTGTGCCTATACCATTAGTTACAGAAAGTTATACATCAGTTACAGAAAACTGTGCCTATACCATTTTCTTCTCTCTCTGGAAAACAAATCTTTCAAGAATAAGTGGAGGGATGTCAGTGTATATATCTATATATAGGTATATACACAATACATATATAGACGAAAAGGTAGAAATATAATATATGTGGTGTGTGTGTATTTAGAGAGGAAATATATACAATTTATGGGGAAGCATATATGCAAAATATCAGAAAAGAGTACATGCATTAATGAAATTTAAAAGTTAACATTGATGACATCACTGCAAACCCTACAATGGATGATGCAGATGCCAAGAATCTAGAACTCACTAGACTTCATAGCCACTAGCCGTTGCCTGCCTTGTCCCCAAAGCAGTTCAACAAGCACCTTTGGATATTCCTGAGGTGCTTGCTGAGCTGGGCTTACCACCAGTCATAAAAGCTATATAGCTATTCACAAACCTCAAAATAATCTTTTTTTTTTTTGAGACGGGGTCTTACTCTGTCACCCAGGTTGGAGTGCAATGTCATGATCTCGGTTCATTGCAACCTCGACCTATCCAGGTCAAGAGATCCTCCCACCTCAGCCTCCTGAGTAGCTGAGACCACAGGTGTGCACCACCATGCCCAACTAATTTTTTGTATTTTTGGGGTAGAGATGGAGTTTCACCATGTTGCCCTGGCTGGTCTCGAACTCCTGAGTTCAAGCGATCCTCCTGCCTCAACCTCCCAAAGTGCTGGGATTACAAGCGTGAGCCACCATGCCCAGCCTGCAAAATAATTCTTAAACTTGAAGAGGTCCCTGGCAAAAAAAGATGGATTTCATCCATAGGTAAGTGCCATCCTCCAAATTATCTCTGGTAGCTGATCTTCTTTTAGACATTGGCCTGTTGAGCTCCAGAGCTCTGCTGCCAAAGGCCTGTCTGGTAGCTGATGTAAGAAAAAGAAAGACATCAGAGTGAGTTGCTCTTTGTTTTAAATAAAGCCACATATGTTCAATAAGGGATAGTCCTTTAAGATTGTCTTTTCTAGCCCTCTCCCTCTCCCTCTCCCCACGGTCTCCCTCTCTCTCTCTTTCCACGGTCTCCCTCTGATGCCGAGCCGAAGCTGGACAGTACTGCTGCCATCTCGGCTCACTGCAACCTCCCTGCCTGATTCTCCTGCCTCAGCTTGCCGAGTGCCTGCGATTGCAGGTGCGCACCGCCACGCCTGACTGGTTTTCGTATTTTTTTGGTGGAGACGGGGATTCGCTGTGTTGGCCGGGCTGGTCTCCAGCTCCTAACCGTGAGTGATCCGCCAGCCTCGGCCTCCCGAGGTGCCGGGATTGCAGACGGAGTCTCGTTCACTCAGTGCTCAATGGTGCCCAGGCTGGAGTGCAGTGGCATGATCTCGGCTCGCTACAACCTCCACCTCCCAGCAGCCTGCCTTGGCCTCCCAAAGTGCCGAGATTGCAGCCTCTGCCCGGCCGCCACCCCGTCTGGGAAGTGAGGAGCGTCTCCGCCTGGCCGCCCATCGTCTGGGATGTGAGGAGCCCCTCTGCCTGGCTGCCCAGTCTGGAAAGTGAGGAGCGTCTCTGCCCGGCCGCCATCCCATCTAGGAAGTGAGGAGCGCCTCTTCCCGGCCGCCATCACATCTGGGAAGTGAGGAGCGTCTCTGCCCGGCCGCCCATCGTCTGAGATGTGGGGAGCACCTCTGCCCTGCCGCCCGTCCGGGATGTGAGGAGCGTCTCTGCCCGGCCGCCCCGTCTGAGAAGTGAGGAGACCCTCTGCCTGGCAACCGCCCCGTCTGAGAAGTGAGGAGCCCCTCCGCCAGGCAGCCGCCCCGTCTGAGAAGTGAGGAGCCCCTCCGCCCAGCAGCCACCCCGTCTGGGAAGTGAGGAGCGTCTCCTCCCGGCAGCCACCTCGTCCGGGAGGGAGGTGGGGGGTTCAGCCCCCCGCCCGGCCAGCCGCCCCGTCCGGGAGGGAGGTGGGGGGGTCAGCCCCCCGCCCGGCCAGCCGCCCCGTCCGGCAGATGAGGGGCGCCTCTGCCCGGCCGCCCCTACTGGGAAGTGAGGAGCCTCTCTGCCCGGCCAGCCGCTCCCTCCGGGAGGGAGGTGGGGGGGTCAGCCCCCCGCCCGGCCAGCCGCCCCGTCCGGGAGGGAGGTGGGGGGGTCAGCCCCCCGCCCGGCCAGCCGCCCCGTCCGGGAGGGAGGTGGGGGGGTCAGCCCCCCGCCCGGCCAGCCGCCCCGTCCGGGAGGTGAGGGGCGCCTCTGCCCGGCCGCCCCTACTGGGAAGTGAGGAGCCCCTCTGCCCGGCCAGCCGCCCCGTCCGGGAGGGAGGTGGGGGGGGTCAGCCCCCCGCCCGGCCAGCCGCCCGGTCCGGGAGGTGAGGGGCGCCTCTGCCCGGCCGCCCCTACTGGGAAGTGAGGAGCTCCTCTGCCCGGCCAGCCGCCCCTGTCCGGGAGGGAGGTGGAGGGGTCAGCCCCCCGCCCGGCCAGCCGCCCCGTCCGGGAGGGAGGGAGGTGGGGGAGTCAGCCCCCCGCCTGGCCAGCCGCCCCTTCCGGGAAGTGAGGGGCGCCTCTGCCCGGCCGCCCCTACTGGGAAGTGAGGAGCCCCTCTGCCCGGCCAGCCGCCCCGTCCGGGAGGGAGGTGGGGGGGGTCAGCCCCCCGTCCGGCCAGCCGCCCCGTCCGGGAGGTGAGGGGCGCCTCTGCCCGGCCGCGCCTACTGGGAAGTGAGGAGCCCCTCTGCCCGGCCACCACCCTGTCTGGGAGGTGTACCCAACAGCTCATTGAGACCGGGCCATGATGACAATGGCGGTTTTGTAGAATAGAAAGGGGGGAAAGGTGGGGAAAAGATTGAGAAATCGGATGGTTGCCGTGTCTGTGTAGAAAGAGGTAGACATGGGAGACTTTTCATTTTGTTCTGTACTAAGAAAAATTCTTCTGCCTTGGGATCCTGTTGATCGGTGACCTTACCCCCAACCCTGTGCTCTCTGAAACATGTGCTGTATCCACTCAGGGTTGAATGGATTAAGGGCGGTGCAAGATGTGCTTTGTTAAACAGATGCTTGAAGGCAGCATGCTCATTAAGAGTCATCACCACTCCCTAATCTCAAGTACCCAGGGACACAAACACTGCGGAAGGCCGCAGGGTCCTCTGCCTAGGAAAACCAGAGACCTTTGTTCACTTGTTTATCTGCTGACCTTCCCTCCACTAATTGTCCTGTGACCCTGCCAAATCCCCCTCTGCGAGAAACACCCAAGAATGATCAATTAAAAAAAAAAAAAAAAAAAAAAAGATTGTCTTTTCTAGTTTCTGAATGTGAAAAAAAAAGTTCCCCTCTTTAATGAAATCATGATCATGTTTTTTTAAAAAAATCTCCTACCACTTGGCAAAAGAAGAGACTGGTTCACATGTTTTGGTTCCAGGCTGGGATCTATTGCTCTAGAAGATAAAGAAGAAAAAATTGTATGAAAGAATTCTTGCCTATACCAAGAAACCAAATGACTTCTTTTGTCAAAGATGGGCTTTGATGAACTAAGGAAGAGATATAATCAAAATTCAATCCGACAAGTATTTTCTATAAATCTATGAGCTCAGCATTATTTATTCATTTATTGAGTACCTGTGCCATTATCATTAGGCCCTGTGCCAGGCCCTAGGGATAAAGTAGTGAAGAAAATTACTGAAGATCTCTGCTCCGGCATCAAAAGCCTCAGGGAACTTCCCAGGGACATCACAGGGTGACAGTTTTCACCCCCATTCTTACTTTAATCAGTACCCAAGTGTTGTGCTGAAACCCTATTAACGTCAACAAGGGAAGGAACCAGGTTCAAGAGGCTGAAGAAGAGACCTAGAGCCAGCAAATGAAATGTGAGGTTTTATTACTTTAAATGACAAAAACCGTGAATACTTTATCTCCAACCTTATATTAGGGGCTTACATACAGAGAAAAGAGCCCAGTGGCAGTGGGCTGGAAAGGAGAACCACCTTACGTACAGAAATGGTCCAGTGGTGGCCAGACGTGGTGGCTCACACCCGTAATCCCAGCACTTTGGGAGGCCGAGGCAGGTGGATCACGACGTCAGGAGTTCAAGACTAGCCTGGCCAAGATGGTGAAACCCCGTCTCTATTAAAAATACAAAAGTTAGCTGGGTGCCGTGGCAGGTGCCTATAATCCCAGCTACTCGTGAGGCTGAGGCAGGAGAATCGCTTGAACCCGAGGGAAGGAGGTTGCAGCGAGCCAAGATCGCGCCACTGCACTTCAGCCTGGGCGACAGAGTGAGACTCTGTCTCAAAAAAAAAAAAAAAAAAGAAAGAAATGGTCCACTGGTGACGGCTGGATAACAGGAAAACATATCCGCATGGCCCAGTGCCAGTGGGCTGGGCAGGAAAACCGCAACCGCCTGCAAACATCATGCAGCGTATATAGCATATTCACTTAATAATACTCTCTCCATAATGACCTCCACCTAGCAAACTTCATTTGCCCCAAAACTCAGGGCCTCAATCTCCTGTATGTCCCGTGTTCCATGTGACAGACTAGGGGCTAAGATGTTTATTATAGGTAAGGAACTAAGCTCTAGTTGGTCACTCCCAGATTCCCTAGTTGGGAACACACATTCAGGTGCATCTGCCATACAGGGTTATTCTAAGAGTAGGCTTAAATTATTGCTCTCAGGCCTGGGCGTGGTGGCTCATGCCTGTAATCCCAGCACTTTGGGAGGCCGAGGTGGGCAGATCACTTGAGATCAGGAGTTCGAAACCAGCCTGGCTAACATGGTGAAACCCCGTCTCTACTAAAAATACAAAAATTAGCCAGGCATGGTGGTGCGTGACTGTAGTCCCAGCTACTCAGGAGGCTGAGCCACAAGAATTGCTTGAACCTGGGAGGCAGAGGTTGCAGTGAGCCGAGATGGCCCCACTGCACTCCAGCCTGGGTGACAGAGCAAGCAGAGCGAGACTGTCTCAAAAAAAAAAAAAGGCTGGGCACGGTGGCTCACGCCTGTAATCCCAGCACTTTGGGAGGCCGAGGTGGGTGGATCACGAGGTCAGGAGATTGAGACCATCCTGGCCAACACAGTGAAACCCCACCTCTACTAAAAAATAAAAAAAAAAAATTAGCCGGGCATGGTGGCAGGTGCCTGTAGTCCCAGCTACTGGGGAGGCTGAGGCAGGAGAATGGAGTGAACCCAGGAGGCGGAGCTTGCAGTGAGCAGAGATCGTGCCACTGCACTCCAGCCTGAGCGACAGAGCAAGACTCCGTTTCAAAAAGAAAAAAAAAAAAGCTATCAGGTGCTTTTTTTTTTTTTTTGAGATGGAGTTTTGCTCGTTGCCCAGGCTGGAGTGCAATGGTGCAATCTCGGCTCAAGGCGACCTCCACCTCCTGTGTTCAAGCGATTCTCCTGCCTCAGCTTCCCGAGTAGCTGGGATTACAGACATGCGCCACCATGCCTGGCAAATTTTGTATTTTTAGTGGAGATGGGGTTTCTCCATGTTGATCAGGCTGGTCTCGAACTCCCGACCTCCCGTGATCCACCGCTTGGGCCTCCCAAAGTGCTGGGGTTACAGGTGTGAGCCACCAAGCCCAGCTGGTACTGCTTTTAAAAGTATATTAAGGCTAGGCATGGTGGCTCAGGCCTGTAATGTCAGCACTTTAGGAGGCCCAGGCAGGCAGATCATTTGAGGTCAGGAGTTCAAGACCAGCCTGGCCAACATGGTGAAACCCAGTCTCTACTAAAAAAATACAAAACTTAGCGCGGCGTAGTGGCATGTGCCTGTAGTCGGAGCTACTCAGGAGGCTGAGGCAGGAAAATTGCTTGAACCCAGGAGGTGGAGGTTGCAGTCAGTCGTGATCTTGCCACTGCACTCCAGCCTGGATAACACAGAGGGAGTCTGTCTCAAAAAAAAAAAAAACACAAAAAACAAAGTGTATTAAAAATTTCATGGCCGGGTGCGGTGGCTCACGCCTGTAATCCCAGCACTTTAGGAGGCAGAGGTAGGTGGATCACGAGGTCAGGAGATCGAGACCATCCTGGCTAACATGGTGAAACCCCATCTCTAGTAAAAATACAAAAAATTATCCAGGCATGGTGGCGGGCGCCTGTAGTCCCAGCTACTTGGGAGGCTGAGGCAGGAGAATGGCATGAACTCGGGAGGCGGAGCTTGCAGTGAGCTGAGATCGTGCCACTGCACTCAAGCCTGGGAAAAATAAATAAATAAATAAAATAATATAATAAATTCAGACGTTGGCCGGGCACAGTGGCTCACGCCTGTAAATCCCAGCACAATGGGAGGCCAAGGCAGGTGGATCACCTGAGGTCAGGAGTTTGAGACCAGCCTGACCAACATGGTGAAACCCCCCCTCTACCAAAAATACAAAAGTTAGCTGGGCATGCTGACAGACGCCTGCAATTCCAGCTACTCGGGAGGCTGAGGCAGGAGAATCTCTTGAACCTGGGAGGCAGAGGATGCAGTGAGCTGAGATCGCGCCATGCACTCCAGCCTGGGCAACAGAGAGAGACTCCATCTCAAAAAGAAAGAAAAAGGAAAAAAAATTTCAGACCTTGCATGTTCTCACTCATAAGTGGGAGTTGAACAATGAGAACACATGGACACAGGGAGGGGAACACACACAGGGACAAGGGGAGGGAGAGGATTAGGACAAATATCTAATGCATGCGGGGCTTAAAACCTAGTTGATGCCAGGCGTGGTGGCTCACGCCTGTAATCCCAGCACTTTGGGAGGCCGAGGCAGGTGGATCATGAGCTCAGGAGATCGAGACCATCCTGGCCAACATGGTGAAACCCCGTCTCTACTAAAATACAAAAAATGAGCGGAGCGTGGTGGTGTGTGCCTCTAGTCCCAGCTACTTCAGAGGCTGAGGCAGGGGAATCACTTGAACCCGGGAAGTGGAGGTTGCAGTGAGCCGAGATCCCGCCATTGCACTCCAGCCTGGCAACAGAGCAAGACTCCGTCTCAAACAAACAAACAAAGAAAAAAACCCCAGATAATTGGTTGATAGTTGCAGCAAACCACCACGCACATGTACATGTATACCTACGTAACGAACCTCCACGTTCTGCCCATGTATCCCAGAAGTTAAAGTTAAAAAAAAAAAAAAAAAATTTCAGACCTTATTTCCAAAAGCAAAATCTCCACTACAAAGGAAAAGTTAAACTAGGAAGAACAAACCAACCTAGGCCATGGGCCAAACTACATCTGAGCTTAAACACTTACTTCAGGGAAGATGTAATCTCAGCACTTTAGGATGCCAAGGTGGGCGGATCACCCTGAGCTCAGAAGTTCGAGACCAGCCTGGTCAACATGGTGAAACCCCATCTCTACTAAAAATACAAAAATTAGTCACACATGGTGGTGGGCACCTGTAATCCCAGCTACTAGGGAGGCTGAGGCAAGACAATTGCTTGAACATGGGAGGTGGAGGTTGCAGTGAGCCAAGATCAGGCCATTGCACTCCGGCCTGGGCAACAAGAGTGAAAAGTGCATCTCAAAAAAAGAAAAAAAAAGGCCAGGCATGGTGGCTCATGCCTGTAATCCCAGCACTTTGGGAGGCCAAGGTGGGCGGATCACAGGGTCAAGTGATCGAGACCATCTTGGACAACATGGTGAAACCCTGTCTCTACTGAAAATACAAAAATTAGCAGGTGTGGTGGCATGCACCTGTAGTCCCAGCTACTCGGGAGGCTGAGGCAGAAGAATCGCTTGAACCTGGAAGGCAGAGGTTGCAGTGAGCCAAGATTGTGCCACCGCACTCCAGCCTGGCGACAGAGCAAGACTCTGTCTCAAAAAAACCAAAAAACAAGTCTATGTCATGCTGTCTCCATAGCATACCGTATTTCTCCCTTGAGGGTCTCATTCTGTCAGTAATTGCTCAATGTCCATTTTTCCCAGTGGACTGAGTTATATGGGCAGAGGCCAACATCAGTCTTGCTATAATCCCCAGTGACAAGTAGACTAAGCTTTCAAAACATATACCAACACTTAATAATTGGATGCTGCCTATGTTGAGTTAACAACTTCATTAGTGAAGCATTTAATGTGTTCCATAGCTCATGACAGGTCTAGTCAGGTGACATAGGGTTAGAAGGAAAACCTGGTCTGGCCAGTTCAGGACAAAACTAGACCAGCTTCCAAAAAGAATTTTGACCTACTCAGACAGGAAGTAATGAGTTACTTCACAGATGAATCTGCAGACCATCGTTAGATCAGAAGGGTTTTTAAAGTGCACTTGTCTAGTGCTGATAGATTCAAATGGCCCATCTTATGTAGTAATGCAGCACTAGTAGTAGCAAGGCCCAGAACATGGGGCTCTCAGTTTCTAAGCTAATGTGCTCCTGATTTTGTTTGTTTTCCCTTTTGGAGGAATAAAGACTTATTAAAGAGAAAAATTAGATCTGGACACAGCATGGCAAATAAATTCAGATTTACTATTCCTGTTCATGTTTTCTTCTTAGCATATTCTCCCTAACCTCTCCCACTCCTCACTCCCCATCTCTCCCAAACCCTCTGCCACACCCACCTTTAACAGAGTATATTTCAGCCCTCCTTGGTCCAGCCTTCTGTATACAAACCATTCCCTTAGGCAAGGGGTTGGCAAACTAAAACTCACAGGCCAATTCTGTCTTTGTGAATAAAGTTTTATTAGAACATAGCCACAACCACTTGTTTACAGATTACCTATTGCTGCTTTCTCACCACGACACTACAGCTAAATAGTTCTGATAAAGATGATCTGACCTGCCTTATGCTATCCAAATGGTGGTCTCAGTTCTCTTCCTAAGAAACATTCTTCCCTTGAGACATGTGCAAAGTGAAATTTTTAGTACTGTGATATGTAACCCTGAGGAATTTTATTTTTCTGAGACAGGGTCTCACTCCATTGCCCAGGTTAGAGTGCAGTGGTGTGATCACTGCACTCACTGCAGCCTCAACCTCCTGGGCTCAAATGATCCTCTCACCTCAGCCTCTGAAAGTGCTGGGATTTTAGGTGTAAGCCACCATGCCAGGCCAGGATTTTTAAAAGTTATAATAGGCTCTCATAGCCAAAGAAATAGAGCAAAATTTAAAACAAAACAAAAACATGCTTATAGGTTATATAGTCCTCTTTTTTCTTGCTCTGTCACCCAGGATGGAGTGCAGTGACATAATCTCGGCTCGCTGCAACCTCCTCCCAGGCTTAAGCAATTCTCCTGCCTTGGCTTCCTGAGTAGTTGGGAATGCACCACCATGCCCAGCTAATTTTTGTATTTTTAGTAGAGACAGGGTTTCACCATGTTGGCCAGGCTGGTCTCGAACTCCTGACCTCAAGTGATCTGCCTTCCTTGGCCTCCCAAAGTGCTGGGATTACAGGAGTGAGCCACCTACCGTACCTGGCCTTATATAGCCCTTTTATTTTATTTTATTTTATTTTATTTTATTTTGAGATGGAGTCTTGCTCTTGTTGCCCAGGCTTGAAGTACAGTGGCGCAATCTCAGCTCACTGCAATCTCCACCTCCTGGAAGTGATTCTCCTGCCTAAGCCTCCCCAGTAGCTGGGATTACAGGCGCCCACCACCATGCCCGGCTAATTTTTATATTTTTAGTAGAGACAGGGAGCACTCTCTCTCTCCTACCAGTAGCCCCACTCCCACCCATCTCTGGGAAAAAAAAATAACAAAAAGATAATCACATTGAAAAAAAGTTTATTTAAAAAAGTTCTAGCAGCAAGAACAGTAACAAAAGAAAAGGAGAGACAAACAAAACAAGAGGGAGGTTGTATCCCATGGAACTTGTCTCCTTTCTTAATCGAGTTCTTTATATCGAGCAAACATGACTCTTCGAACAGCATCTCGGTAAGTCTCGTTGGACTGTCTTTTGCTGGTTCTTCCTGAGGCTCCAACACTGGGGCCCCTCATCCGGCCTTCAGCCTGTAAAACAAAGACAAACTATGAAGTGGGCCCTATAGATTAATTAGCCTCAGCGCTGGTCTTTGACCACAGGCATTTCTGGACTAGTAAGAAGCAGTATATAGGATAATTTTTTTTTTTTTTTTAGATGGAGTCATGCTCTGTCGCCCGGGCTAGAGTGCAGTGGTGCGATCTGGGCTCACTGCAAGTCTGCCTCCCCGGTTCAAGCAATTCTTGTGCCTCAGCCTCTGAGTAGCTGGGACTACAGGCGCCTGCCACCACGCCCGGCTAATTTTTGTATTTTTAGTAGAGACAGGGTTTCGCCATGTTGGCCAGGCTGGTCTCGAACTCCTGGCCTCAAGTGATCCGCCCACCTTGGCCTCCCAAAGTGTTGGGATTACAGATGTGAGCCACCACACCTGGCAGAATAATTTTTTTTTTGAGACAGAGTCTCGCTCTGTCACCCAGGCTGGAGTGCAGTGGCACGATCAAGATCTTGGCTCACTGCAACCTCTGCCTCCCCGGTACAAGCGATTCTTCTGCCTCAGCCTCCTGAGTAGCTGTGATTACAGGCGCGCGCCACTGCACCCAGCTAATTTTTGTATTTTTAGTAGAGACAGGGGTTTCATCATATTGGTCAGGCTGGTCTCGAACTCCTGACCTTGTGATCCACCCACCTCGGCCTCCCAAAGTGCTGGGATTACAAGCATAAGCCACTGCGCCCGGACCCTGGCAGGATAATTTTTTTAAAGAATCTTTTGGCCGGGCACAGTGGCTCACGCCTGTAATCCCAACACTTTGGGAGGCTGAGGTGGGCGGATCACTTGAGGCCAGGAGTTCGAGACCAGCCTGGCCAACATGGCAAAACTCTGTCTCTACTAAAAACACAAAAATTAGCTGGGTATGGTGGTATGCACCTGTAATCCCAGCTACTCAGGAGGTTGGGGTGGGAGAATTGCTTGAACCTGGGAGGAGGAGGTTGCAGTGAGCTGAGATCGCACCACTGCATTCCAGCCTGGGCGACAGAGCAAGACTCTGTCTCAAAAAAAAAAAAAGAAAAGAATCTTTCATTATTAAACAAATACCCAAGATGAATTAAGGTGGGTGGTGATGCTATGATTGCAAGATACAGGCTTTAATACCAGAGATATGAGAAACTCGGTAGGAGAGAAATAAGCCAATCTCTTATGGTTGGCATTTTCAGAGGAGAAGCAAGCCAACACAAAATGGGTAATGTTTCCTCTTATCACCTTTTCTAGAGGCTCTTGAAATATGAGGGGCAAAGTCCTTCATGGGAACCAGAACAACATGCTCCTTAAATTTTAGCCACCAAAGACTTCCGCTGACAGTCCCTCTCAGAGATGCCTCTGTACCTTTCATTGCTGATTCCCTGGTTCTTTTGCCCAAATGATTCTTCAGTCTCAAACTGCCTCAGATACTGCTCTACTATTTACTCCATGTAAAAGTATGATGAAATCCATTCCAACTCCTTCCTTCTCTTCCTAACTCCAAACTGCAAAGGGCCCAGCCTGCCAAGCTATAACCCAGTATTCAAGGCTAAAGTGTTCAACTCTCATGTCCTATCCCAGCAGTAGAGAAAGCCCAGCAAAATGGCAAAGACATCACTCTAGGCCAGAAAGTGAAAGTTAATTACATTCCAGGTTCATGTCACCCCCCAAAAGATGGAAACCATTTTACCTCCTCTGATGAAGCCAATCCAGGATGGCCATATCCCAGGCCTGTCCCTTTCCTCCAGCCAGTAGCCTGTTGGACACAGCCTCCTTTGCTGCTAGTGTCGATATCTTCTTTATCAACAAGTTTACGATCACTGCAAAAGAAGCAGACACCATCACTTCCTTTTTTTTTTTTTTTGAGACGGAGTTTCACTCTTTTTGCCCAGGCTGGAGTGCAATGGCTCGAACTCAGCTTACTGCAACCTCTGCCTCCTGGGTTCAGGCGATTCTCCTGCCTCAGCCTCCCGATTAGCTGGGATTGCAGGTGCCCGCCACCACACCTGGCTAATTTTTAATTTTTTTTTTTTTCAGTAGAGACAGAGTTTCACTGTGTTGGCCAGGCTGCTCTCAAACTCCTGACCTCAGGTAATCCGCATGCCTTGGCCTCCCAAAGTGCTGGATTACAGGCATGAGCCACCATGCCCAACCTGACACCATCATTTTGATGAAGACCTGCTTATAAGCCTAATATAAAATCTCTGTCCTCTTGATTCATATCTGCCTCTTATTAAGTAAGTATATTTAACAGTACCTCTGAGTGCCTGATAGCTATGTTTTGTTGCTGGGTACACAGACTACTAAGATATGGCCCTGTTCACAAGAAAGGTCTCAAACATTATGTCAAGAGATGCTTATAGAACATTGAAGAGAGCTCAACCATGGATGTAGCAACAGTAGATGTCTGCTATAGAAATACAGTAGAAGGAATCACTTTGGGAGGCTGAGGTGGGCAGATCACCTGAGGTTGGGAGTTCGTGACCAGCCTGACCAACATGGAGAAACCCTGTCTCTACTAAAAATACAAAATTAGCCGGGTGTGGTGGCGCATGCCTGTAATCCTAGCTACTCGGGAGGCTGAGGCAGGAGAATCGCTTGAACCCAGGAGGTGGAGGTTGTGGTTAGCTGATATCGCGCCATTGCACTCCAGCCTGGGCAACAAGAGTGAAACTCTGTTTCAAAAAAAAAAAAGAAATGCAGTAGAAGGAACGAAAACTCTGAAGGGGCATCACCAAAAATGACAGGAATTTCAACAGGAAGATACATCTGAATTGGATCTCGAAATAAGGAGTTTGTGTAAGAGAAAAGGAGGACACAAGCAAGGAGACACAAAAGACAATTTGTCCAAGAGAGTAGTAGTAGAAACTGACAAAGGTAAGGCTGCTTGGTGGCCGGGTGCAGTGACTCACGCCTGTAATCCCAGCACTTTGGGAGGCCAAGGCGGGTGGATCACCTGAGGTCAGGAGTTCGAGACCACCCTGACCAACAGGTGAAACCCCTCTCTACTAAAAATACAAACATTAGCCCATAGTCCCAGCTACTGGGGAGGCTGAGGCAGGAGAATCGCTTGAACCTGGGAGGCGGAGGTTGCAGTGAGCCAAGATCGTGCCATTGCACTCCAGCCTGGGCGACAGAATGAGACTGTCTCAAAACAAAAGGAAAAAAAAAAAAGGCTGCATGGGGTCAGACTGTAAAAAACCTTGAACTTATTAAGCTAAATCATGTCTCTGAACCTCATCCTTCTGGCAAAAGTTGGAGCTCAGGCCTCCCTGTAGGCAAGGTATACGGTTTGTAAAAAGACAAGTTATAAGAGTAGATTTCTCTTTACAAAAGTCATTTTGGTGGCAGGGTAGAGAATGGACTGAAGAACAGTGGGAGCAAAGACTGGGAGTAGGAGTCCAGTGTGGAGGTGGAATAGAATGGGAGATGCTGTGGTTTAAATGTGTCCCTCAAAGTACATATGTTGGAAACATAATCCCCAATGCAACAGTATTGAGAGGTGAAACTTCAGGAAGTGATTAGGTCATGAGAGCTCTGCCCTCACAAATGGATTAATGCTGTTATTGCAGGAGTGGGTTCTCCTGATAAAATGATTAGTCTGGTTTCTTTCTCCCAACCCCCTCTTTTGCCTAAGCTCTCTTGTTCTTTTACTTTCCACCATGAGGTGACACAGCAAGAAGGCCCTCACCAGATGCAGCTCCTCAATCTTGGACCTCCCAGCCTCCAGAAGCATGAGCCAAATAAATTTCTGTTCATTATAAATTACCCAGTCTGTGGTATTCAGTTATGGTATCATAAAACAGACTAAGACAGGGGGCAAGACTTAATTAGGGATTTGGTCACTAATTGGACACAGGGGATAAAGGAGGAGGATGGATCAGACCATGTAGACAGTGATGCTATGATGCTGCTACTCTGAAATAATAATACAGGAGATTTGGACTTGTTAGACTGTGGTGGTGGTTGAGGCCATGGGTACCTTAGAAAGCCCAGGTCAAGAGGGTAGAGCAGCAAGACCAAAGAAGCACTGAGAGAAGAGTCCTAGAGAACACCTGGATTTATCCAGAAAAGGAAGAGGAGCAGAAAAGGTGACTGGAAAGGAGAAGAGCCAGGAGAATGTGGTATAAAGGGTGCTGAGAATAAAGAAGGGTCTCTTTCCGCACCCCACCTAAGCCTTGTCCCAGAAGACTCAAGGCCAAGGTGTCCTTCCTCCTGATGGCTGACTCCTTCACCTAGTCCTAATCCACTGTATTTCAAATTGCAGAGAATGACCCAATGGAATGTCACACTAAATGGTCCCACTGTAACAACTCATAAAAATGAAGAGAGACTAGACTTGAATAAAAATATCAGGGTTCACTGTACCTGGTAAGAAAGTATTTTAGATGAAAACTTTTTCAGTTGTGCACACACACACTTTATTATTGGGCCATGATACAAAAATACTTCTCTTATTGTGGGTTGGATCAAATAAGCTGGAATGCCAGAGCCCCAAAACCTGTCCAGCCTCCTCAAGGGCCTTGCTCTGTCAATTATCTCCCTTTCCTTCTGCTCATGCATCCACTTGTTACCCACTTTTCCTTTTCTTTTCTTTTCTTTTTTTTTTTTGATTTGGAGTCTCGCTCTATTACCCAGGCTAGAGTACAGTGGTGCAATCTTGGCTCACTGCAACCTCCACCTCCCATGTTCAAGCGATTCTCCTGCCCCAGTCTCCCGAGTAGCTGGGATTACAGGTACCCACCACCACGCCTGGCTAATTTTTTTATATTTTTGGTAGAGACAGGGTTTCACCATGTTGGCCAGGCTGGTCTCGAACTCCTGACCTTAAGTGATCCACCTGCCTCAGCCTCCCAAAGTGCTGGGATTACAGGTGTGAGCCACCACACCTGGCCCCATTTTTCCTTTCCTTTTCTTTTTTTTTTTTTTTTTTTTTTGAGACAGAGTCTTGCTCTGTCACCCAGGCTAGAGTGCAGTGGCATGATCTCAGCTCACTGCAACCTCTGCCTCCCAGGTTTGAGCGATTCTTCTGCCCCAGCCTCCTGAGTAGCTGGGATTACAGGCGCCTGCCACAGCGCCCAGCTAATTGTTATATTTTTAGTAGAGAAGGGGTTTCACCATCTTGGCCAGGCTGGTCTCGAACTCCTGACCTTGTGATCCACCCGCCTCGGCCTCCCAAAGTGCTGGGATTACAGGCGTAAGCCACCACGCCTGGCCCCCATTTTTCCTTTTCAAGGACTTTACTGTCCCTTCTCCTCCTAGCTATCCAGAGACCAGAGACCTGAACACCATCAGTGACTTCTCCCTTTCCCCAGGTGATCACAAAGACTGGCAGATCTGACACCTCTCTCTAAGCCACACTCCTTTTCTTTTCTTTTTTTAAATAGAGGCAGGGTCTCCCTTCTCCCTATGTTGCCTAGGCTGGCCTGGAACTCCTAGGCTCAAGAGATCCTCCTTCCTCAGCCTCTCTGTGTTGGGATTATAGGCCACTCTCCTTTCTAGACTCATCACCTTCACTCAGGCAATCATGATCTTTCACTTGAATTACTATAGAATTTGCATAATGCATTAGTCTCTCTACAAACTCATCTTCCACATGATTAGTAATCTCTCCAAAATGCAAAGCTAAGTCAATACCCTGCTTAAAATTATTCCATGACCGTCCACTGCCTTTAAGATAAAGCCTTAGCAAGGTGTTCAAGGTGTTTAAACTTCATGAACTGGCCTGCATCTTTTGGACCAGGCTTATCTACTGTCACTCAACAATATACCTGCAGTGTTCAGGACCATCAAACTATTTGCAACTCCTCAAACACATCATAAGCTCTTATATCCCTGGTATATGAAATTCCCTGAAATGCCCTTCCCTTCCCCACTGATTTCTGTGTCTGCCCTATGAGACGCACCATCACCTAAGTCTTGTCTATTCTGTGTTCAGTCAAGGATAATCTATGTCTTGTCCACCTGAGTATTTCTTGCACTTGACACCTGTAAACAGTGGGTTATCAACAAATTCTATATAACTCTGGGCTTACAACTTGGGAACTAGCTGACTGAAAACAAGTATAGGAAGCTAGATATCATACATCTCCATCAGCAGCCAACCATTTATTTAGCACCTATGTGTGAGAATGGAGGTTCCCTAGAGAAAAAGCCCAAGAGTGTGACATTCTTATCAGGCCCGTAAAGAGGGTGCAGTATTACTGATGAAGACAGAAAGGGTTCCCGATCATGGCTACTCCAGCCCTGGCTTTGGGAAGGCGAAGCTGCCAGCCAACCTTCCATGTACACTCCCCGTATAAAGACAGATAGTAAAAAGGCTGGCATAGACCTCATGTTTTAGCAGTTCAGACAGAATCTACTCATAATATCATCTCCCTGAGACAGAAAACAGCAGTACAGTTGAAGGAGGAGGTGGTTTTATCATTAGGCTTGAGGCCTAGGCTGAATGAAGAGTTCCTGGCTTACCTGTCAGTTTCCCTGGAGTACTTAATCCGTTTCCTTTCTGGAGAGTCAAAAGACTGGAGCTTTTCCCTGCGATCATTTCCTCTTCCTTTAAACTTTCCCTGTTGGTAAGCAGAAGAGCAGACCTGAGATTGCCACCTGAGGGAATTGGGGAGTGGGGAAATTCTACCCCATTGCTGTTATTATTATTATTTTTTTCTTGAGACAGAGTCTCACTCTGTTGCCCAGGCTGGAGTACACTGGCGTGATCTCAGCTCACTGCAACCTCCGCCTCCCAGGTTCAAGCGATTCTCCTGCCTCAGCCTCCCAAGTAGCTGGGACTACAGGTGAGTGCCACAATGCCCAGCTAATTTTTCTATTTTTAGTAGAGACGGGGTTTCACTATGTTAGTCAGGCTAGTCTCGAACTCCTGACCTCATGATCCACCAGCCTCGGCCTCCCAAAGTGCTGGGATTACAGGTGTGAGCCACCGCACCCGGCCTTGTTATTTCTTTTAAAGTGAAAGTAGCTCACTTGGTAACTCCTGGAATCTCTCACTCCTTTACACGTTCTTCTAGAGAAAGCAGTGACTTCCTAACTTAAACATTTGGAAAGAATAAGTTGGCACGCTTGGTTCCGCTGTCTTTTCCCCTTCTGAGAAGCAGGGGAAAGTACACAAGCCCTCCACTATACAAGCCCTCGGGCATATAATATAAAACTTAAGGAGTCCAAAGCAGCTCTTACATGGAGAGGTGGTTCTTTGTAGTAGACAACTCTAAGGAAAGGAAAAATACTACAATCTACTTTCCACTGTCCTATGGCCAGTTCAGTTTGTGAATTCACTATCTCTAACAGTCCTCCATAGGTGGATTCTTTTGTTTGGTTTTGAGACAGGGACTTACTCTGTGACCCAGGCTGGAGTACAGGGCTGTGATCATAGCTCACTGCAGCCTGGAACTCTTGGGCTCAAGCAATTCTCCCACCTCAGCCTCCTAAACTGCTGGGATTACATGCATGTGCCACTGTGCCTGGCTCTCCACAGGTGGCTTCCTTTTTTTTTTTTTTTTTTGAGACAAGGTCTGGCTCTATGACCCAGGCTGGAGCGCAGTGGCACAAACTCAGCTCACTGCAACCTCTGCCTCCCAGCTCATGCGATCCTCCCTCAGCCTCTCAAGTAGCTGGGACTACAGGCACACACCCCATGTCCACCTAATTTTTATATTTTTTGTAGAGATAGGATTTCGCCATGTCGCCCAGGCTGGTTTCAAACTTGTGAGCTCAAGTGATCCGCCCGTCTCAGCCTCCCAAAGTACTGGGATTATAGGCGTGAGCCACCGTGCCTGACCCATAGGTGGGTTCTTAACCATCATGAGAGAGGCCAGTGAAGCCTATGACTGGGTAATTCACCCTAACTGTGTGGTTGAGGTAGCAAGTCCATTTGACTCTGACACTAAGCTACTTCCTCCAGCTTAGCCTTTAATAGTAAAAGATGCTATTTCAGCAGCGCTATTCAACACTTGTTCATTAACTCAACTAATTTAAAAGCTAAGCAGGAAAGAGGAGTGTTATCTACCTAGAGACCCTAACACCACCTTTTAAAAAAGATATCAACTTCATTGAAGTATAAACTTACAAATAATAAAAAGCACCTATTTTGATTGTATTATATAATTTGGCAAATGTATGCACTATCTTTTGAGGCTGCTTTTGTTCTCCATCTTCTTATAAGGAGGGATCAGCACAGCCTATGAAGTCTATATCAGAAAGCAAAAAGAGCTGAGGTCAAGGGAGTAATAGGTCACCAAAGTTTACCTCTCGTTCTCTCCTTTCCAGATAGGCTAGCTCCTGCTCAGACTGTTTTATCTTCCGGTGGATTTCCAGGTTTTGCTGAGAAGAGAGGCAATTCTATGAGTATAGGTCTAAGAAACAATGGTCCTAGAGATGCTTCTAGGCCTTTCCCAATAGTTGCTTTTGGATTGTAGCTCTTTTGATTGATCAGATCTACTAAATGATCACTGTATCCTGCAACCAACAATCCCTAACTGGTCTTGTCATGCAGATTAGTTATGTGGTATGGCATAAGAGGAATATCATTTTACTTATCTCCAAGATGTGGGAAACAAATATCTATCTCTTTATCTAAGTTGAAAATCATGGGACAGAGGATGTGGGCACACCAGTGAAGAAAACCAAATGCCCACATACTCTGCCATACATACCATTCCCAGACATGAGTCACTCTTTCAGCCCCCAGAGAAACATGGAAAGGAGCCCCAGGGTTCCAAGAGACTGCTCTGAGAGTTGCAAATTCCTCACGCATGGCTCTACTACACAAGCCCTCAGACATATGTATGAAACTTAAGGAGTCCAAAGCAGCTCTTACATGAAGTGGTGGTTCTTTGTAGCAGACGACCTTAAGGAAAGGAAAAGTACTACAGTCTACTTTCCACTGTCCTATGACCAGTTCAGTTTGTGAATTCACCAGACCTGTGGCTCCTCTTTCCTGACGATTACTTTTTATCTCTTTAGCCATTTATTAGTATTTACATCAGATGGGTGAAATTTCAATGTGTCAGTCTGACAACTCACAACTTCAGGTCAAAGGACATGGGAGGTAGTCTGTTCCAGGGATTATCAGGAGCTTTTCAGAGTCCTATCTTTGCAAAGCCTCCACAGAGATGGCTGGGAAAAGTAGTGTACCTATTACCAAAAGCAGAACTTCTCAGCTTTTAGCTAAATAAAACTTTGAGCTCTGTATTCAGAGAAAGTCTGAATCTAGTTCCATCACCTGCTCTTGCAACATCTACTAGAGAAGGGGTGTGAAACAAATTGCTCTGAGAATGTGAGTCCATTTAGGGACTTTATTTGTCCATAATTTGGATCCTTGGTCAGTTCATATAAATGGGAATACTACAGGGGAAGACCAATGTATGTCGGTTTAACATCCCAAGTATAGATGTTGTGCTGTGGCTCATAACAATATTCACTACATGAAGAAATGGCAGAATTTGACTCACCTATGGTGAAAACTGCACACTGTCAGAGCTGGATAGAATCAGATGAAGTTACAAGGACCAAAGAAGAAAAGGGGCTTATCTGAGGTCCAACTGTAACGTTAATGACACAGCTAAGATGAGAAACCCAGCAAGTAATGTCCTATTCCACAACCCTTTCTCTTCCTACCCATCCTCCATATTTGGCACCCTAGCCACAGTCATAATGCTTGGCTTCGGCCTATACATGGAAGTTCTTTGAGGGTAGGCATAACCTTAATCCAGAGCAATTCATTCTTGAATTGGACTGTTTTAATGATAGGAACTGGGGCTGATATACACTGAGGAAGGATTGTATAAGCTGCTGCGGCTTTTTTTTTTTTTTTTTTTTTTTTTTGAGATAGAGTCTTGGTCTGTCACCCAGGCTGGAGTGCAGTGGTGTGATCTCGGTTCACTGCAACCTTTGCCTCCCAGGTTCAAGCGATTCTCCTGCCTCAACCTCCCAAGTAGTTGGGATTACAGGCATGCGCCACCACATCCAGGTAATTTTTGTATTTTTAGTAGAGACAGTTTCACCATGTTGGCCAAGCTGGTCTCAAACTCCTGATCTCAAGTGATCTACCTAGGTGCCTTGGCCTCCCAAAGTGCTGGGATTACAGGTGTAAACCACTAGGCCCGGCCTAAATAATCTTTTTTATTCCCCATAATCCCCATCAATAATATGAGTCAACAGTTTTGTTTTGTTTTGTTTTTTAAGAGATGGAGTCTTGCTCTGTTACCCAGGCTGGAGTGCAGTGGCACGATCTCGGCTCACTGCAACCTCTGCCTCCCAGGTTCTAGCAATTCTCCTGCCTCAGCCTCCCGAGTGGCTGGGACTACAGGCACACAACACCACACCTGGCTAATTTTTTGTATTTTAGTACAAAGGGGGTTTCACCATGTTGCCCAGACTGGTCTTGTACTTCTGAGCCCAGGCAATCCACCCGCCTCGGCCTCCCAAAGTGCTAGGATTACAGGCATGAGCCACAAAGCCCGGCCAAGAGTCAACAGTTTGAAAGGGCATAGCTCCTTCCCCTAATACCTTGTGCAGGTCTGACAGCTGCTGGTGTTTGATCAGAACTTCTTTATTGGGAAACTGCCTTCTGCAAAGCAGACAAGCCAGTTTATTCCAGTCAGTGAGTTTGTCTTCTTCATTCTCCTTCTTGGTTTGCTCCTCTCGCTTCTGGGGCTGTGCTGTGCGGGGCTGTGGGGGAGGGGTCTGTTCCTCCTCTTCTTCCTCCTCATAGTCACTGTCTCCTCCATATTCACCCAAGAGGCCGATCAGTGGGTTTACCACTTTAGGCTGGAAGGAGAAGGCCAGGGATCAATACCAAATTCAACCTATATTTTGGGGTCCATTTTTTTTGATATTCTGATATGGGCATCTCATTTCATTGAATTGGGTTCAAAATAAACTCACTAGCCATGCTGCTCATTTCCCAGATGAAAGCAACATGGCCAGAGCTTGGCTTTGCTCCTTGTTCATTAAGAATAAACAAGAAAGATTCCTTTAGAAGTGACTCTAGCAACAGAATGTGAGGAGAAGGAAGAGAAAGGAAAATAAACATAGAAAATAGTAAAAGGTTACAAATTACAAAGAGGAAGAGATAAATACCTCCAAATTACTGTAACTCATGGAGGGAAGAAAAGATGACTTTCATTAAGACTCTAGCAAAGAGGATTTAGGAAGTAAACTAAAAGCAACTGCATTAATAGGCACTTGGGTAGACAGATCCAGCTCACATGTAAGGTAAAGGCAAAGCATGGTTAAGACAGATGCCACAATGAGCTGAATTAATAATGCGGAGCAGGAAAAGGGTACCTTATAAGAACTGTTAAATAATGATGCATAATCATTGGTCTATGATCACTCAAAATAAATAAATAATGCATGGTCACTATTGTTATATACCTGCATTCAATCAGAATCACTGGTGATTAGGTTGAGACTACTGCTTGAAGGCATCTAAAAAATGGGCACCAATATTAGCATCATTCACTCTGAACAGGCAGAAACTATAAAAAAATGACCACGCATGCACTCCATATCTAAGAGATTCTTGTGTGATGCCAAAAGGCAGGAAAGATTGAGGCTGAGAAAACGGGTTTCCTTGGTGATTTAGAGAACTGACAAGAACAAGATGATAAAAAGGGCTAGGCATCTCGTCTGGTAAGAATGGCACAGGGCAGAGAGAAAGAGTCCAGATAACTGCCTCTGGTTCTCCAGTAATACCCCCATTAGCAGACAGAAAACTTTATCTCATGCTTGTACTCAAAAGAAATGGGAATCCTTATTCGGGAGACATAGTGAGGTAAAAGACCAACACCAGAGGAAGGCATCAGCCTTTGCGCTTCCTCTTCTACTCGGAACCATCCCCAGCCCCAGCCCTAGGTCCAGGGGATCAATGTTGGTCTTACTGGAGGGGGACTCTCTTCCTTCTTCACAGTAGGAGGCAGGGGCTTCTTAAAGACGTCTTCTGCAGGGGCCTTCCCTTCACTGGCATTTTCCTGAAACTGATCAAACCAGAGGTAACTCTCACATGATATTCACTCATAATAACTGATAAAGGCTGGGCTGGGTGCGGTGGCTCACGCCTATAATCCCAGCACTCTGGGAGGTCAAGGCAGGTGGATCACAACGTCAGGAGATCGAGACCACCCTGGCTAATGCAGTGAAACTCCATCTCTACTAAAAATACAAAAAATTAGCTGGGCGTGGTGGCGGGCACCTGTAGTCCCAGTTAGTAGGGAGGCTGAGGCAGGAGAATGAACCCGAGAGGCGGAGCTTGCAGTGAGCCAAGATTGTGCCACTGTGCTCCAGCCTGGCCAACATGGTGAAACCCCGTCTCTAGTAAAAATACAAAAATTAGCTGGGTGTGGTGGTTTTGGCCTGTAATCCCAGCTACTTGGGAGGCTGAGGTAGAAGAACTGCTGGAACCTGGGAGGCAGAGGTTGCAGTGAGCCGAGATCGTGCCACTCCATTCCAGCCTGGGTGACAGAGAGAGACTCTGTCTCAAAAAATAAAATAAAATAAAATAAAACGTTAGTATATATTGCATGATTACTGTATGTCAGACCAGATGAGGCATGTATATATAAACATTGTCTTCTTCAGACTTTACTATGATCCTCCTATGTAAGCTTTACTATCTTAATTTTACAAATGATTGGGAATATAGTTTGACAGATTAAGTGGCTGAAGCAGAGTCCAAATATTAAATCAGTATGACTCTAAGTTTTTAAACACACACACACACTCTCTCTCCTCTTTTCTGTATCTCTAAACAACTAACAGTGTTAGAAGGGGAAAAAAAGGCTGGGCGCAGTGGCTCATGCCTGTAATCCCAGCACTTTGGTAGGCTGAGGTGGGCGGATCACAAGGTCAGGAGTTCGAGACCAGCTTGACCAACATGGTGAAACCGCGTCTCTACTAAAAATACAAAAATTAGCTGGGCGTTGTGGCAGCGCCTGATATCCCAGCTACTCAGGAGGCTGAGGCAGGAGAATCCCTTGAGCCTGGAAGGCGGAGGTTGCAGTGAGCCGAGATAGATCACGCCACTGCACTCCAGCCTGGGCGACAGAGCGGCTCCGTCTCAAAAGAAAAAAAAGGGAAAAAAAGGTGTTATGAATTGAATCACAAGCAAATTCATCCATTTTCACTAATGCATAACTGATATCAAGGTAGGTGTGATCTTGGCTCACTGCAACCTCTGCCTCTCAGGTTCAAGAGATTCTCCTGCCTCAGCCTCCTGAGTAGCTGGGACTACAGGCTTGCGCCACCACGTCCAGCTAATTTTTGTCTTTTTAGTAGAGATGGGGGTTTCACCATATTGGCTAGGCGGTCTCAAACTCCTGACCTAAAGTAATCCGCCTGCCTTGGCCTCTCAAAGTGCTGGGATTACAGGCATGAGCCACCATGCCCGGCAGATTTTCTTTTTTTTTTTTTTTTGAGACAAGTCTGGCTCTGTTGTCCATGCTGGAGTGCAGTGGCGCAATCACAGCTCACTGCAATCTCCTGGGCTCAAGCGATCCTCTTAACTCAGTCTCCCAAGTAGCTTGGACTACAGGCATGCATCACCACAGTAGGCTAATTTTTTTTGTATTTTTGGTAGAGATGGAGTTTCACCATGTTGCTGGTGTCAAACTCCTAAACTCAGGCATCCACCTGTCTTGGCCTCCCAACGTGCTGGGATTACAGGTGTGAGCCACTGCACCCTGCCTAATAATTTGATTTTGTATTAGATGTAAAAATGTTCATCATCTCTGATTCTGAAAATGTGTCATAGGGAGTAATTTAAAAGAAGAAACAAAATGCTAAATGTTATATATTATGACAGTATAAGATTAGAAAGAGGCGAGCAAGGTGGGTCTTGCCTGTAACTGAAGCACTTTGGGAGACTGAGACAGGAAGCTTACTTGAGGCCAGAAGTTCGAGATCAGCCTGGTCAATCTAGCAAGATCCTGTCTCTACAAAAAAGCAAAAATTAGCTGGTCATGGTGGCTCATGCCTGTAGTCCCCGCTACTTGGGAGGCTGAGGTGGGAGGACTGCTTAAGCCCATGGGTTTGACGTAGAAGTGAGCTATGATCATGCCACTGCACTCCAACCTGGGAGACAGAGGAAGACTTTGTCTCAGAAAAAAAAAAAAAAAAAGGAAAAAGAAAAGATTAGAAAGAGAAGACAAATAATGTAGGAGAGATGAAGAAAATGAAGGTACAGTTATACCGTGAATTTTTACCATGTGGGCATTAAAAATAATAGAGTATATAGAAACATGGAAAAAATACTTAGGATAAAAAGTGACTAAACAGTATCTCCTGCTATAATTACAACTAGAGAAATGTGTATAAAGTCAAACACTAAAAAAGGAATGTAGAAAAGTGAAAATGTATGGAGCTGAGGTGTTGGGATTTGAGCTGGGCCACTTTGTTCTACCATCCATAGTTTTCCCATTTGTAAAAGAGAGAGTTGGGATATAAGAGGTGAGGGAATTGCCTACACCAGGTAAAAATACTCATTAACAGAGGTTTTTTTTTTTTTTTTGATACAGAGTCTTGCTCTGTTGCCAGGCTGGAGTGTAGTGGCGCGATCTCGGCTCACTGCAACCTCTGCCTCCAGGGTTCAAGCAATTCTCCTGCCTCAGCCTCCTGAGTAGCTGGGACTACAGGCGTGTACCACCACACGCAGCTAATTTTTGTATTTTTAGTAGAGACAGGGGTTTCACCATGTTGGCCAGGATGGTCTCGATCTCCTGACCTCATGATCCGCCCGCCTTGGCCTCCCAAAGTGCTGGGATTACAGGCGTTAGCCACCACGCCCGGCTGACAGAGTATTTTTAAAGTTACTTTACACTTGCAAACATAGATATCCTCTGTTCGTACCTCCAACATTTTAATAACTATGTGGCAAAAGACAGCAAATTAACAATTCCTCTTACCCTCGTCACTCCTCTGTCTTTTTTCTCCTTGCCATCTCTTTTAGACATTTCCTTCTTGCTACTTGACTTTCCTTGACTGGTGGGTTTTTTTTCCTTGATCTCTTCTTCCTCAGGTAATCCAGGATCCTGGGGCACATAGACTTCTTGCTGCGATACAGTTGGAAACAAGTAAGTCTACAGAATGTTTCAGTTTCCCAGCAATTCCAGGTCTAAGGCGCACAGTTCCCTTTTAGGGGAAGAAACAACTTTTTTACTTACAAGTCTAAGAAGAGTCCACATCAATCTAAAAACCCACTCCAGGGACCAGGACACATTCAGACCACCCACTGTCCACTTTTTCAAGAGCAACACTGTTCTTACCTGTATTGCCACAAGGCACTGATTTTCCATATAGGCAACAGTTCTGTTTCCATAGATCTAAACTTTTCCACTTTTCATGCAATGAGCATCCAGAGAATCCAGGGAATAAAATCCTCAAGTAGCAAATTATGGGTGCTTTTCTCAAAAGAATCATTGACAGAGGTAAAAAAAAAAAAAAAAAAAAAAAAGCCCCAAACTCACCTGGGTATTGGGGTCATAATAAGTTCCTGCCAAGGGGTCATAATAGTAGCCAGTAGCAGAATCATATATGTAGCAGTCAGATGATGCTAAAGGTAACAAGATCAGAGCCAATGTTAGTCTCTGTCCAATGAAGCCCTTACTGGAGACTCATCAAGAACCCAAGAATTAGGGTGACCAACACAAATAGGTGCATCTACAGATGCCTCTCTCTGGATGAGCACCCTCAGTCAACAGTGTATCTTGCCAACTGTGATCACACAGATGTCAAGTAATGAGTAGCAAGTCAAGCAAAAAAGAGCAACAGAAATAAAACAAAGGTTACTTACACTGTTGTCCTTGTCGATTTGTATCTGAAGACCAGTCTGAATTTCTGCCACCTCCCCTCCTATCTCGGAAATATTTTTTACCCTATCACAGAAAGGCAAGTTAAAATTACAGAACTATCCAATGGTCATTCACCTTAACAGTCACCCACTAAAGAAAATTCAAGATCACCCTTATAGTCACCTGAGGATTTTAATAGAGCACTCCCCACCTGTTACAGCCTACCTGATAGTAATGCATGTGGTCAGAATGGTCCCCAGAATCATTTCTGCAACAGATAACACAACAATTCTTAAGGCTGCTACCAAGTGGCATTTGACGAGTACTTAATCCTACAGTTCCTATCGAGAAATCCTCTGTTCCTCATTTTGCAGGGAAAGGAACCAACCTAGACAGCAAGCAGGTTGGGTGGTCCAGACACTCCTGAAAGAATGAGCAGTAAGACTCTTTTTTTTTTTTTTTTTTTTTTTGAGACGGAGTCTTGCTCTGTCGCCCAGGCTGGAGTGCGGTGGCGTGATCTCAGCTCACTGCAAGCTCCGCCTCCTGGGTTCACACCATTCTCCTGCCTCAGCCTCCCAAGTAGCTGGGACTACAGGTGCCCACCACCACGCCCAGCTAATTTTTTTTTTTTTGTATTTTTAGTAGAGACGGGGTTTTACCGTGTTAGCCAGGATGATCTCAATCTCCTGACCTCATGATCTGCCCGCCTCGGCCTCCCCAGGTGCTGAGATTACAGGCGTGAGCCACCACGCCTGCCCAATGAGCAGTAAGACTCTTACAAAGCCAAGTGGTGGAGCAAAACAGCCATTAAGTGGAGGGTGCTAGAGCAAGATATGCCCCATATTGGTAAGCCTGTTTCTCTGACATGGCCATTTCCAAGTTACCACTCCTGGGTCAAGATGAGTGAAGGAGGAAAGAGAAATTAGATTTCCCAGTGCTATGGAAATATGCACAAGGTCAGGGGAAGGAAAAGCCAGGACAGCATTTTCCTAGGATTGCAAGGGGCAAGAATGTATTGACATGTGTCTGCACATCCAAAACTGTACCATCATTTTTTTGTTAAGAGATAGGGTCTTGCTGTGTTGCCCAGGGTAGAGTACAGTGGTTATTCACAGGCATCTTCATTGCACACTATGGCCTAGAACTCCTGGGCTCATGTAACCCGCTCCCCATCTCGCCTCAGCCTCTTTAGTAGCTTGGAATAGAGATATGTGCTACCACGCCAGGCCATTTGGGACCCAAAGATACCAGACAGTCAAAAGGGAAAGGACAAAAGTACCTAGTATTATTCAAGAAAGAAAACAATTCGAGAGTCAGGACAAGTCAGGCTTCAGAAAGAAACTGTAATAAACACCTATCTGAAGCAGTCCATGTTAGGAAAACATCATGCTTTACTGTTTTTCCAGCCAGGAAAAGGAGTTTCCTCTCAAAAACACAAGTGGGGGCAGCACAAGAGATCCTCACCCTTCTGCCTTACCTTCGTTTTCCAGTGGCCAGGTTTACAGCTACCATCTTCCCATCAATGCTAAATGGCGGATCAAGGTTCTGTAAGATCTTCACCACACGAAGAGCTTCCTATAGAACCAGACACACTTGAACCCAGAGACAGAAAATGCCAGAACCCAAAGACAGAAAAATTCTCCTTTGAAAGAGAAGTGAACGTGGATTTTCCTTCTCAGAGGATAAATTTACTACATTATATTCTGTCAAAATTTTAACAGTAAGAGCATACTGGCAGAAACAGGCAACTTTTAATGAAGGACTGATTGGAACAGGAATCAGAATAGATGTCAGTTCTGGCATAAACTTCAGAAATTCAAATCCTCTTCTTTTAGGTTGCAATTATCATCAATCAGATTCAGTTTACAAAGTCCCTTGTGACTTTTGAGCATGAAAAATCTAAGAAATACCAATGACTTTCATTATCTTCACCTTACTTCCATAGAAAAAGGCCCCGCAACTAAAAATTTAAGCCACAGGAATCTATAAATACTTTGAGGAAAAAGAGGAAATGTTTTATCATCAAATATAAAACCATCTGTGGCTGGACAAAATAAATCAGAAAGTTCACTAAAATCATGAAGGATTCAGTACTCAGATTCTTCACAAGCGAGTAAGTTGGAAACAGTAAATGACACAAGAAAAAAATGAACCTAGAAAACCAGACGGGATCCTAACTTTTGAGGGCTGTCACCTGACCTGAATGAACAATAAACCCAAAGGAGAGAGCAAGAGGGATTATGATATCAGGTAGCACACAAGAATTCAAATGATCAAGAAGTCCCTCAAATTTTTTTTTTTTTTTTTTGAGACAGAGTCTCGCTCTGTCACCCAGGCTGAAGTGCAGTGGCGCGATCTCGGCTCACTGCAAGCTCCGCCTCCGGAGTTCACGCCATTCTCCTGCCTCAGCCTCCCGAGTAGCTGCGACTACAGGCGCCTGCCACCACGCCCAGCTAATTTTTCTGTATTTTTTAGTAGAGACAGGGTTTCACCGTGTTAGCCAGGATGGTCTTGATTTCCTGACCTCGTGATCCACCCACCTCGGCCTCCCAAAGTGCTGGGATTACAGGCGTAAGCCACCAGGCCCGGCCCCCAGTCAAACCTTCTTGAAGGTTCTTTAGCCATCTGTCTCTAGGCCAATCCAAGGTGGAGGAAACTCACCGCATGGGAGTCGAGGTCAATAAAGCCATAGGTATGCCCCATAGGGCCTGTTCTGTTCTTGATGATACGGACGTTGGCAGTAGTAAGGCGGACATAGGGCTCCAGCACTTCCACTATCACCTCAGGTGGTGTGGAACGATAGATACGCTTTAGCATGATAGCTGAATCAACCATAAATGGGAGAAGGGCAACACAAGGGAGAGAAAGATAAATTTTTGAAGTCCCAAGAATCTGACTGTCATTTTTTACTATAGATGCTACTAGCAAGGCTGGTTCTGTAAAAAAATGCTAAACAAATAAATACTGCATACTTTTCTTCACCAATACTTAGAAATCTAAAATCATGCCTTACTGCATTCATATAGCAATTTACTATTTGAAGGGCATAGATTCCTTTAAGCAGTACAGGAAGGTCCACAGACAGCAATGGCCTCTGTCATCAGGTCATGCACAGATCTCTCAGGGTACTGGAAAGCAGATAGCTCCCGGACATAACATTGGCCATCTATGCTCCATTGTGATGATCACAGTCTGGTATGTGCCCTGACAAACTACTTACTTTTGCTCTCTCCATCCTGGCGTGTCTCTCCAGACCATGACTCCCTCTCTCGGTCTCTTCGGAAAGTTGGCCCTTCCCTTCGAGAAGGAGGCAGATACCTTTCTGCTTCTCTCTTTTGATGTCCTAAGCGTGACTCTTGGCCTTCTTCCCTCTTCCTGGGTTCAGGTTCCTTATCAGCTGGTCTTAGGGGCTGGTTGGGCTGTTTTTCCAATGGTGCTGGTATGGATGTTTTCTGAGGCTGAGGGTAGGTTATTAATTCTTGCTTGGCCTCTGTCACTAGTGGAACAGAAACAAAGAGAATCTCTAGAAAGCTTTATCAAAAAAAAAAAAAAAGAAAAAACACTGCTACTGTAATTTCTCCTTACCTGCCAGCAAATACTCATACTGGAATGCCTTTTTTTTTTTTTTTTTTTTTTGAGACGGAGTTTTGCTCTTGTTGCCCAGCTGAAGTGCAATGGCATGATCTTGGCTCACTGCAACCTCTGCCTCCCGGGTTCAAGCGATTCTCCTGCCTCAGCCTTCAGAGTAGCTGGGATCACAGGTGCCCACCACCACGCCCAGGTAATTTTTTGTATTTTTAGTAGAAACGAGGTTTCACCATGTTGGCCAGGCTGGTCTCGAACTCCTGACCTCAGGTGATCCACTTGCCTCGGCCTCCCAGAGTGCTGGGATTACAGGTGTGAGCAAACACGCCCGGCCTGGAATGCTTTTAATATTATCTCAGAAATATCTAATAAAAAGTCCTCTGACAGTTCCTGACAAAATATTTTAAGTGAAGCTGAGACAGGACATGAAATAGTTCACAGAAGAAACTATCCAAGCATTTAAAAAATGTAATCTTATGAAATCTCTATATCACCTACTAAACATTTAAATATAACAAATCCTTCATGACACCTTGAACCTGACTATCATAATCAATGATAACAACACATCTGGGGACAAAATTACCGAAGATATGGCCCTTACTTAAGGTTTAGTAGAAACACATATCCCAAACACACATCTAGAAGCCTTGCTTCTTCCAGTGTTACAGTGCTCAAACAGCTACTCATATCCTGTAAGACCACAGGCCCTCCTCCAGTGAAGCTAGGAACAGACCCTATCTGCACGTAGCTCCTTTATATGCAAATAAACATAATGGGCAGACGTCCTTCAAAATATAAATGATTTATTTCAAATGTCCTACTACAGCAGGATAATTTGTCTTTATAGTTTGTTTTATAATTAGGGGCACATTCTTGTAACTAATTCATTCTTGGAGGGTTCACTGGAATCCATGTGGCTCAAAAAGAGGTATTATATGAGAGCAATATAGAGATTACATAATAGCAGTGACAGGTTTCCAGATTAAAGCTGTCTCATCTTAGTGGTATGGTGCCCAGTGGTTTTCATACACTATCTATTCATGGCCGGGAGCGGTGGCTCACGCCTGTAATCCCAGCACATTGGGAGACTGAGGCGGGCAGATCACGAGGTCAGGAGATCGAGACCATCCTGGCTAACACAGTGAAACCCTGTCTCTACTGAAAATACAAAAAATTAGCTGGGCACGGTGGCGGGTGCCTGTAATCCCAGCTACTTGGGAGGCTGAGGCAGGAGAATGGCGTGAACCTGGGAGGCAGAGCTTGCAGTGAGCCGAGATTGCGCCACTGCACTTCAGCCTGGGTGACAGAGCAAGACTCCGTCTCAAAAAAAAAAAGAAAAAAAACAAAAAACTATCTATTCATTTGCTGGAATAGCTTTGAAAAAAAGTGTTTCTTGTGGGGGGAAAAAAACACAACTTTGCCTAACCTGAAGTGACCTAACAAGCAAAAATCTCAGTTGTTCATCCTCCTTCCCACATTTTGGTTTGGTTTCTAGAACATACACAGCCTTCCCCTAAAGATTTTCAGAACACCTGCCTTTCAGTCTTCACCAGAGTAAAATCTCCACAAGAGGACAAAAGCCCACCTAAGAAACTCCTTGTAGGCACATTAAACTCTAACCTTGCAACAAACAGAAGGCTACCTGAATCCCTGCACTGAACTATATTTTATGGTCATGCTGTGGCTTTCCTTAAGGGATGACTACAGGACTGTTGTTATGGATGCATGTGTCTGACTCTTCGAAGTTGCCTACCTGAAATTTCTCTAAAGAAATTTACATTAAAGATAAGTGCTTGAGAAGCTGGTAGTTTTATTCCTCTAAAATAATAAAATGTTCCCCACATCCTGATTATTTTCTCCTATTTATGTTTTTACTGTTATTTTAACAAATGTTTTTCTCTTGAAAATCCTGAAATGCTTACAGAATGTAAAAGAGAAAACAATAGAGCAAATGATTCCCAATAACTTCAAAGAAGTAGGAGTGGGAGAAAGGTTTGCCACACAGACTGATGTCATAAAGACTCTTTTTCAACCTAACATCCTTAATCCTTAAATGTATTCCAAATAACAATATACTGACCTCTGCTCAGCTGCCCACTTAGCCACTTTAGCCTAGGAGCCCACAACCCTATCTCTTTCCTCTGGTGAAAATAAGATCTGAAATCATTTACTAACAGGTTACGTTAAGTTGGGCACCAAACTGCAATTTTTTTTTTCTCACTCTGTTGCCTAGGCTGGAGTGCAGTGGCGAGATCTCAGCTCACTGCAACCTCTGACTCCTGGGTTCAAGCGATTCTAGTGTCTCAGCCTCCCAAGGAGCTGGGATTCCAAGCATGTGCCACCACACCTGTGGCTAATTTTTGTAATTTTAGTAGAGACAGGGTTTCGGCATGTTGGTCAGGCTGGTCTTGAACTCCTGACCACAGGTGATCCACCTGCCTTGGCCTCCCAAAGTGCTGGGATTACAAGCGTTAGCCACCATGCCTAGCTCAAATTGCACTTTTGAAAGGTTTGGGCCGGTCGTGGTGGTTCACGCCTGTAATCGCAGCACTTTGGGAGGCTGAGGCAGACAGATCACGAGGTCAGGAGATCGAGACCATCCTGGCTAACACGGTGAAACTCCGTCTCTACTAAAATACAAATAATTAGCTGGGCATGGTGGTGGGCGCCTATAGTCCCAGCTACTAGAGAGGCTGAGGCAGGAGAACAGCGTGAACCTGGGAGGCGGAGCTTGCAGTGATCCGAGATTGCGCCACTGCACTCCAGCCTGGGTGAGTACGAGACTCTGTCTCAAAAATAAATAAATAAATAAAGGTTTGCAGGCCTTGTGCAGTGATTCACACCTGTAATCCCAGCACTATGGGAGGCCAAGGTGGGTCGGGTCACAAGGTCAGGAGTTCAAGGCCAGCCTGACCAACATGGTGAAACCCCGTCTCTACTAAAAATACAAAAAAATTAGCCGGGCTACAGGGCGTGGTGGCACATGCCTGGAATCCCAGCTAATCAGGAGGCTAGGGCAGGGGAATCGCTTGAACCTGGGAGCTGGAGGTTGCAGTGAGCCAAGATGGTGCCACTGCACTCCAGCCTGGGCAACACAGCGAGACTCCATCTCAAAAAAAAAAAAAAAGGTTTGTAGATCAACTTGGATTTAGGGATGATAATTCTTCAAAGCCAAGGAAAACATGAAATTTGTTTTGCTCAATGCACGAGATAAAAACTGCTACCACTTTCGCCACTCACCTTCTCTTGGGTTCTTGCAGAATGAACAGGAAGATCGGTGCCCACCAATGTTTGCCTTACACTGTAAGGAAGAAGGAAATCAATTTGACTGAAAACATTTTTAAAAATCTTATGTATATCTAACAAAGTGAAACCCCCCAAAAATGAAAGAAACAAGCCATATCCCAGATCCCCTCAAAGCTTAAAAAAAGAATCTGATATTCCCCACTGATTAGAGCTGGCAGATGGGATCTGATGAGCTACTGTTTGAGAGCTACCTTATAACAAGGCATCTGGGACTTTGGTGCAGCCCAAATGCCTTTGCCCTGGATAAAGATTCCTATAGGAAATATGCCTAGAAAACTACTGTTACATGGTTTATAGAATATTATTGTCCCAAAGCCATTTACAGTCTGCACCCAAAACTTGGGCCTGAACTGACTATGAGATCCCCATTCACATTTGGCTAGAACTGAGAATTCAGTTATCAACTCCTTTCTCAAACACTGATAATGAGGTACAAGGTAGGAGGAAGAGATACAGATAGTGTCTCTGGCAGCTATCTAAAAGACATTGAAAGGGAACATTCACTAGCCCAGAATAAGGTAAGAGACATTTTTAATGTGAATGTAATTATTTTTGTCTGAACATGTGAACAAAAAGTCAAGCACACTGCCCAACCCCGAAATCCCTGAACTTTTGCCACTGAGCTTCCAAATGCCATGGGGGCAGAAACTTGGTTGGCAGGAAATAAAAGAGTAAGAACTATAAAGAGGATGGTATTTGAGGAGGGCCTTATAGGGCGAGTAAAGGTCTGCCAGATGGAGTTGAGGAGAAAACAATAACAATAGTAGCAGTGGCTAATTCTTTTTTTTTTTTTCTTTTGAGACGGAGTTTCACTCTTGTTGCCCAGGCTGGAGTGCAACGGCATGATCTCGGCTTACCACAACCTCCACCTCCCGGGTTCAAGCGATTCTCCTGCCTCAGCCTCCCGAGTAGCCGGGATTACAGGCATGTGCCACTACACCTGGCTAATTTTGTATTTTTAGTAGAGGCAGGGTTTCTCCATGTTGGTCAGGCTGGTCTCGAACTCCCGACCTCAGGTGATCTGCCCGCCTCGGCCTCCCAAATTGCTGGGATTATAGGTGTGAGTCACTGCGCCCAGCCGGCTAATTCTTAAATAGTACATACCATGTATTTGGCCTACTGTATATGTCATCACTTATTGATCCTGACAACCCCAATAAACTTCATGAAATGGGTACTCTTATCTCCTCATTTTGTAGATGAGGAAACTGAGGCCTAGAGAGGTTAACTCACTTGAGGAAGATCACTACAGTCAGTTATTTCATTGTTCCCTTCCCTATAAACAGATTATAAACACACACACACACACACACACACACACACACACACACACACACACACACCCCTGCCCACTGCCAAATGGCTGTTATGCCTTCCCACAGGGTGAGTATACTTCCTCTCTCCATTGTCAGCCTTGGCCATGTGCCTTCCTTGCTTTCACCAATAAAACATGAGTGAACATGACCTACACTAGGTCTAAGAGAAGCCTTAGGAGCCACTGCTTGCGTGAATGAACCTCTCTCTCCCTTAGCCAGAGGGACACTGCCCCATATTGAGACTGTTTCTTCCGCCTGGGTCCTGGGATGAGAAGCCACGTGGAACAGAACTGTAGCAAACAACCCATAGTCCCTGACATGTAATGTGAGTGAAGAATATGCTTGCTGTTTTAAGCTACTGGGATTGGAGAGTTGTTACTACAGGAGAGCTGCTGTGGTAACTGGTGCTATTTGTAAACATATAGATCAACAGAATAAAACTGAGAATCTAGGAATAAACCTATAGATTATGGTCAACTGATTTCTAACAATGGGGAAAGTGCCAATGGGGAAAGAATAGTCTCTTCAACAAATGGTGCTGGGACAACTGAGTATATACATGCCAACGAATAAAGTATGTGACACTTCAGTTAGTGAGTGGCAGTTAGGATCCTAACCTTAGTAGGTATAATTTAAATAGCATAAAACAGGCCTGGCATGATGGCTCATGCCAGTAATCCCAGTACTTTGGGAGGCCGAGGAAGTTGGATCATTTCGGGCCAGGAGTTCAAGACCAGCCTAGCCAACATGGAGAAACCTCATCTCTATTAAAAATACAAAAATTAGCTGGGGATGGTGGCACACGCCTGTAATCCCAGCTACTTGGGAGGCTGAGGCACGAGAATCACTTGAACCTGGGAGGTGGAGGTTGTCGTGAGCCGAGATTGTGCCACTGCAATCCAGCCTGGGTGACAAACCAAGACTCTCTCTTAAAAACAAAAACAAACCCCATAAAGTTTACCTATTTTATGTGTACAATTCAATGATTTTTAGTAAATGTATAGTGCAACCATCACCATAATCTAATTCTGAAACATTTTCATCACCCCAAAAGAAATCTAGTGGAGTTACCTCCCCCATTCTTACCCCTAGGGACATGGAATTGTGCAATGTATGGTCTTCTGTGTCTGGCATAGTATTTTCAAGGTTCATCTAGGTTGTAACATGCATCAGTACTTCATTCCTTTTCATTGTCAAATAGCATTTCATTGTATGGATATGCCAACTTGTTCATCCATCCATCAGCCAATGGACATTTTGGTTATTTCCATTTTTTGGCTATTATGAATAATACCGCCATTAGCATTTGTTTTAATTACAAAAAAATTTTAATAGGTACATAATAAACTTAAAATTTTTCTTTTTTGTTTTTGAGATGGAGTTTCACTCTTGATGTCCAGGCTGGAGTGCAATAGTGCAATTTCAGCTCACCGCAACCTCTGCCTCCCAGGTTCAAGTGATTCTCCTGCCTCGGCCTCCCAAGTAGCTGGGATTACAGGCATGTGCCACCATGCCCAGCTAACTTTGTATTTTTAATAGAGATGGGGTTTCTCCATGTTGGTCAGGCTGATCTCCAACTCCCGACCTCAGATGATCCGCCTGCCTCGGCCTCCCAAAGTGCTGGGATTATAGGCGTGAGCCACCACACCCAGCTAAAAAAAATTTTGAGACAAGGTCTTGCTCTGTCACCCAGGATGGAGTACTGAAGTACAGTGGCACTATCATAGCTCACTGATGCCTCGACCTCCTGGGCTCAGGTGATCCTCCCACCTCAGCCTGCTTAGTAGCCGCGATCATAGGCATGCACCACCACACCCAGTTAAATTTTGTATTTTTTGTAGAGATGGGGTTTTGCCATGTTGCCCAGGCTGGTCTCGAACTCCTGGGCTCAAGTGATCTGCCCACTTTAGCCTCCCAAAGTGTTGGGATTACAGCCATGAGCCACACCTTATCTCTCTCTCTCTCTTTTTTTTTCTTTAGAAAGGATACTCTCAAGAAAGTGAAAGATAACACATAGAAAATATTTATAAATCATATATCTGATAAGGGATTAATATCCAGAAAATATAAAGTACTCTTATAACTCAACAACAAAAATACATGCAAATCAATTCCAAAGGGCAGAGGACTTGGTTGAACATTTCTCCAAAGGAGGTATACAAATGGCCAACAAACACATGAAAAAAAACCCTCAAAGTCATTAGGAAAATGCAAATCAAAACCACAATGAGATATTATTTCATACCCATTAGGATGGCTATTATCAAATAAAGGGAAAAGAACAAATGTTGGCAAGCAGGTGGAGAAATGAAGCCCTTACATATTGCTGGAATATAAAATGGTACAGCTGTGGTCTATGAAAAGGTTTGCTAATAAAATAAAAGAAATACAGTTTGATGGTTCCTCAAAGAGTTAAATATAAAATTACCATATGACTCAGCAATTCCACTCCTGGATACATACCCCCAAATAACTGAAAACAGCTGTTCAAACAAAAACTAGCACACAAAGGTTCTATTATTCACCAAAGTCAGGGTAGAAACAACCCAAATGTCCATCAATTGAGGAATGGATGAACAAAATGTGATATATTCATATTATTTAGCCACAAAAAGAAATGAGGTACTGATAAATACTGCAACATACATGAACTCTGAAAACATGCTAGGTGAAAGGCCAACAGAAAAGTTTACATATTTTGATTCCATTTATATGAAATATCCGGAATAGGCAAATCCATGGAGATAGAAAAAAGATTAATGGTTTCTGGGGACTGGGGGAAGAAGAAGTGGGAAGTTACTGATTAATGATAAGAGGTTTCCTTTTGAGGGTTTAAAAAAGATCTGAGGCTAGATATGGCAGCTCACACCTGTAATCCCAGAACTTCGGGAGGCCAAGGTGAGAGGATCGCTTGAGCACAGGAGGTCAAGGGTACAGTGAGCCATGATCACATCACTGTACTCCAGCTTGAGAAACAAGAGTGAGATCCTGTCTCAAAAAAAAGACAGAAAAAAAAAATTTCTGGAACTAACCTGGACATGATGGCACCTATAGTCCCAGCTATTTGGGAGGTTGAGGTGAGAGGATGACTTGAGCCAGGGACTGTGAGACCAGCCTGGGCAACATAGTGAGATCCCATCTCTTATTTAAAAAAAAAAAAAAAAGAAGTTCTAGGAAGTAGTGTTGATAGCTGCACAACATTGTGAAGGTACTTAATGTCACTGAATTAATGCTTCAAAATGGTTAAAATGGCAAATGTAATGTTACATGTATTTTATCTCAATAAAAGGAAACGAAATATCTTCCTAAAATGACACCATAAGGGAGTATATCCATGAAATATGAGTACTTTGGCTAATAACAATCATAGCTCTTCAAGTTGTATTCTACCGAGACTAACACAATGTCAATTCTACCGAGACTAACAAATGTCAAGCTAAAGTCTTTACTAAATTTTTTCAAGTACTGTAACATTTTTAGTGTGTCGGGGCTCAGAAACTTTATATATTTTTCATAATTATTTTTGATACTAAGTAGTAGCAATGAAAACAAATTATATTTTCATGCTCACTGCAATCAAACTGGACCTTTAAAGAGTATAGCCGGCTGGGTGCCGTGGCTCAAGCCTGTAATCTCAATACTTTGGGAGGCCGAGGTGGGTGGATAATGAGGTCAGGAGTTCAAGACCAGCCTGGCCAAGATGGTGAAACCCCATCTCTACTAAAAACTACAAAAAAATTAGCTGAGCATGGTGGCACACAACTGTAATCCTAGCTACTCGGGAGGCTGGGGCAGGAGAATCGTTTGAACCCGGGTGGCAGAGGTTGTAGTGAGCTGAGATCGCGCCACTGCACTCCAGCCTGGGCGACAGAGCAAGACTCTGTCTCAAAATAAATAAATAAATAAATAAACAGGCCAGCGCGGTGGCTCATGCCTATAATCCCAGCACTTTGGGAGGCTGAGGCAGGTGGATCACTTGAGGTCGGAGTTCAAGACCAGCCTGGCCAACATGGTGAAACCCCATCTCTACTAAAAATACAAAAATCAGGCAGGTGAGGTGGCAAGTGCCTGTAATCCCAGCTACTCGGGAGGCTGAGGCAGCAGAATCACTGGAACCCAGGAGCCAGAGGTTGTAGTGAGTGGAAATCACGCCATTGCACTCTAGCCTGGGCAACAGAATGAGATTCCGTTTCAAAAAAAAAGAGTATAGCCTAAAATTTTAAATATCCCACTCTAAGAGAATATGGAGTTTAATAGAGGTAAAATGCCATGGTGTCTGAAGTTCTATACCCTTGGAAACCCAAGAATATCCAAAAAATGTACGACTCCCAAAGAACTAGTCTCTCCAAACCTACTTTTCCAACCAAGAATTCCTTTATGACCACCCCCAGGAGAGGTGAGAAGATATTATATGTCAAGGAACTGTTATTTTTATAACTGATAGAAATAATGGCACATGTCCTTGGGAAAGTGTCTCCAATTGCAGGTCCAGAACTCTCTATGGCCACATGTAGCAGCTGGGAAGGAGAAATTATGAATGACCTTGTCTTGACCTCCTCCTGTTCAACTGAAGTGACCTGAGGAAGAAGAGCTTTGTCCTTGGGAATGCATGTTAGCAGGCAGCCTTCCTAGAGATATGGAGGAGCTGTTATTCCAGATACTTACTTCTAAAGAAAGGGATTCTTGGTACTTACTCGTTTGCAGTACCAAAAATCCAGGCTTGATACATACTCCAGGGTAACTTCTTTGTCCTGGATCATTAGAGTTCCCTGTAAAGACAAAGACAGAAGCCATCAACATCAACCCTTGGAGAAACAGACAGAGACAGAAAGGCACAGAGAGCCTTTCCAATCCCCAAGCTGAAACATTTTATAAAGAGTGAGCTTAATTCACTGGTGAAAGGAAATGGCTGTTTTAAGCCACAGACCTGGGGCAGTGTTACAGAGCAAGCTTTAGCTTAGGAAAGGGGAGTACGAGAAGGTGAAATCAGTCTTCGGCCTTGGTTCCTGCAGGTTAGGGTGCTGTCCTTGGGCAGGCTATGCCCAGTCTACTTGTCCAGAGGTCAGGTAATGCACTCTCTTGAATCCCAGCAAGTCCCCCACCTAGCTCAGGAGCTAGCACACTATCAAGAAGTAAACTGTTCCTTCTGCACAGAGGCAGAGGAGCCCTCTTCTTTTCCACAGCTATCTCACATCTCCTTGGAAAGGTAGTAAGGGCTATAACTTTAGTGCCTGAAAATTTTCTTTGAAACACTGGCTGTATGGCAAAAGCACCAGGACAAAGACATACAACATTGAAGACAGGAAGAAAGGAGGAAGGTGAAAGCTTCACAGCAAGTTACATCCTTACAGCAGGAAACTGATTGGCTGGTGGGAGCAACAGCGGCGGCGGCGGTATCACTCTGGCTTGGAGCCTATAGAGTGAGCTAGCCCTGAGATCTGAGGAGCAACCATTGGCAAGTAAGCCTTTGGGAAAGTCTGGCACAGGAACAGGTGGGAAAAGGGGCTCAACAAGCCTGTTAAAGAGCTCCCTTGCCTCTCCATTTTGGACAAGTCATGAATTCTATTTCACATTAAAATAAAGTTTTGTTTAATAAACACTAGGCAGCAGGTATGTGTTGGTGCAGGGGAAAAAAATTCTCTGCCTACTGACAAGGGACCCTCACCCACACTTGAAAGTGAACTAACCGAGAATGCGACTCTGGAACTAGCCCCTGCGCTGTGTTCATTCTCCGCCCTCTAGGGTCCTCTGTGTTTCCTCAGACAGGGCTCTGAGTTATACAAGCCATTTCTTTGCAATTGGACCTCAGTTTCTTGCTTGAATCCATACATCTGTCAAATAATGCTTTACCTCTCTGCTTTTCACATCAAAAAAGTCAAGAGAAATACACAGGATAAAATTATTGTCTTGTCAAAACCAAGGAAAATTGCCCATCTACCTAGGTCTTAGCATCTGGTCTGAGACACTATTCCCTGGCTTGTTCTCAAGGCTAAGGACAATGATAATAAAAATCGCTAACATTTATTAAGCACTTACTAAGAGCCAGAAACCACGAAGTACATTATCTTATTTAATCCCCTAAATGATCCGATGAAATAACATTATCTACACTTTACAGATGAGGACCTATGTTCACAGAGGTGGGGTCACCCAGGTGGTGAAGGGCACAGCTGGACTTACATCTGGGCTGTAGAGAAGGGATCTCCTGTTTCATTTTTCTTTTTCCTTTTGTTTTGACTGAGGGATCTCCTGTTTCATTCACCAGCTTCTGCTCAGTATTAGGGACAGGTAATCTGGCCTTAGGGACCAATCAGAAAAGAGACAGGCTCTGTATGCAGGGAAGGATCTGGGAAGGACCACTCTATCAAGCTCCACCAATGCAGGAAGTTAGTCAAGATGAAGCGCCCCCTCCTTTTTTTTTTTTTTTTTTCCCTGAGACAGAGTTTCGCTCTTGTTGCCCAGGCTGGAGTGCTATGGCGTGATCTCGGCTCACTGCAACCTCCGCCTCCCAGGTTCAAGCGAGTCTCCTGCCTCAGCCTCCCGAGTAGCTGGGATTATAGATATATGCCACCACGCTTGGCTAATTTTGTATTTTTAGTAGAGACGGGGTTTCTCCACGTTGGTCAGGCTGGTCTCGAATTCCCAACCTTAGGTAATCCGCCCACCTCGGCCTCCCAAAGTGCTGGGATTACAGGCGTAAGCCACTGCGCCTGGCCGTCTTTTTTTTTTTTTTGAGACAGAGTCTTGCTCTGTCACTCACTCTCAAGTACAGTGGCACGATCTCGGCTCACCACAACCTCCGCCTCCCAGGTTCAAGCAATTCTCCTGCCTCAGCCTCCCGAGTAGCTGGGACTACAGGCGCACACCACCATGCCTGGCTAATTTTTGTATTTTTAGTAGAGATGGGGTTTCACTATGTTGGTCAGGCTGGTCTCGAACTCCTGACCTCGTGATCTGCCCGCTTTGGCCTCCCAAAGTGCTGGGATTACAGACGTGAGCCACTGTGTCCGGCCTAAGATGAACCCCTTCTAAGCCCAGAGACAGGATATAACATCTTTAAGAGCATGGACTGTAGGCTGAGTTCCCTAAATTTGAATCCTGCCTCTACTCCATGACCTTCAGCAAGGTCCTTAACTTCTTTGTGCTTCCATTTCCTCATCTGTAAAGTAAGGACAACAGTACCTATTTCTTAGGGTGGTTGTGAAGATTAAGTAAATTCATACATGTAAAGAGCTTAGCATAGAATATAGTGAGGGCTCAAGAAATGTTGATCATTATAAGCCCTAGGAACCAAAAAAGACCAGCATCAGCAGGTGGGAGTCAAACAGCCACTCATTTCACCTTGCTTGCTTGCTAGGTAGGAATATTCCACCACCCATTTTAATCTCCTGAAAGACTAAGCTTTCATACGGAATGGTCACTACACATCAGAAACTGTATCTTTACGACAGTACTTTGTGTTGTCAAATTACTGGTCCAGATCTCACAGTCTACTTAATCTTGCTGGCCTTTTATTTATTTTCAGCAACAAAGAGTATCTGGTACCAAAAAGGAGCTTAGTAAGCTCTTGTTGAATGAATCAAAGACTGAATAGAGCCAACTATCCCTGGAGGACCTGGTGCTTGGTACACAGTGGCTCTGGAGGGAGATACTGCTGTTAGAGCATACATCTGTATACCCAATCCATAAAACATGTGGGTTGTCATTTGAACAGTGAGTAAGAACAAGGCACTACTGTCAATTTCAGTCACCTGCAAATTCTGATTTCACCAACTGGAGGCATTAATGGATTCAGGTATTTCTAAGGCACTTTATACTTCTCAGACAACAAAAATGTTCCAGTAGCTGTGGATGACCTTTTGTTGAGGGCAGGGAACTCCCCTTGCCAGGAGTCCCCATCAGCATGTCAACTTTGAGATTACTTTTACCTCATGTGTTACAAAAGCAATGATTTCTTATTCTCACAGAATCATCTATAACTCGGGCAGTCCTTTTTCTCAACCTGCACATAGTTAGACATAGGACAGTGACCACTGCTAAAGAATGTGAAATGGTTTTAACATCACTGTTGAAGGGTAGCCAATTGTTTCTTTTTCTCTCTTAAAAAAATTATTATTATTTTTCCAAAACCAAAAAGGGTCAATATAGCCAATTGTTTAATAAGAATAGGTAGTCATAGGACAAACCTGTATGAGAACAATTTATCTATGATTTGATTCCCCAGCTGCTATCATACACAGGCAACTCAGATATACCAAGCACAGGTATGACATACATACACTGCACCCCTCCCCATTGCTGCCTTTCTCTGGATTTCAGAAAACAGACCTGTCAGTGTCTCCTAGGAAAGTATCCTGTAGGGAGTTAGATTAATGAATGGGTAGGATGATGCAATCACCTTCAGTAGATGTCCATTCTTTTTTTTTTTTTTTGAGACGGAGTCTCGCTCTGTCGCCAGGCTGGAGTGCAGTGATGCGATTTTGGCTCACTGCAACCTCCGCCTCCCAAGTTCGAGCAATTCTCCTGCCTCGGCCTCTCGAGTAGCTTGTATTTTAGCAGAGATGGGGTTTCACCATGTTGGCCAGGATGGGCTCTACCTCCTGACCTCATGATCCACCCGCCTCAGCCTCCCAAAGTGCTGGGATTACAGGCATGAGCCCCAGCGCCCAGCCGTGGATGTCCATTCTTAATTGCCTATTATCTATTAGAGTATCTTCACACATTAGAATATTTATTCATCTTTTGATTTATTGAGTTATTAAGCTACTCAAGCAAAGGAGTCATGAAAGCCATGTGTCTGATTAACCAGGTCTGGCTCCTAAAGAGGTACCATATAGGCCAGGCACGGTGGCTCACGCCTGTAATCCTAGCACTTTGGGAGGCCGAGGCGGGTGGACTGCCTGAGCTCAGTTCGAGACCAGCCTGGGCAACACAGTGAAACCCTGTCTCTACTAAAATACAAAAAATTAGCTGGTTGCGGTGATATACACCTGCAGTCCCAGCCAGTCGGAAGACTGAGGCAGAATTGCTAGAACCCGGGAGGTGGAGGTTGCACTGAGCCAAGATCACGCCACTGCACTCCAGCCTGGGTGACAGAGTGAGACTCCGTCTCTTTAAAAAAAAAAAAAAAAAGGCTGGGCACGGTGGCCCATGCCTGTAATCCCAGCACTTTGGGAGGCTGAGGTGGGAGGATCACAAGGTCAGGAGATCAAGACCATCCCTGCCAACATGGTGAAATCCCGTCTCTACTAAAAATACAAAAGTGAGCTGGGTGTGGTGGCACATGCTTGTAATCCCAGCTACTCGGGAGGCTGAGGCAGGAGAACCGTTTGAACCAGGAAGTCAGAGGTTGCAGTGAGCCAAGATCATGCCACTGCACTCTAGCCTGGCAAGAGAGCCAGATTCCGACTCAAATAAAAAAAGAGGGGCCATATATATATATGTGTGTACATACATATATGTATGTATGTATGTATATGTATATGTATATAAAAAGAAGAGAGATAGATCTCTCTTTTTTTTTTTTGAGACAGGGTCTTGCTCTGTTGCCCAGGCTGGAGTGGCATGCAGTGGCATGATCTTGGCACACTGCAACCTCTGCCTCCCAGGTTCAAGCGATTCTCCTGTTTCTGCCTCCCAAGTAGCTGGGATTACAGGTGTGCGCCACTACACCGGGATAATTTTTGTATTTTTAGTAGAGATGGGGTTTCACCATGTTGGCCAGGCTGGTCTTGAACTCCTGGCCTAAAGTGATCGCCTGCCTCGGCCTCCCGAAGTGCTGGGATTACAGGCATGAGCCACTGCACCCGGCTAAGAGGTACCATATATTAGAAAGTAAAACCAAAGACATCTCCTCCTTTCTCAGCAGTGTTAGATTAGGCTTAAATTAGACTAAAACCTGCTAAAATCCTTTCCAGCCCAAAGCCATCACTTGGCAAAGTCACACATGGATATTACTAAGTACATTTCAAGAAATCTTAATATGAAGCTGCAAAAAGCTAGATATTTGCACTCCAGAATGGCAAATCAAGTCCTTATTCTCCACCTAGAGACACCACAGAGGAGCAAACTCTGGGTCTGGAGGGCTGCTGATTGAACATCTACATTCCCATTTCCTTTTTCATCAGCTGCTCTTAGAGACTTCATGATCTCATTTTGTGACTGCCTGTCAGAAGGACTAGGGTCAGAGTGTTGAAACTCTACCATATGCTCCCATTCCGTTGGCTCAAAACCAATCATCAAGGATAGTCTTTTTTTTTTAAAAAAAAGACAGGGTCTCGCTTCTGTTGCCCAGGTTGGAGGCTAGATAGAGCACAGTGGTGCAATCATGACTGACTGCAGCCTTGACCTCCCAGGCTCAAGCAATCCTCCTACCTCAGCCTCCCTAAGTAGCTGAGACCACAGGTGCACACCACCATGCCCAGCTAATTTTTAAATTTTTTTGTAGAGATGGGGGTCTCACTATGTTGCCCAGGCTGGTCTCAAACTCCTGGGCCCAAGTGATCCTCCTGCCTCAGCTTCCCAAAGTGTTGAGATTACAGGCGTGAGTTATGGTGCCCAGCCTCAAGGATTCTTAAAATACTGGGAGGTACAAGAGAAAATGGAAAGAAAACATTTCTGGACAGCAGCTTTGCATCTTTGTTAAAGATCTTCAATGCAAGCTCAGTTGTAGTTATACTTTGTACTGAGAAAATGATTGCTGTGTGATCTTCCCATTACAACACAGAAAGCGATAAACAGTATCAAAAGGCAGGGAAAAAGTATATGAGCTTTGTGAATACAACTCACATTGAAAAGTCACAATTACTCTTCATTGTTTTGTGTTTCTTCCAAACACAGTATGGGAGTATCAGGTTATTGGTGGCTGAGAACTGGTACTGTTTATCAGAGATAGTATCTTTATTCACAAAGCAATTTACAGTTTACAAAGGCATTCTTCACAATATCATCTCATTAGATCCTTACAAATAGGGCATATGGATGGCTGGGATACATGGAGTAGTCTGCCCAAGAATACAGAGCTAATTAGCAACACATACAGTACTAAAAGTCAGGTTTTCTTTTTGCCATATTGTCTTTGTTTTTAAATTCCAGAGAGTCAGTCCATTCATGACACTTCCCACATCAAAGAGGTAGCTTCTGATGAAAAGATACAGTAGAGTCTAAAGAAGTTTGCAAGAAATGGACTCATAGGGAGTTTTTAGAGAGACTGCCACAAAGCCCTTGTTTCTTGACAGCACTGCCAATCCCTCAAACTGGTCTGCTTAAGATGGGCTTTCTGTTCTTAAAACACCTACAATTGCTTTAGGTGCTGTGTCTAAGATAAAGAGTGCTACTAGTAAATGGCTGCTACCAGGAGTTTCAAGAACCATGTCAAACGGACCTGCAGAAAGAGCAAAGCCCGGGGAAGAAAAGTAACAGGTTTAAAACAGATGTGTCATTTCTCTTAGTATAAAAGATTACTTTTTATAGAAATCCTTTGTAAAGCAGTCAGGCTCATTCTTTATGGTACAAGGATATGTTATAGTTCAAATATTTTTTAAAACCCACTATTCCCAAAGGCCAAACCAAAATGAGATAGAAGAGGGAAGGAGGAGATGGAGGAAGAAAGAAAGTACAGTGGCTAAGGGAAGTACAAAGAATGCCCTATGTCAGCTCTATAGCTCTGCCTGTTGGCCTTCTCCATGTCCTCCATTTTGACTAGACTTTTTACCCAACAGGATCTGAGCTGCACTTTGAGCATCCAGGAGATAAGGCCCCACTGGGACTTCCAGTGAAAACACAATCCTACTTCAGTGTCCAATGTAAGGTTGAGGGGCATGAAGACACTGCCCTGTCAGCTGCCACTTCCTATCTTTTCTTGACTAGATGAAAGCACAACAAAAACTTTTACTAAAATGTTCTTGACAGCAAACGTTTTAGACTATATGACGCCAGCAACAACCAGCATCAAGCCAAAATCTTATTTGTGTTCTCTGAAGCAAAACGGCTGACTGTTTCACTGAGCCCCAGAGCCCCACCCACTAGGATCAGAGCTGGCAGAAGTCAGGGTCTCAAGATGAACTCTGCGGCTGGGCACAGTGGCTCACGCCTGTAACCCCAGCATTTGGGGAGGTCAAGGCAGGTGGATTGCTTGAGCTCAGGAGTTCGAGACCAGCCTGGGCAATGTGATAAAACCCCGCCTCTACAAAAAATACAAAATGGTAGTGTGCGCCTGTTATCCTAACTACTCCAGGGGCTGAGGTGGGAGGGTTGCTTGAACCTGTGAGGTCGAGGCTGCAGTGAGCCAAGCTCACGCCATTGCATTCCAGCCTGGGTGACAAAGTAAGACCCAATCTCAAAAAAAAAAAAAAGAATTCTGCTCTGGGAACACAATACACTCCAAGCCAGACCCTGACATAAGAAAATGTAAATATACACATATATATGTATATATCTATAGATATACATGTGTGTGTATATATATATGCATGTGTGTGTGTATATATATACACACGTGTGTGTGTGTGTGTGTGTGTGTATATATATATATATATATATATTTTTTTTTTTTTTTTTTTTTTTTTTTGAGAAGGAGCCTTGCTCTGTCACCCAGGCTGGAGTGCAGTGGTGCGATCTCAGCTCACTGCAAGCTCTGCCTCCCGGGTTCATGCAATTTTCCTGCCTCAGCCTCCCGAGTAGCTGGGACTACAGGCACCCATCACCACGCCTGGCTAATTTTTTGTATTTTTAGTAGAGATGGGGTTTCACCGTGTTAGCCAGGATGGTCTCGGTCTCCTGACCTCGTGAGCTGCCCACCTCGGCCTCCCAAAGTGTTGGGATTACAGGCGTGAGCCAGGGCACCCGGCCGAGAACTTAAATATTTTAAAGGTGTCTGGTGCTAAGAATATATTCCACCCACTTCACTACCACTCCTTGCAGGTCTTACATGCATTTTAAAGTAAGATTCAGGTTCTAGAAAATGCCTCCTATCATGATGAAAGAAAACCAGGGATCCGTAGTCTTGGAGGTAATTCCATGAACTTGGCTCCAGGAACATAGAAAGAACAGTGCCTACCAGGGGATCCACACGTCTCTCCTATTCTAAGGTTCCATTACATTTGTATTTGCGGCAAAAACAAAGAGGCAAAATATATAAATAAGCAAGTAAGTAAGTAATCAAAAGAGCCTCAAATCTTTTCTCTCCTTGTGAGAAGACAAGACTCTATCATAAAGACTGAGACTGTGAGGCAGACAGGGCATTCAACAAATTCCTTCATCACAGAATCTCCGTAGATTGCTTCTTACAATTTATAAACTCCAACTATTAGCACTCAGAACAACTGAAAAACTGAACCACTAAAATGCAGATTTTTAAAAAACTTTTCAGCTTGTTATAATTTTGTATCTTTTAGAGCAATGGTTCACCTAACATTTATAAAAACCTTAGTCAAAATTTCTCTGGTTAATAATTTATTTCCGTATGCTGGGTGCGGTGGCCCATGCCTGTAATCCCAGCACTTTGGGAGACCAAGGGTGGGGGGGGGGGGGGTGGATCACCTGAGGTCAGGAGTTCGAGACCAGCCTGGCCAACATGGTGAAACCCTGTCTCTACTACAAGTACAAAATTAGCTGGGTGTGGTAATGGGCGCTTCTAATCCCAGCTACTCGGGAGGCTGAGGCAGGAGCATCGCTTGAACCTGGGAGGTGGAGGTTGCAGCGAGCCGAGATTGTGTGATTGCACTCCAGCCTGGGTGAAAAGAGCGAGACTCCATCTCAAAATAAATAAATAAATAATAATAATTTATTTTCACACAAAGATATGGCCTAATTCTTGGTGGAAGTAAAATATCACATTTTGACATATTTTACTGATAATTCTCAGAATTCCCTTCAGAATTCAGAATTCTATAACCTCTATCTTATTTTTTTCCTCTTTCCTGAGTTGATTCCAATCACATAGCAATGAAATAAAAATACTCACAAAGTAGAATATGTACAGAAACAAGATACAGCTTGTTCTTTTCTGACAATTGAATCAGTTAACCCTAAAATAATTATGAGGTATGTAGGGCAAGGGCTTTTAGTCCCAGATAAAAGAGAGGCTCTCTCCTACTGCAATTAGGGACATCCCCCACCTCAACACAGAGTGAAGGGCAGCTGATTTACATCATTTCTTTTCTTCTTTTTCTTCTTTTTTTGGGGACGGAGTCTTGCTCTGTTGCCTAGGCTGGAGTGCAGTGGCGCGATCTCGGCTCACTGCAAGCTCTTCCTCCTGGGTTCACGCCATTCTCCTGTCTCAGCCTCCTGAGTAGTTGGGACTACAGGTGCCGGCCACCACACCTGGCTGATTTTTTTTGTATTTTTAGTAGAGACGGGGTTTCACCCTGTTAGCCAGGATGTTCTCGATCTCCGGACCTCATGATCCGCCCGCCTCGGCCTCCCAAAGTGCTGGGATTACAGGCGTGAGCCCCTGTACCCGGCCTGATTTACATCATTTCTATAACACTTTTATATTCTGAGATGACTACTATTGGAGCTCCCTGGCTCTTTTCTTCTGGAAAAAGTAGACTCTAAATTCAACATCAAGGCATGCTTCATTGAATAGGTCTCTAAACTGAATCACTATAGAGAAAAACAAATAGGGAGTTTGGTAAATAAATGTGGAAAATATAAAGCTTCTTAATTTGCTTTGTTTACCAAAGAATATAATAAAACTATTCCTTTTTCTTAAAAACTTAATGGCAGGAGGTGGTAGAGAACAGCCAAGAGAGCAGACTGAGGCCCACAAGACCTAAGATACTGTACAGGCCTCACTGCTGAGCCCATCACAAAGCCTGCACAGTATTCCCCAGGCATCCCCAAAGAACCAGCAGCTATTCTTCAGGATCCACCATCCAAAAGAGACATTGGAACCGGCAGCGGTGGCTCACACCTGTAATCCCAGCACTTTGGGAGGCTGAGGCGGGTGGATCACCTGAGGTCAGGAGTTCAAGACCAGCCTGGCCAACATGGTGAAATCCCATCTCTACTAAAAATACAAAAATTACCCGGGCATGGTGGCGGGCGCCTGTAATCCCAGCTACTCAGGAGGCTGAGGCAAGAGAATCACCTGAACCTGGGAGGTGGAGGGTGCAGTGAACCAAGATCGTGCCACCACACTCCAGCCTGGGCAACAAGAGCAAAACTCTGTCTCAAAAAAAAAAAAAAAAAAAGGAAAGAAAAGAAATTTGCCACGCATGGTGGCTCATGTCTATAATCCCTACACTTTAGAAGGTCAAGGTGGGAGAACTGCTTGAACCCAGGAGCTCGAGACCAGACCAGCTCAGGGAACACAGTGAGACCCCATCTCCATTGCTATTAAAACAAAATTTTTTAATGGGAAAAAAAATAAAAAGAGACATTATTTCTACTGACCCTTTATCTATCACCTCCCACCCAAGTACTTGAGCTTCCTCAAAGGTATCTTTAGCCCCTCTGCCTGTAACGTCCTCAAAGAGTCTTGCTGACTTGATTTCTGCAGAAATAGTGCCTTGAAAATATTAATAAAATACAGAGCCTCTGGACTTCTGAATACATACTGTTCAACTAATATTTTAGGGAGGTGACTATGCCCCCCTGCTTTTTTTGAGACAGGGTCTTGCTCTGTCACTCAGGCTAGAGTGCACTGGTGTTGTATGATCATAGCTCATTGTAGCCTTGATCTCCTGAGCTCAAGCAATCATCCCACCTCAGCTTCCTGACAAGCTGGGACAATACGTGCATGTCACCAAGTCTGGCTAATTTATTTTATTTTATGCAGACATGGGGTCTTCCTATGATGCCCCGGCTGGTCTTGAACTCCTGGGCTCAAATGATCCTCCTGCCACAGCCTCCCAAAGGGCTGGAATTACAGGTGTTAGCCATCATGCCCAGCCAATTCTCTTCTTAGGCAGAAAGCTATTGACCCAATGCCACTTAGAAGTACCAAGACTAAGAATGGAAGCTTTTTGGGAGGCCAAGGTGGATGGATCACGAGGTCAAGAGATCGAGACCATACTGGCCAACATGGTGAAGCCCCGTCTCTACTAAAAATTAAAAAAAAAATTAGCTGGGCATGGTGGCATGAGCCTGTAGTCCCAATTACTTGGGAGGCTGAGGCAGGAGAATCACTTGAACCCAGGAGGCGGAGGCTGCAGTGAGCCAAGATCGCGCCACTGCACTCTAGCCTCGCGACAGAGCAAGACTCCCATCTCCAAAAAAAAAGAAAGGAAGCTTTAAGTCAGAAAAGGTTCACTGGGATACATGGGATACAAGGTTAGGTCCCTAATCCTTTTTGTTCTACTTATTTTCACAAGCAAATAACACAAAGAATTATCAAACTTCAGCCCTTGATAAAAATGAGGGCTGGCTTCTAACATTGAAGACATGCTATGGTTAAATTAGCCAATATTTGGAAAGCAGCATTTACTGAGCTATAATATCATGGCTGCTACAATATAATGGCTATAATATCTTAACTTTTTTTTTTTTAACAGCAGATATGTATAGAGTGAGGGAATGATTCCTGCACGAAGAAGAAATTTGTAGTAATCCAGGAGTTAGGGAGAAGACAAAGCCAGCATGTCACTAACTATATCCCTGCTGGAGTTGGGATCATGTGCTACAAAGGCATAGCCCATAGCTAGTCATCAAGAAACTCTCCTGATCAGACCTGTATGCCTTGGCAATCTATCACAGACGTAACCCTTGGATGCCTTTAAACTCCATCAGACGTTAAGACATACCATCCAGTTTATTAAAAGGCATCTCTTGTAGTTTGTAGGCTATAAAAAGAAAATACGTTTAAAAAGGGAGACCCTGCTGGGCGCAGTGGCTCATGCCTGTAATCCCAGCACTTTGGGAGCTGAGGTGGGCGAATCAACTGAGGTCAGGAGTTTGAGAACAGCCTGGCCAATATAGTGAAACCTGGTCTGTACCAAAAATATAAAAATTGAGCTGGGCGCAGTGGCTCACGTCTGTAATCCCAGCACTTTGGGAGGCCAAGGTGGGTGGATCACAAGGTGTGGAGTTCAAGACTAGCCTGGCCAAGATGGTGAAACCCTGTCTCTATTAAAAATACAAAAAAATTAGCCAGACATGGTGGTGGGCACCTGTAATCCCAGCTACTCAGGAGGCTGAGGCACGAGAATTGCTTGAACCTGGGAGGGGAGGTTGCAGTGAGCCGAAATCACGCCACTGCGTTCCAGCCTGGGCAACAGAGTGAGACTCTGTCTCAAAAAAAAAAAATTTTTTTAAATAAAATCATAAAAAGGGAGACCTTTGAACAGTATTAGGAAGCATGCTGAAGTTTCTTTTTTATTTATTTTTTTTTGAGACGGAGTCTGGCTCTGTCGACCAGGCTGGAGTGCAATGGCATGATCTCAGCTCACTGCAAGCTCCGCTTCCCAGGTTCACACCATTCTCCTGCCTCAGCCTCCCAAGTAGCTGGGACTACAGGCACCCGCCACCATGCCCGGCTAATTTTTTGTATTTTTAGTAGAGACGGGGTTTCACCGTATTAGCCAGGATGGTCTCGATCTTCTGACCTCGTGATCCGCCCACCTCGGCCTCCCAAAGTGCTGAGATTACAGGTGTGAGCCACCGCACCCTGTCCTGAAGTTTCTATTATACAGAGTAGCCTGTAAGTCTGGCTTTTCCAGGGCAGTTTTAACTGCTCTCTATCCTGTTGAAAGGCTATGTGTTGGTGCACTTGTCTTTCAGGTCACCTGCTTGGCCCTCTTCCAAGTGTACTTTCCTTCCTTTCATTCCTGTTCTAAAGCTTTTAAATAAACTCTCTCCTGTTGTAAAACTTGCCTTGGTCTCTCCTTCTGCCTTATGACCCTCAGTCAAATTGTTTCTTCTGAGGAGGCAAGAATTGAAGTTGCTGCAGACCTGTATGGATACAGATTTGCTGCCCTTAGCAGATAGACAGATAAAGAGAGGGGAGGGGAGGAGAGGGGAGTAGGGGAGGAGAGGGGAGGGGAGGGGAGGGAAGATGAGAGGAGAGGAGAGGAGAGGGAAGAGGAGAGGAGAGGAGAGGAGAAAGAGAAACAGATTTTTTTCTTTTCCTAGCCTATGTTAGAAGCCATAGCAAATTAGTGAAAGGGACAAAGAAGCTGAGCCTGCTTCTTTAGCCATGATATATCAGTACTGTTCCTTAGAAGGAAAACTGCCCTTGCTATAGACTGGAATTTTCTCTTTTCAGAATAAAAGTTTTGGTTCCTTGTCCAATTATTCATTGCCTTTTTTTTTGGAGACGGAGTCTCGCTCTGTCGCCCAGGCTGGAGTGCAGTGTTGTGATCTCGGCTCACTGCAACTTCCGCCTCCCGGGTTCAAGCAATTCTCCTGACTCAGCCTCCCTAGTAGCTGGGATTACAAGCATGCGCTACTACACCCGGCTAGCTTTTGTATTTTTAGTAGAGATGGGGTTTCGCCATGTTGGCCAGGCTGGTCTCAAACTCCTGACCTCAAGTGATCTGCCGCCTTGGCCTCCCAAAGTGCTGGGATTACAGGCGTGAGCCACCGCACCTGGCCACCACCATCTGAAATTCTTATCAGGAAAACTGCAGAATGGAAAGAGTTATTTAACACTGCTGGAAGTGAAGAGAGACAAAAAGAGAGTGAGAAAATATGCCAACAGGTCATATAAAGTGCACCGTGAGCATGTACAATGAACAAAGCTGGATGGGAACCAGAGAAAAGAAAATGAAACACCACACTAAGAAGTCTAGGCTGAGCGTGATGGCTCACGCTTGTAATCCCAGCACTTCGGGATGCCGAGGTGGGGGGATCACTTCAGGTCAGGAGTTCCAGACCAGCCTGGCTAACATGATGAAACCTTGTCTCTACTAAAAACACAAAAATTAGCTGAGTGTGGTGGCAACAAGAGTGAAACCCTGTCTCAGAAAAAAAAAAAAAAAAAAGGAAGTATAGAAACAAATAAAAAGAAGACATAGTCTTATTAAGATGGGCCTGGCAGAAATGGTGTTTCTAGACAGGGGGCATTTGATCTCTGTCCTTGTATGTTTATGTATAATAAGGTTTAGGAAAAACACACATAGAAAAACTATATCCGGCCAAGTGCTGTGGCTCAGTCCTGTAATCCTACCACTTTGGGAGGCCAAGGCAGGGGGATCACGAGGTCGGGAGATTGAGACCATCCTGGCCTACATGGTAAAACCCCATCTCTACTAAAAATACAAAAATTAGCTGGGCGTGGTGGTATGCACCTGTAGCCCCAGCTACTCGGGAGGCTGAGGCAGAATTACTTGAACCTGGGAGGCAGAGCTTGCAGTGAGCTGAGATTACGCCACTGCACTCCACCTGGTGACAGAGCGAGACTCCATCTCAAAAAAAGAAAAAAAAGAAAAAACCATATCCAAAGCTGCTCAGGCAAAACATGGTCTTTACCATACAGTAACTTAGCTTCTGAATCTACTGACCTGGCATTCAAACTTCATATACTTACATCAGTGCTGGATGTTCCACAGCATATGCTTTAGTTACTAATCACCAGCCTATGGGTCATTTTAAAGAATATAAAAACAGAAGTGAACATTTTTATTATATTTTATTTATATATTTAATTATAAATTTAGTAGTTTTGTACTGTTTTGTTTTAAAGCATCAGGTTTCAGGAGCTCAAGATTATAGTGAACTACGGATCATACCACTGTACATATGTGAGGCCCCGTCTCTTTTTCTTTTTTTTCTTTTCGAGACAGAGTCTCACTCTGTCACCCAGGCTGGAGTGCAGTGGCACAGTCTTGGCTCACTGCAACCTCTGCCTCCCGGGTTCAAGCACTTCTCCTGTCTGAGCCTCCTGAGTAGCTGGGATTACCGGTATGCACCACCATGCCCAGCTAATTTTTGTATTTTTAGTAGAGACTGGGTTTCTCCATGTTGGCCAGGCTGGTCTCAAACTCCTGACCTCAGGTGATCTGCCCACCTTGGCCTCCCGAAGTGCTGTGATTACAGGCATGAGCTTGGCTTCCCTGTCTCTTCTCTATTTCTTTTTCTTTTTTTTTTGAGATGGAGTTTTGCTCTTGTTGCCCAGGTTGGAGTGCAATGGCACGATCTCGGCTCACTGCAACCTCTGCCTCCTTGTTTCAAGCGGTTCTCCTGCCTCAGCCTCCCGAATAGCTGGAATTACAGGCATGCACCACCATGCCCGGCTAATTTTGTATTTTTAGTAGAGACAGGGTTTCCCCATGTTGGCCAGGCTAGTCTCGAACTCTGACCTTAGGTGATCCACCTGCCTCGGCCTCCCAAAGTGCTGGGATTATAGGCGTGAGCCACCGTGCCCGGCCCCCTGTCTCTATTTCTTAAAAGAAGCATTTGGCTGGTGATAATTATATATTTAGTATTTTTTAAAATTATTATAAGAATAATTAATGTTTGGAGAAACGAGTTCTGTAACCGGAAAGAATCTGGTTCTCATTCTGGGAAATTAAGAGACTACTAATAGTCTCCCAATGTCTATTTGCTCTCTTACCTTGGGAGCAAATCCCTGCTTTTTTTTTTTTTTTTTTGAGATGGAGTCTCGCCCTGTTGCCAGGCTGGAGCGCAATGGCACGACCTTCGCTCACTGCAACCTCCACCTCCTGGGTTCAACCAATTCTCCTGCCTCAGCCTCCTGAGTAGCTTGGACTACAGGCACGCACCACCACGCCCAGCTAATTTTTGTATTTTTTTTAGTAGAGATGGGGTTTCACCATGTTGGCCAGGATGGTCTCCATCTCTTGATCTCATGATCCGCCTGCCTCGACCTCCCAAAGTGCTGGGATTACAGGTGTGAGCCACCGTGCCCGGCCTGGAAAATTAAAAGACTACTAGTAGTCTCCTAATGCCTATCTGCTCTCTTTACCTTGGGAGAAAATCTGCTTTTTAACTGGGCACATAGCTGCCTAAAATAAAGACGTTCTGCAGCCCTCCTTGAAGCTGAAGTGTGGCTATGACTAAATTCTGATCAACTGAACATAACTAGAAGTAATGCTTGAAACGCTCAAAAGTATCCTTTTTTAAGAAATTTTTGTGGATACATAGTAGGTGTATTTATTTATGGAGTACAGGAGATGTTTTGATACAGGCATGCAATGTGAAATAAGCATATCATGGGGAATAGAGTATCCATCCCCTCATGCATTTATCTTTTGAGTTACAACCAATCAAATTATACTCTGCATTATTTTATTTTTTTCTTTTTATGTTATTTTAAAATGTACAATTAAGTCATTATTGACTATACTCACCCTATTGTGGTATCAAATAGTAGGTCTTTTTTTTTATACTTTAAGTTCTAGGGTACATGGTGCACAATGTGCAGGTTTGTTACACATGTATACATGTGCCATGTTGGTGTGCTGCACCCATTAACTCGTCATTTACATTAAGTATATCTCCTAATGCTATCACTCCCCCCTCCCCCACCCCACGACAGGCCCCAGTGTGTGATGTTCCCCGCTCTGTGTCCAAGTGTTCTCATTGTTCAATTCCCACGTATAAGTGAGAACATGTGGTGTCCGGTTTTCTGCCCTTAGATAGTTTGCTCAGAATGATGGTTTACAGCTTCATCCATGTCCCTACAAAGGACATGAACTCATCCTTTTTTATTGCTGCATAGTATTCCATGGTGTATATGTGCCACATTTTCTTAATCCAGTCTATCATTGATGGACATTTGGATTGGTTCCAAGTCTTTGCTATTGTGAATAGTGCCGCAATAAACATACATGTGCATGTGTCTTTATAGCAGCATGATTTATAATCCTTTGGGTATATACCCAGTAATGGGATGGCTGGGTCAAATGGTATTTCTAGTTCTAGATCCTTGAGGAATCGCCACACTGTCTTCCACAATGGCTGAACTAGTTTACAGTCCCACCAACAGTGTAAAAGTGTTCCTGTTTCTCCACATCCTCTCCAGCACCTGTTGTTTCCTGGCTTTTTACTGATCACTATTCTAACTGGTGTGAGATACATATAGGCGTGAGCCACCTATATCATTGTGGTTTTGATTTGCATTTCTCTGATGGTCTTACTCATTCTACCTTTTTTATACCCCTTTACCATTCCCACCTTCCCCCCAGCCCCCTAACTACCCTTCCCATACTCTGGTAACCATCCTTCTACTCACTATGTCCAGGAAGTATCCTTAAAGACAGGGCCCATTTTCATCCCCCTTCCTTCCCATTGGTTGCTAAATAAAACTGATAACTGACACTCAAATAGCCATCTTGAACAATAAGATAGAAATCACATGTTAAGATGGGGCTACATGGTTGAAAGAACCTGGGTCCCTGATCATGACCAAACCACCATAAGAAAGCCTGGACAGCTCAAACTTCATTTGCATTAGAGAGAAATAAACTTGTTTAAACTGCTTTTATTTTTAGTTTTCTGTCATTCCCAGCCAAATCTAATCCTAACCAATACAGACGCTTTTGAAAATTACTGGTAAGAGGCAGAAGGAAGTATTTTGCTTAAAATTCATAAACTATAAAATAAACAGAAAGTTGTAGGAAAAAAGTAGGTAGTGGAACAAAAGGTATAAGAAATGACAATGAAAAAACCTGTGGAGCTCTGTTTGTGTATTTCTAGAGGTCCTACTGTCACTTGACACTTAATGTATCCAACCAATTATTCTCCCTCCCAAATGCTTTCCTCTTCTACATGCTTTGTATCTGTTCAAGGTACAACCATTTTTTTTTTTTTTTTTTTTTTTTTTTAAGACAAAAAGAGTCTCACTCTGTCACCCAGGCTAGAGAGCAGTGGCATGATCATGGCTCACTGCAATCTCGACTTCCTGGGCCCAAGTGATTCTCCCACCTCACCCCCGCCCCACCCACCAGTCACTGGGACTACAGGCACGTGCCCCCATGCCCAGCTTTTATATATATTTGTAAAATTTTTATAGAGACAAGGTCCCACTACATTGCCCAGGCTGGTCTCGAACTCCTGGGCTCAAGCAATCCTTCTGCCATGGCCTCCCAAAGTCTCACTCTGTTGCCCATGCTGGAGTGCCCTGGTGCATCATGGCTCACTGTACTCTCGACCTCTTGGGTTCAAGAGATCCTTCCACCTCAACCTCTCTAGTAATGGGAACTACAGGGGCACACCACCATGCCTGGCTAAATTTCTTTTTAAAAAATTTTTATAGCGATGAGGTTTTACTATGTTGCCCAGGCTGGTCTTGAACTCCTGGGCTCAAGCAATCCTCCTGCCTCGGCCTCCCAAGTGTTGGAATTACTCCTTTATTTATTTATTATTATTATTATTTTTTGAGACAGAGTCTCGCTCTGTCGCCCTGGCTGGAGTGCAGTGGCACGATCTCGGCTCACTGCAACCTCTGCCTCCTGGGTTCAAGTGATTCTTCTGCCTCAGTCTCCTGAGTAGCTGGGCCTACAGGTACACGCCACCACGCCCAGCTAATTTTTGTATTTTTAGTAGAGACGGGGTTTCGCCATATTGGCTAGGCTGGTCTCGAACTCCTGACCTCGTGATCTGCCCGCCTCAGCCTCCCAAAGTGCTGGGATGACAGGCGTGAGCCACCATGCCAAACCGGTATGATTCCTTTAACCTCTGAGTGGCCTTTGATTCTGCCCTCTCTCTTGTACCTTCCCCTCTGATATCCAGTGTTATCAAATCCTAGAGATTCTTTGTTTAAACTCTTTCAAACCTGATCTCTTCCTTCCACATCTACTCCTAATCCCTAATGCAAGGCATCAACTTCTCACATATCAACTGCTGCTCTACATCCTAAGGGACCCTTTTCTCTGCAGTTTCTCTTTTTAAGTCTACATACCACCACAAGAAGATAGTATCATTTTGATACTGTTACATTCTTGTAATCCACCATGTCATCAAATTAAACTTTTAAATGCAAGGCCCTAGACAACCTAAACTGACCTACCTTGTACCTTCCAAGTCATTCCATTCACTACATTCCAGAGTAAAAGAACAAGAATCAGACAGAAATTTGAAAGCTAAAATGAACAAACAAGAATATATGGCTAGCTCCATCAAAGGAGAAATAGTATCTACTAATTGCTATCTCAGAAAATACAGTAGAAACCTAACAGAAATATCAGAGCCTAGCAAATAAGGAGGTCACTTGGGTTGGGGGGGTCAAGACCACATTTTACAGAAATTAAAAAGATCACTAGGGCTTATGAAGAATAAAACAGAGCCAAAACCACTTTATGCAATATGTGTTAACCCAATTCACAAATATGTATTTATTTAGCTCATCATATGTTGCCAGGTCCAGTTCTAACCTTTTTAAGCAGTAAAGAAAAGAAATAGTCCCTGCTTTCATGGACCTTTCAATCTAATGAGGACATCTGTTGACCACCTATTTGCTAGTCATTACCCAGGCATTTTTTCTGGTTTAGCTAGTTATTCCTTTATATCATATCTCTCATGACTCTAAGATTACCCTGAACTACCCAAGCATGTCTAACAATGGAATGCCTCCTTTATTCCAAGTACACAGGAAGAGCCACAAGAAGTATTTTACTAGGAAAAGTGCCTAAACTAACGTTCTCTGGCCTTAAAGGGTGCCAGTTGAGCCAGGAAACCTGACAGAAACAAATGCAAACATGTCTCTGGGCTGATGCTCTGTTTGTAGAAAACCCAACATATCCTGCATTGCTCTGCATTCACAGTACGCAGGAATCAAGTCAAAGAAAAAAGATGACCACTACCCTATACTTCTTAACTCAGGAACTAGACCATATGAGCACTAACAGACACACAGGCAGAAACAATAAATATGCTATTCAATGGTTGACTCTGAACAGGAGAATCTGTAAGGAATGGAAGGAAGAAGACTGCTATTCAACTGTCAACTGCAAACCAAGCCCTTGATATGCTCAAAACCCAAATATTTAAGACTGACACATGTCCACAGTACCAAGTGCCTCAAAACATCTAGTTAAAAAAAAAAAAACAAGTACAAAACCCCAAACCAAACACAGCCCAAGAGAGAATTCAAATGGGTAATGCAAATATCCAAAGGCTTCCAAACCAGAATTGAAACCTGGTTATCTAATGTATGAGTATGCCATGTTTTCAACACTACACCACTCCAACATGGGGCTTACTAGGCTACGCATCTGGGGATAGCTGGTAAAAAGCTGGAAGTTTTAGCATTGTGGCTCTTTGGTATATATCGAAGAGAACTGAAAATGTGTCCACACAAAACCTTGTACATGAATGTGAATAGTATTATTCATAATAAACAAAAGTGGAAACAACCTAAATGTCTACCAATTAATGAGCAGATAAAGACAATGTGGTATATCCATATGATGGAATATTATTCAACCCTATAAATGATTTAAGTACTGATTCATATAACATGGATGAACCTTAAAAACATTAGGCTAAGTAAAAGAAGCCAGTCACAAAAGACCATATGGTATATGATTCCATTTATATGAAATATCCAGAGCAGGCAAATCTATAGAGACAGAAAGCCGACTAGCAGATGACTGGGGGTAGAGAAGGAAGTAGGAGAAAATGGAGAGTGACTCTTAATGGATATATAGTTTCTTTTTGTTCCCAGAAATGTTCTGGTATCAGTGGTGATAGTTGCACAATTTTATGAATATACTAAAAACTACTAAATTGTACACTTGAAAGAGGTAAGTTTTATGTTATGTGGATTATACCTCAATTACAACAAATATAACACAACAAAAAAAGCTTTCAGGGCTGCAAGACTACTGACAAAGCAAAGACATCTGGTTATTTCATTCTTCCCTTTTTGCCCTATTCTGGCCCAGATGAGCACCACTTAAACCTACCCCTCCTACCCCAAGCCTCTAAGTGAACACTCTGCCTCCAGCTTTTTCTCCTCCTAACCATGCACACCACTGCAAAACTCATCCTCCTTATCACATCCCAATTCTTACCCAAAGCTCTAGCTCCCACTTACCATATTATAATGGAAAATTGGAGGACTCCAGAAGGGTACATCAATTTTCTCAACAGGAAGATGGCCAAAAAGCTATCTGACGACCCAGGAACAAATAAACTTTTAGGGATGCGAATGAAATCATCAAATCATCAAATGCCTACCTATGCTATTTTTTTTTTTTTTTTTTTTTTGGTGAGACAAGGTCTCACTCTGTCACCCAGGCTGGAGTGCAGTGGTGCGATCTCTGCTCACTGCCTCCCAGGTACAATCTCCCACCTCGGCTTCCCCAATAGCTGGGACTACAGGTGCACGCCACCACACCTGCCTAATTTTTGTATTTTTTGGTAGATATGGGGATTCACCATGTTAGTCAGGCTGGTCTCAAACTTTTGACCTCAGGTGATCTGCCTGCCTCGGCCTCCCAAAGTCCTATATTTTTTTTTCTTTTTTTTTTTTTTGAGAGACAGAGTCTTGGCCAGGCGTGGTGGTTCACGCCTGCCTAGTCCCAGCACTTTGGGACTCTGGCTTTACTAAAAATACAAAAAATTAGCCAGACGTGGTGGTGCATGCCTGTAGTCCCAGCTATTTGGGAGGCTGAGGCAGGAAAATGGCTTGAACCCATGAAGCAGAGGTTGCAGTGAGCTGAGATCGTGCCACTGCACTCCAGTCTGGCAACTGGGCGAAATTCTGTCTCCAAAAAAAAAAAAAAGGGCCGGGCACAGTGGCTCACGCCTATAATCCTAGCACTTTGGGAGACCAAAGCAGGTTGATCCCTTGAGGTCAGGGGTTTGAGACCAGCCTGGCCAACATGGTGAAACCCTGTCTACTAAAAATACAAAAATTAGCCGGGCATGGTGGTGGGTGCCTGTAATCCCAGCTACTCGGAAGGCTGAGGTAGAAGAATCGCTTGAACCCGGGAGGCGGAGGCTGCAGTGAGCCGAGATCGTGCCACTGCACTCCAGCCTGGAAGACGGCGAGATTCCGTCTCAAAAAAAAAGAAAAAAAAAAAGAGACAAAGTCTCCCTCTGTCATCCAAGCTGGAGTATAGTGGTCTGATATTGGTTCACTGCAACCTCCATCTCCAAGCAGTTCTGCCTCGGCCTCCTGAGTAGCTGGGATTACAGGCGTCTGCCACCACACCCAGCTAATTTTTGTATTTCTAGTAGAGATGGGGTTTCACCATGTTGGTCAAAGTTCTATACTTAATTTATCAATTAGTCTTATATATTTAAATGATAAAATGAAATAATGTGGTCTTAATTACTGCTGTAACCCTGATACCTACACTAGGAGACATATATACAGAGCAGGGGGAATCAATAGCTGTTGAACAACTATATGTAGGCAGCAATCAATGAAAACTTGAACAGTGGGGCACAGTGGCTCACGCCTATATTCCCAACACTTTGGGAGACTGAAGCAGGAGGACGGCTTAAGGCCAGGAGTTCCCAACCAGCCTGGGCAACATAGTGACACCCTGTCTCTTAAAAAAAAAAAAAAAAAAATTAAAGTTGTATATATATAAAAGGTTAAATTTCTAGGTGGCAGACAGAAGATACATAGAAAATCCAACAAGCACATTCACAGGTAGGTATATATTAACAGGAATAAGTGCATCTACCTATTCGCCAAGAGAAATAACAATTCCGTGGTGTTTTGTTTTCTTTTTTGAGATAGAGTCTCGCTCTGTCACCCAGGCTGGAGTGCAGTGGTGTGATCTCAGCTCACTGCAACCTCTACCTCCTGGGTTCAAGTGATTATCCTGCCTCAGCCTCCTGTGTAGCTGGGATTACAGGTGCCCATCACCACACCTGGCTAATTTTTGTATTTTTAGAAAAGACGGGGTTTCGCCATGTTAGCCAGGCTGGTCTTGCTTCTGACCTCAGGTGATCTGCCCACCTCAGTCTCCCAAAGTACTGGGATTACAGGCGTGAGCCACCGCGCCTGGCTGAGAAATAACAACTTTGAAAAAACATCATTTGCCATAGCTCCAAATGGGGGAAAAAAAAAAACCCACAGTCCATCTAGAGTGGAATTTGAATAAATTGTAATACATTCTTAGACTGGAAAACTGTTTTCTTGTTTTTTGTTTTTTGTTTTTTGAGACGGAGTCTTGCTCTGTCGCCCAGGCTGGAGTGCAGTGGCGCAATCTCGGCTCACTGCAAGCTCCATCTCCCAAGTTCACGCCACTCTCCTGTTTCAGCATCTCAAGTAGCTGGGATTACAGGTGTCCTGCCTCAGCCTCCTGAGTAGCTGGGACTACAGGGGCCCGTCACCACGCCCAGCTAATTTTTTGTATTTTTAGTAGAGACGGGGTTTCACCGTGTTAGCCAGGATGGTCTTGATCTCCTGACCTCGTAATCTGCACGCTTCAGCCTCCCAAAGTGCTGGGATAACAGGCGTGAGCCATCGTGCCCGGCCAAAAACTGTTTTTTTCATTCGGGTGGTGGTTAACCAGGTATATCCAACTTTGGAATAATTCACTAAGCAATGAAAATGAACAAATCGCAGTTACACACAAGATGAATTTCAAAAACAATACTAAGTATAAAAGTCAGGCAAAAGAATACATCTTTTGTGATTCTAATTACATAAGGCTCAAAAGAAAGTCAAAAGACTCTGTGGTATTAGAACTCAGTGACTACCTGTGGGAGGGATGAAAAGGACAATGACCAGGAGGGGCAGGAGGGGCTTCTCCATATGAAGCAGTGTTCTGTTTTTTTCATTCAGGTGGTGGTTAACCAGGTATATCCAACTTTGGAGTAATTCACTAAGCAATACACTTACGACATGATATCTTTTCTGTATGTATACGTCAATAAAAGGGAGGGGAAATAATTATTTAGAAGGACTGTTCTTTCCATTTGCACACTTCAAAAGTCTATTTTATTCAAGCTCTTCATGTGCTACATTTACATCATCAATAGAGCCATTTTAGATAACCTAGCAATTTTCTAAGCCACATCATTTTAAAATGTCACAGAAGTTGTTTAAGATAAACTACTTTTTGAATCTGTGGATAATGTCATTATGGGAAGTTTATCTTAAGCCACAAGTACCCTTTGGCATAAAATTACGACAAACGATTCTTTCATTGGTCCTGTAAGTGAATTTGAATACTTGTTTTATTAAAAATATCACACCCGGCTGGGAGCAGTGGCTCACACCTGTAATCCCAGCACTTTGGGAGGCTGAGATGGGTGGATCACCTGAAGTCAGGAGTTCAAGACCAGCCTGGCCAACATGGTGAAACCCCATCTCTACAAAAATACAAAAATTAGCCAGGCATGATGGCGGGTGCCTGTAATCCCAGCTACTCGAGAGGCTGAGGCACGAGAATCACTTGAACTCGGAGGTTGCAGTAAGCTGAGATCACATCATTGCACAGCCTGGGTGACAGAGCAAGAATCTGTCTCCAAAAAAAAAAAAAAAAAAAATCACCAAACATTTTATTTGTGAGCGTATAATGCCAGAGTAATCACAGCAATTATTAAATTCACCTCCTTTTAAAACACGGTATTCTACTAGACCTCTGTAAGCACCCAATACTAGCACGGACTGCGGTCACTACTTAATGCATCTTTTTCAAATACTTTGTGGCTCAAAAGAAGTAACAGAAATTAGTCAGGTGTGGTGGCAGGCACCTGTAATCCCAGCTACTTGGGATGCTGAAACAGGAGAATAGCTTGAACCCAGGAGGCGGAGGTTGCAGTCAGCCGAGATCGCGCCACTGTACTCCAGCCTGGGCAACAAGAGTGAAACTCTGTCTCAAATAAATAAATAAGAAGTAACTGAGAGAAAACTCCACAGGAGCTAAGACTTTATAAAAGCAAGAAGAAGAAACAGAAAAAGAAGAAAGAAGAAGAAGAAAGCAGGAGGAGGAGAAGGAGGAGGAAGAACGTGAAAGATTCTGAGGGATAAATTCTTGGGAAAACTCATCTCGTATTCAGCGAATATACTCATTTTCAACTTTTCAAAAAAATCTTTTTTTTGAGACAGGGTCTCGCTCTGTCACCCAGGCTGGAATGTAGTGGGGCATGCTTATAGCTCACTGCAGCCTCAACCTCTTGGGCTCAAGCTATCCTTCCATCTCAGCCTCCCTAGTAGCTGGGAATACAGGTATGTGCCACTGTACCTGGCTAATTTTTGTACTTTTGGTAGAGATGGGGTTTTGCTACATTGCCCAGGCTGGTCTTGAACTCCTGGGCTCAAGTGATCAGCCCACCTCAGCTTCCCAACGTGCTGGGATTACAGGTGTGAGTCACTGCGCCCAGCCCCCAAACTCCCTTATATCCCACATATATTTACCTTAAGACTAGACAGGCTAAGATATCCTATTTTTCATTTTTGGCTGAATAGATATATTAAGAACCAACAAGTCACAAAAGAAATATGAATAACTAATAATCAAATGTAAAACTATTCTGCCTACTAATAACCTAAGGGAGAAAAACTACATCATTTGTCAGGTGCGGTGGCTCACGCCTGTAATCCCAGCACTTTGGGAGGCCAAAGTAGGCAGATCACCTAAGATCGGGAGTTCGCGACCAGCCTGACCAACATGGAGAAACCCTGTCTCTACTAAAAATACAAAATTAGCCAGGCGTGGTGACATGAGCCTATAATCCCAGCTACTCGGGAAGCTGAGGCAGGAGAATCACTTGAACCCGGGAGGCAGAGGTTTTGGTGAGCTGAGATCGCACCATTGCACTCTAGCCTGGGCAACAAGGGTGAAACTCCATCTCAAAAAAAAAAAAGAAAGAAGAAAAACTAAATCATTATCTTCTTCACTACACTAGCAACATTAAAAAAATTATTAAATATTTCAAACACAACAGGCGATTAGAGAGTAACAACCAACCATGTACTACTACCCAATACAAGTATTTTGTTAAAATACACTTGACACTGGTTGGAAGGCAGGGGAGACAAGTGCTCTCAAACACTGTTAGTAAAATAATAAATTAGGAAATATCTGGATGGAATTTGAATACATTTATTAAGTCATAAAATATGCTGATTTCTTTTTTTTCCTTTTTGAGACAGGGGCTCACTCTGTCACCCAGGCTACAGTGCAGTGGCATGGTCATGGGTCAGTCACTGCAGCCTTGACCTCCCGGGCTCAAGCGATTCTCCTACCTCCCTTCTCTAGAGAAGCTACGATAGGTACAAAAACATGCTTCTAAATAACACACAAGCTAAAGAGGAAATCTCACCCGGCTAGGCAGGAGAATTTCCTGAACCCAGGAGGTAGAGAGGTTGCAGTGAGCCAAGATCGTGCCGCCACACTCCAGCCTGGGCAACAAAGTGAGACTCTGTCTCAAAAAAAAAAAAAAAAAAAAAAAAAAAAAAGCACTTAAATTCCTCAGTATGGAGATGAATATATCAAAATGATTCTTAAAATGTATGTATGTACATAGGTATGTATTTTATTTGTTTATTTATTTATTTAGAGACAAAGTTTTGCTCTGTCACCCAGGCTGGAGTGCACTGGCGCAATCTTGGTTCACCGCAACCTCCGCCTCCTTGGGTTCAACCGATTTTCGTGCCTCAGCCTCTTGAGCAGCTGGGATTACAGGCGTGTGCCACCACACCCAGCTAATTTTTGTATTTTTAGTAGAGACGGGGTTTCAACATGTTGGCTAGGCTGGTCTCAAACTCCTGACCTCAGGTGATCTGCCTGTTTCGGCCTCCCAAAGTGCTAGGATTACAGGTATGAGCCACTGCACCCAGCCTTAAATGTATTTAATGACAAGGAAGTAAGTCCACAATATTTGAAGTTAAAGAGTTATAAAACCATTTGTACAAGACTCTCCTATCCTACAGATAGATACACAGATAGATGATACATGCATAGAAAAATCTGGAAGGATACGCATCAAAATAACAGCAGCAATCTAATCAACATTTGTAGACTATTTCATCCAGCAACAGCGAACTACATATTCTCTTCAAGCTCACGCAGCACATTATGGGCCATAAAACATACCTTTTCCAGTTTAAAATGACAGAAAAAATAATATATGCTCTCAGATCACAATAGAATTAAACTAGAAGTCAGTAACAGTAATATAGTTGTAAAAATCCCAAAGTATATGGAGATTTAAAAACATACTTCTAAATAACACACAAGCTAAAGAAGAAATCTCAAGAGGAATTTAAAAATATTCCGAATTATGGTCAGATGCTGTATAATGACATCTCAGTCAACAATGGGCTTGCATATATGATGGTGGTCCCAAAATACTGAAATACTGTATTTTCACTGTACCGTTTCTATCTTTAGATACTACTGTGTCACAACTGCCTATCATATACAATATGGTAACAAGTTGTACAGGTTTGCAGTTAAGGAGCAATAGGCTAAATGATATAGCCTAGGTGGGTAGCAGGCTATACCATTTAGGTTTGTGTATGTACACTCCATGGTATTTGCACAAAGACAAAATTGCCTAAGAGTGCATTTCTCAGAATTTATCCCCATCATTAACTGTATGGGGATTAACACACAACTGTAAACGATAATGAAAAACACAACTTATCAAAATTTGTGCGATACACAAAAAGCAGTGCTGAGAGGGAAATTTATAGCACTGAATGCATATATTAAAAGAGAAGAAAAATCTAAAAATCAATAATCTGAGCTTCCACTTTAGGAAACCAGTAAAAGAGCAAATTAAATCAAAAGTAAGCAGAAGAAAATAATAAAAATTAGAGCTGAAGTCAATGAAATTGAAAACAGTAAATCAATAGAGATAAATCAGTGAAACCAAAAGTTGGTTCTTTGAAAAGATCAATAAAATTGATAAACATTTAACCAGTCTAAGAAAAAAAGAAAGAAGATACAAATTACTAATAACAAAAATGAGGCTGGGCATAGTGGCTCACACCTGTAATCCAAACAAATTGGGAGGCCAAGGTGAAGACTGCTTGAGCCCGCCCAGGAGTTCCAGACCAGCCTGGACAAAATAGAGAGACTTCATCTTTACAAATAATGTTTTAAAAAACTAGATGGGTATGGTGGTATGTGCCTGTAGTCCTAGCTACTTGGAAAGCTGAGATGGGAAAGTTGCTTGAGCTGAGGAACTTGAGGTTATAGTGAGCTGTGATTGTGCCACTGCACTCTAGCCTGGGCAACAGAGTGAGACCCTGCATCTAAAAAAAAAAAAAAAAATCAATTAATGTAATCCATCACATCGACATGCTGAAGAAGAAATTAACATGAACATACCAATAGATGCAGAAAAATCATTTGACAAAAATCCAATCCCCTTTCATGATTTAAAAAAAAAAACCTCTCAGCAAACTAGGAACAGAGGGGAACCTCCTCAACTTGATAAACCTATAGCTAACATCACACTTATGGTGAGAGACTAGATGCTTTCTTCCCACTAACATCAGGAACAAGACAAGGATGTATTCTCAACAGCTCCTTTTCAGCTAGGTGTGGTGGCTCACACCTGTAATCCCAGCACTTTGGGAGGCTGAGGTGGGAGGATCACCTGGGCCCAAGAGCTGGAGACCAGTTTTGGCAACATAGCGAGACCCTATCTCTATAGGAAGAAAAGAAAGAAAAAGAAGAAAAGGAAAAGGCAAGGAAAGGAGAGAAAAGAAGAGAAAGACAGCTCCTTTCAGCATTGTACTAGAAATCCTAGCTAGTGCAATAAGCCAAGAAAAGGACATAAAAGGTATATGGATTAGAAAGGAAGAAATAAAATTGTCTTTATTCATGAATGACATGACTGTCCAATAGAAATACCCAAAGGAGGCCAGGCATGGTGGCTCATGCCTGTAATCCCAGCAATTCAGGAGGCCAAGGCGGGGCAGATCACCTAAGGTCAGGAGTTCAAGACCATCTTAGCCAACATGGTGAAACTAAAAATACAAAAATTAGCTGGGTGTGGTGGTGCGTGCCTGTAATCCCAGCTATGCAGAACGCTGAGGCAGGAGAATAACTTGAACCTGGGAGGCGGAGGCTGCAGTGAGCTGAGATCGTCCAACTGTACTCCAGCCTGGGTGAAAGAGCAAGACCTTGTCTCAAAAAAAAAAAATAAATAAATAAAAATAAAAATGGCTACCATCCAAATGCTGGCAAGGATACAGAGCAACAGAACTCTAATTCATTGCTGGTAGCAATGCAAATTGTAATCGCTACTTTGGAAAAACTGTTTGACAGTTTCTTACAAAATTAAACATACTCTACAGGCTGGGTGCAGTGGCTTACGCCTGTAATCCCAACACTTTGGGAGGCCGAGGTGGACGAATCACGAGGTCACAAGATCAAGACCATCCTGGCCAACATGTTGAAACCCTGTCTCTACTAAAAATACAAAAAATTAGCTGGGCATGGTCATGCACCTGTAGTCCCAGCTACTTGGGAGGCTGAGGCAGAAGAATCACTTGAACCTGGGAGGCAGAGGTTGCAATGAACCGAGATCGCACCACTGCACTCCAGCTGGTGACAGAGCAAGGCTCCGTGTCAAAAAAAAAAAAAAAAAAAAAAAAAAAAAACACACTCCTACCATACGATCCAGTAATCATGCCCCTTGTATTTACCCAAACTAGTTGAAAACGTATGTCCGTACAAAAACATGCATATGGATATTTATTGCAGCTTTATTCGTAACTGTCAAAACATGGAAGCAACCAAAATGTCATTTAGTAGGTGAATGAATAAACTGTGATATATCCATACAATGGGATATTATTCAGTGCTAAAAAGAAATGAGCTATCAAACCACAAAAAGACATAGAGGAATGAGACTACATAGAGAAATGTACTACTAAATGAAAGAAGCCAATCTGAAAAGGCTACATATTGTCCAATTCCAACTATATAAAATTCTGCAAAAGGCAAAACTACACGGACAATAAAAAGTTCAGTGGTTGCAGGGGTTTGCAAGAGGAAAGAACAAACAGGTGGAGAAAAGAGGGTTTCTAGGGCAATGAAACTATTCTGTATGATACTATAATGGTGGATATATGACATACATTTGTGGAAACCCATAGAAGGTACAACACCCAGAGTGAACCCTTGATAATGATGTATCAATGTTGCTTCACTGATTGTAACATATACACTACACTGCAGGATGCTGATAGTTGGGGAGGCTGTGTATGTAATGTTGGGAGAAGGGTGGCAGGGATAACTATACAGGAACTGTTCATAGCTTCATGTAAGAACAGAAATTGTAAAACTACTAGAAGAAACTATAGTTGGAAAGCTCCACAACACTGGTCTAGGCAATGATTTCTTGTGCATGACCCCCAAAGGCCAGGCAACAAAAGCAAAAACAGACAAATGGAATTGCGTCAAACTAAAAAGCTTCTGCAAAGCAAGGAAACAATTAACAAAGTGAAGAAACAATGCACAGATTGAGAGAAAATACTTACAAATCTTCCATCTGATAAAGGGCTAATATCCAAAATGTACAAAGAACTCAAACTACTCAATAATGAAAACAAATAACCCTATTAAAAAATGGGCAAAGGACCTGAATAGACATTTTTTTTTCTTTTTCTTTTTTTTTTTTTTGAGACAGAGTCTTGCTCTGTCGCCCAGGCTGGAGTGCAGTGGCGCGATCTTGGCTCACTGCACGCTCCACCTCCTGGGTTCACGCCATTCTCCTGCCTCAGCCTCCCACATAGCTGGGACTTCAGGCGCCCACCACCACACCCAGCTAATTTTTTTGTATTTTTAGTAGAAACGGGGTTTCACCATGTTAGCCAGGATGGTCTCGATCTCCTGACCTCGTGATCCACCCGCCTCGGCCTCCCAAAGTGTTGGGATTACAGGCGTGAGCCACTGTGCCCAGCCCAGACATTTCTTGAAAGAAGACATACGTGCATTCCTGGCCTTATGGCTAAAAACAAAATTTTTAAAAGAAGAAAAAAAATTGCCAAAAAATATATGACAAAATGTTCAACATCAATAATTATCAGAGAATTACAAATTAAAACCATAAGGAGCTGGGCATAGTGGTTCATGCTGGTAATCCCAGCACTTTCAGAAACCAAGGTGGGAGGATCACTTGAGCCTAGGAGTTCAAGACCAGCCCGGACAACATAATGAAACCTCATCTCTACTAAAAATACAAAAGTTAACTGGGTGTGGTGGCACATGCCTGTAATCTCAACTACTCAGGAGGCTGAGGCATGAGAATTACTTGAACCCGGGAGGCAGAGATTGCAGTAAGCCGAGGTCATACCACTGCACTCCAGCCTGGGCAACACAGCGAGACTCTGTCTCAAAAAAAAAAAAAAAAAAACGCTAGGCATGGTGACACACCAGCTACCTGGGAGGCTGAGGTGGGAGGACTGCTTGAGTGCAGGAAGTTAAGGCTGCAAATGAGCTGGGATCACGCCACTGAACTCCAGCCTGTGTGATGCAGCAAGACACTGTCTCAAACAAACAAACAAAACCATAATGAGATGTCACCTCATACTTGTTAGCATGGTTACTATAAAAAAGATGAACGGTAACAAGTGTTAGTGAGGATATGGAGAAAAGGGAACCCTTTACACTGTGGGAATGTAAATTAGTACAGATATTTTGGAAACTGTATGGAGGTTCTTAAAAAAAAAAAAACTAAAACGAGAATCACCATATGATCTAGCAGTCCCACTTTTGGGTACAGTATATATCCAATGAAACTGAAATCATTATGTCTGAGAGATACCTGCATTCCCATGTTCACTGCAGTACTATTCACAATAGCCATGATATCCATTCATCCATTGCCCATCAATGAATGAATGGATAATGAAAATGTGGTATGTAAGCACAATGAAATACTATTTGGCCTTAAAAAAGAAGGAAATTCTGCCATTTGCGACATGTGGAAAAACATGAAGGACACTTAGCTAAGTGTATTATAAACTAGGTACAGAAAGACAAATACTGCATGATCTCACATGTGCAATCTAAAAAAATCAAATATTCAGACAGAAGTAGAGAGCAGAATGGTGGTTTACCAGAGGCCGTGGGTGGAGAAGGCGGGTGGAGGAGAACGGGAGAATGTTAGTCAAAGAGTATAAAGTTTCAGTCAGACAGGAGGAAGAAGTTTTAGTTATCTATTGCACAGCATGGTGACTATAGTTAATAACAATGTATTGTATCTATTTCAAAATTGCTAAAAGAGATTTTAAATGTTCTCACTACAAAGAAATAACTACATGAGGTGATGGATATGTTAACTAGTCTGATTCAATCATTCTACAATGTACACATGTATCATAACGTGGGTACTCCATAAACGTATACAATTATCAATTAAAAATTATTCTACAATGTGCACATGTATCATAACATGGGTACTCCATAAACATGTACAATTATCAATTAAAAATAAAATAAAAATTGGCCGGGAGCGGTGGCTCACGCCTGTAATCCCAGCACTTTGGGAGGCTGAGGCAGGTGGATCACGAGGTCAGGAGATGGAGACCATCCTGGCTAACATGGTGAAACCCCGCCTCTACTAAAAAAATTCAAAAAATTAGCCGGGCGTGGTGGCACGCGCCTGTAGTCCCAGCTACTCAGGAGGCTGAGGCAGGAGAATGGCATGAACCCAGGAGGCGGAGCTTGCAGTGATCCGAGATCGCGCCACTGCACTCCAGCCTGGGCAACAGAGCGAGGCTCCATCTCAAAAAAAAAAAAAAAAATAATAATAATAATAAAATAAAAATTTTGCCAGGCACAGTGGCTCATGCTTGTAATCCCAGCACTTTGGGAGGCTGAGGCGGGCAGACCATAAGGTCAGGAGTTTGAGACCAGCCTGGCCAATATGGTGAAACCCCGCCTCTGCTAAAAATACAAAAATTAGCCGGGCGTGGTGGTGGGTACCTGTAGTCCCAGCTACTTGGGAGGCTGAAGCAGGACAACCACTTGAACCTGGCAGGCGGGGGGTTGCAGTGAGCCAAGATGGTGCTACTGCACTCCAGCTTGGGTGACAGAGCGTGACTCTGTCTCAAAAGAAAAAAAAGTAAAAAAGAAATAAAACAAAAAATTTAAAAATAAAAAACTTTTTTTTTTTTTTTTTTTTTTTTTGAGACAGTCTCACTCTGTTGGCCAGGCTGGAGTACAGTGGCGTGATCTCGGCTCACCGCAACCTCCACCTTCTGGGTTCAAGCAATTCTTGTGCCTCAGCCTCCTGAGTAGCTGGGACTGCAGGTGTACGCCACCATGCCTGGCTAATTTTTGTATTGTTTTTTCATTCATTAATGAACACATATTACCTAGCACAGAGCTTCAAACACAAGAGGTGCTCAGCACTTAACTGTGTTAACAAAAGTTAAAATGAGTTGCTTACTGATATTTCCAATGTGATTCCCAACAGCCCAATCACTATTACACAGCATTCTATATACACAGCAGCTCCCCTTCACAGCAAAGTGATATTGTATTAAGATAAAATATATGCATCTTTTACTTTGAGGTCAGTCCCCTTAACTATATCAGCATACAGGATCCAGTAGATGGCCCTGTGAAGTAAAGCCTAATGAAAAGATGATCCAATAGATTCAAATGTTTTAATCAGTATAAAGAAGGATGTGAAAATCTGCACTTGCATTTTCAATATTCCCTGGAAAACTATCTGAAATATGAAGTAACATCTATTTTGAAAACTCTCAACTTGTTTGTTTTTTCTAGTAATTGCTGCCAAATATGTGTAATCTTCTGACTACTCCCTCATTCTGCTGGATGACAGACTACCTTAGTGATAGTATATTTTAAGAATGTTTATTACCTTTGATTATTTAAAGAACTTATTCTGGTCCACATATCAAAATAGGTCTTATTCTACAGCTCCTACCCCAAGGACACAGGCTAAGCTCGTGACTGGTAGTCTGGAGTGCCGTGCCTGCACTCTCACTACACAGCATTCCCACTATATTCCCAAACCCCCTTGCCAATCCTCACTCTGTTGGGACCAGGAATAAGGCAAGGAAAGAGATAACTGATTATTATAAGACAATCCACGGCAAGCCAGGTCATCCTTTCTGACTAACCACAACTCTTGTCTCCTTACACCAGTATTTTTCAACCTCAGCAATAGAGATTTTTGGGCCAGATGATTCTTTGTGTGGAGAGCTGCCCTTTGCACTGTAGGATGTTTAGCAGCATCCCTGGCTCTATTCACTAGATACCAGTAGCACCCTCTCCCAGTGGTGACAACCAAAAATGTCTCCAGACATTGCCAAATGTCCAGTGGTTGGGGAGGAGAAGAGCATGTCAAAAATCACTGCTTGAAGCCCCTGTTTAAGAGCCACTGCCTGACGAATAACATTATTAAGGCCACTCAGGAAAGTTTGCTTCCCCTTTGCCATGGTTGCTGCTGCTTCTCAGTCTAAAGCTGACTAGCACATAGTCCCTCCTCTTTTTGTATCAGGCATCCAAATGCCCGCTGTCTCATGGAAGAACATATTTTTGAGACAGAGCCTCGCTGTCGCCAGGCTGGAGTGCAGTGGTGAAATCTGGGCTCACTGCAACCTCCACCTCCAGGGTTCAAGCGATTATCCTGCTCCAGCCTCCCGAGTAGCTGGGACTACAGACATGTGCCACCATGCCCAGCTAATTTTTGTATTTTTAGTAGAGATGGGGTTTCACCACGAGGCCAGGATGGTCTTGATCTCTTGACCTCGTGATCCGCCTCCCTCGGCCTCTGAAAGTGCTGGGATTACAGGTGTGAGCCACCGCGTTCGGCCTATTCACTGTTTTTTTTAAAAGACCTATAAAAACCTCACAGTGCCCAGGAGTAGAAGCTTTAGATGTTGCCCTACTTCTTGACCTCCAACCCCAGCACCTGACAAAGCCCAGTGGGGGACCTCTTGGAGACACCGACAAAGTAAATCCCAATCGCCTTCCACATACATCATCCACTCAACCCAATGGAAATTCACACACCATCCACAGCATCCATTAAGCACCTCCATCCAACCTCAAAGGAAGAGTCTGGTGGGAGGTCAAGTCAAATGATGTCCCTTTTTCAATGAGAATAGATCATAACTATTCAAAAATCTGCATTCAAATGTGCTAAGAAGAATCTGGGTGGGCCTGGCACGGTGGCTCACGCCTGTAATCCCAGCACTTTAGGAGGCCCAGGTGGTCAGATCACCTGAGGTCGGGAGTTCAATACCAGCCTGACCAACATGGAGGAACCTGGTCTCCACTAAAAAATATAAAATTAGCCAGGCGTGGTGGCGCATGGCTGTAATCCCAATTACTTGGGAGGCTGAGGCAGGAGAATTGCTTGAACCCGGGACGGGGAGGTTGTGGTGAGCCGAGATTGCGCCATTGCACTCCAGCCTGGGAAACAAGAGCAAAACTCCGCCTCAAAAAAAAAAAAAAAAAAAAAGGTAGAATCTAGGTGAAAAGAACACAGGAATTTTTGCAGCTTTTTTATAAGTCTGAAATCACTTTTGTAAAAAATTGGAATGGGCCAGGCACGGTGGCTCACGCCTGTAATCTCAGCACTTTGGGAGGCTGAGACGGGCGGATCACAGGGTCAGGAGATTGAGACCATCCTGGCTAACACGGTGAAACCCCGTCTCTACTACAAATACAAAAACTTAGCCGGGCGTGGTGGCAGGCACCTGTAGTCCCAGCTACTCGGGAGGCTGAGGCAGGAGAATGGCGTGAACCCGGGAGGTGGAGGTTGCAGTGAGCTGAGATCACGCCACTGCACTCCAGCCTGGGCGACAGAGTGAGGCTCTATCTCAAAAAAAAAGAAAAAAAAAATTGGAATGGACTGGGCATGGTGGTTCATGCCTGTAATCCCAGCACTTCGGGAAACCAAGGTGGGAGGATCACTTGAAACCAGGAGTTCAAGACCACCTTGGCAATAGATTGAGACCTCGTCTCTAAAAAAAATAAAAATTAAAAAATTAAAAATGTAAATGTATCCCCAAACGGGGATCCGATTGAGGTAATGAAAATGTTCTAGACCAGGCATGATGGTTCACACCTGTAATCCCAGCACTTTGGGAAGGTGAGGCAGGAAGGATTGCTTGAGTTTAGAAGTTCAAGACCAACCTGGACAATATAGCAAGACCTTCTCTCTACAAAAAATAAAAAATTAGCTGGGCACGATGGTTCCAACTTATAGTTCCAGCTACTCAGGAGGTTGAGGTGGGAGAATTGCTTGAGCCCGGGAGGTGGAGGCTGCAGTGAGCCATGGTCATGCCACTGCACTCAGCTTGGGCAACAGAGCAAGATCCTGTGTCCCAGAAAAAAAGAAAAAGAAAAAAAAAAAAAGAAAGAAAAGAAAAATGTTGTAAAACTAATTATAATAATAAATGTTACAACTTGGTAAATTTACTAAAAAATCATTGAATTGTACAGTTAAAATGAGTGACTTTTATGATATATAATTTATGTCAATAATGTTTTCCCCCTTAAAAAAAGAAAACCTACAACTCTCTGTATACTAAGAGGGTCAAAGATGATAGCCATAGTGTCAATGCTGCTTGAAAGAGGCCTCTAAGAAAGACATATGTGGAGAGCACACATTCTAGCTGCAATCCAGTCTTTTCCCATGGCTTTGAGCTTTGATTAGCAATTTCAGGAAACCAGGAAAGGTCTACATTGACAACTACAAACCATCCGATTACAGGAATCTCCCCTAAAAATTAGTCCAAGGATTTCTTAATGTTATTTTCATTTTCGGTCTACTTCAAAATAGTCCTTTATTTTTAACTGTGAATAACTCAAAGCAGAAAGTCCGTTCAACCTTACTGAGCATAAACTACATAACCAGTTCAAATGGAGCCTGTTACCAACTCCATCCATAATCTTTCAGATGTTTAGCTTAAATGTTCCTCTGTGGTAAGTAGATACCATTAGCAAAAAAATTCTTCATGCCTTTTTTTTTTTAAGAGACAAGGTATTGCTCTGTCATTCAGGCTAGAGTGCAGTGATCTAATCATGGCTCACTCGAATTCCTGGGCTCAAGTGATCCTCCTATCTCAGCCTCCTGAGTAGCTGAAACTACAGGCATCAGCCACTGTGCCCAGCCCTCTTGATGCATTTTAAGACCATTTTACTCTAACTTCCTGACAAACTGATAGACAATCTTTTTGGGGGGTTGGGGTAGGGTGGAGGGTGGTAAATGAATCTGTACTTTATTTTAGATCTGGACTCATTCCCATTGTGCTGGAACCCTAAAAAAACTTTTTTTTTTTTTTTTTTTTTTTTGAGACAGTCTTGCTCTGTCGCCCAGGCTGGAGTGCAGTGGTACAATCTCAGCTCACTGCAACCTCTGCCTCCTGAGTTCAAGCAATTCTCCTGCCTCAGCCTCCCGAGTAGCTGGGACTACAGGAACACACCACCATGCTGGGCTAATTTTCGTATTTTTGGTAGAGACAGGGTTTCATCATGTTGGCCAGGCTAGTCTAGAACTCCTGACCTCAGGTGATCTGCCCGCCTCAGCCTCCCAAAGTGCTGGGATTACAGGTGTGAGCCACCCTGCCTGGCCTTAAAAAAAGTTTCATACTACATTTAAAGACTTTTTTTAAAATTGAGATAAAATTCACATACCATAAAATCCACTGTTTTAAAGTATATACAATTTAATGGCTTTTAGTACATGCACAAGCTTGGTCAACCATCCTCACTATTTAATTCTAAAATATTTTCCTCATCCCAAAAAAGAGACCCTGTATCAATCAGTTATCATTCTCTATCCTCTCCTGCCACCCCCCGACTCCCCGGCCACCCTTGTGCCCAGTAACCACTACTCTACATCCTGTGATACACCACCTTTTCTCCTACATATTTTCCTTTGGAAATAGCATTTGCAAAGATTAAGCACAAATTTCACTTGACCACAGATTTTGGTAATATATACATCATTAATATACAAAATTAACCTCACAAATCTCACCCTGTGAGATTAAAACTAATTATTCTGGCTGGGTGCCATCACTCACGCCTGTAATCCCAGCACTTTGGGAGGCCGAGACGGGTGGATTGCCTGAGGTCAGGAGTTCGAGAGCAGCCTGGCCAACATGGTGAAACCCTGTCTCTACTAAAAATACAAAAATTAGCCAGGTGTGGTGGTGTGCCTGTAATTCCAGCTACATGGGAGGCTGAGGC